>NC_000011.10:666060-969090 GCF_000001405.40 Homo sapiens
AGTTTGAACCTTCACAAGTTAGAGGCTTAAAAACACCACGGACTTCCCAGGAACATCCAGAAAACCACAGCTTCGCAGATCCAAGACTAAGGATGTGTCAGGCAGAAGAAAAAGCCAGACAGACCTGCCCTAACAGCATCAACACTGATCCTCTTCAGGGTGATCCATAAGAATTCAGCCTGCGAGAACAAAGCCCAACACTCTTCAGGGGAAGACAACAGAATCCAACAAAATTCAGAGTCTCTACCATATAAACTCTACCATATAAACAGTATATAAACTAAAATTCCAACACACAATCAGGAAGTACTGGACGTGTGAAGAAGGGATAACAGGATCCATGATGAAGGGAAAAAGTAGCCAAAAGAAGCAGATCCTGAGGCTGGGCACGGTGGCTCACACCTGTAATCCCAGGCGGGCAGATCACGAGGTTAGGAGATTGTGAACATCCTGGCTAACATGGTGAAACCTCCTCTCTACCAAAAATACAGAAAATTAGCCAGGAGTGGTGGCATGCACCTGTAGTCCCAGCTACTCGGGAGGCTGAGGCAGGAGAATCACTTGAACCCGGGAGGCAGAGGTTGCAGTGAGCTGAGATCGTGCCACTGCACTCCAACCCTGGGCGACAGAGCAAGACTCCGTCTCAAAACAAAACAAAACAACAAAGTATTAGCCAGGTGTGGTGGTGCACACTTGTAGTCCCATCTACTTGGAAGGCTGAGGCAAGAGATCGCTTGAACCTGGGAGGTAGAGCTTGCAGTGAGCTGAGATCGTGTCACTGCACTCTAGCCTGGAGAGCAAGACTCTGTCTCCAAAAAAAAAAAAAAAAAAAAAAAAGAAAAAAAGAAATAGTTATAGCCAGGAGCAGTGGTTCATGCTGGTAATCCCAGTACTTTAGGAGGCCAAGGAAGGTGGGTTGCTTGAGTCCAGGAGTTCAAGACCAGCCTGAGAAACATAGTGAAACCCCATCTATACAAAACAAACAAAAAAATAGCTGGGCATGGTGGTACACATGTGTAGTCCCAGCTACTCAGAAGGCTGAGGTAAGAGGATCGCTTGAGCCAAGGAGTTTGCGGCCAGCCTGGGCATCATGGTGAAACCCCAGCTAAAAATTGGCCGGGAGTAGTGGCCAGTGCCGGTAGTCCTAGCTACTCTGGAGGCTAAGGGAAGATCACCTGAGCCCAGGAACTCAAGGCTGCATTGAGATGTGACCACAACACTGCTTCTTAGCCTCGGTGACAGACAGTGACCCTGTCTCAAAAAAGAAAGAAAAAAGAAGGAAGGAAGGGAGGGATGGAGGGAGGGAGGGAGGAAGGAAGGAAGGAAGGAGAGAGGGAGGGAGGGAGGGAAGGAGGGAAGGAGGAAAAGAGGAAAGGAAGGAAGGAAGGAAGGAAGGCAGGTAGGCAGGCTGGCCAGAAGATGATGGAAAGACATCTTTAAACTGGTGAATGATAAAAAGTGACAACCCAGGTAGGTCATGCCTATAATCCCAGCACTTTGGGAGGCCGAGGCAGGTGAATCACCTGAGGTCGGTCAGGTGTTCAAGACCGGTCTGGCCAACATGGCAAAACCCTGTCTCTAATAAAAAAATACAAAAAATTAGCTGGGCATGGTGGTGTGTGCCTGTAATTCCAGCTACTCAGGAGGCTGAGGCAGGAGAATCGCTTGAACCAGGGAGTCGGAGGTTGCAGCGAACCGAGATGGCATCACTGCACTCCAGCCTGGTGACAGAGTGAGACTTTGTCTCAAAAAATAATAAATAAATAAATAGGCCGGCGTGTTAGCTCATGCCTGTAATCCCAGCACTTTGGGAGGCCCAGGCGGGTGGATCACTTGAGCCCAGGAGTTCAACACCAGCCTGAGCAACATGGCGAAACCCCGTCTCTACCAAAAATACAAAAATTAGCTGGGTGTGGTGGCGCACGCCGATAGTCCCAGCTACTCAGGAGGCTGAGGCAGGAGAATTGCTTAAACCTGGGAAATGGAGGTTGCAGTGAGCGGAGATTGTGCCACTGCACTCCAGCCTGGAAAACAAGAGCGAGACTCTGTCTCAAAAAAATATATATATGTAAGTGACAACCCAGAATTCCATGTCACTCAAAAACGTCCCTCAAAAATAAAGGTGAAAGAGGGACATTACAGACAAAAACAGAGAATTCATGGCCAACAGACCTATATGAAAAGAAAAGCTGAAAGTACATCTTTAGGTTGAAGAAAAACAAGATTTGGACCACACTATGAACCACCTTGACCTAATGACATTACAGAAAACGAAAACCAATGACTGAATAAAACTCTTTTCAAGTGTATATGCAATATTCACCACGAAAAGTATATACATGATCATAAAACACATCTTTTTGTTTTTTTGAGACAGGGTCTCATTCTGTTGCCCAGGCTGGAGCACAGTGGCGTGATCACAGCTCGCTGCAACCTCTACCCCTGGGCTCCAGTGATCCGGCTAATGAAGGAAACATTTTGGCCGGGCACAGTGGTTCATGCCTGTAATCCCAGCACTTTGGGAAGCTGAGGTGGGTGGATGGCTTGAGCTCAGGAGTTTGAGATCAGCCTGGCAACACAGTGAGACCCTCTCTCTATGAAAAATACAAAAATTAGCCAAGCATGGTGGCACATGCCCATAGTCCCAGCTACTTGGGGGGCTGAGGCAAGAGGATTGCTTGAGCCTGGGAACTTGAGGCTGCAGTGAGCCGAGGTCACACCTCTGTACTCCAGCCTGGGTGACAAAGTGAAACCCTTTAAAAAAAAAGTTTTTTGTTTTTTTTTAGACAGAGTCTCGCTCTGTAGCCCAGGCTGGACTGCAGTGGTGCAATCTCGGCTCACTGCAAGCTCTGCCTCCTGGATTCATGCCATTCTCCTGCCTCAGCCTCCTGAGCAGCTGGGACTATAGGTGCCTGCCACCATGCCTGGCTAATGTTTTGTATTTTTAGTAGAGACGGGGTTTTACTGTGTTAGCCAGGATGGTCTCGACCTCCTGACCTTGTGATCTGCCCGCCTCGGCCTCCCAAACTGCTGGGATTACAGGCGTAAGCCACTGCACCCGACCCTTTTTTTTTTTTTTTTTTTTGTACAGACAGGGTCTCACAATGTCCAGGCTTGTCTCAAACTCCTGGCCTCAAGACCTTGGCCTCCCAAAGTGCTGGGATTACAGGTGTGAGTCACCATGCCTGGCCGAAATAAATCGTAATCAATTTAAAAGAACTGAAATCAGAGTATATTTTCTAAGCATATTGGAGTTGAATTAGAAATCAGTTGTGGTAGGAAATCTAGAAAATCAACTGGGTGCAGTACCTCACACCTGTCATCTCAGCACTTTGGGAGGCCGAGGTGGGCAGATCACCTGAGGTCAGGAGCTCAAGACCAGCCTGACCTAAATGGTGAAACCCTGTCTCTACTGAAAATACAAAATTAGCTGGGCGTGGTGGCGCATGCCTGTAATCTCAGCTACTTGAGAGGCTGAAGCAGGAGACTCTCTTGAACCTGGGAGGTGGAGGTTATGGCGAGCCGAGATTGTGCCATTGGATTCCAGCCTGGGCAACAAGAGCGAAACTTGTCTCAAAAAAAAAAGAGGCCAGGTGCGGTGGCTCATGCCTGTAATCCCAGCACTTTGGGAGGCTGAGGCAGGAGGATCACCTGAGGTCAGGAGTTCAAGACCAGCCTGACAAACATGGTGAAACCTCGTCTCTACTTAAAACACAAAAATTAGCTGGGCATGGTGGCATGTGCCTGTAATCCCAGCTATTCGGGAGGCTGAGGCAGGAGAATCACTTAAACCTGGGAGGCGAAGGCTACAGTGAGCCGAGATTGCATCAGTGTACTCCAGCCTGGGTGACAGTGTGAGACTGTCTCAAAAAAAAAAAAAAAAAAAAAAAAAGAAACCCCATCTTTACAAAAAATACAAAAATTAGCCAGGCATGGTGGCGCAAGGCTGCAGTGAACCAAGATCATGCCACTGCACTCCAGCCTGAGTGACAGAGTGAGATGCTGCCTCAAAAGAGAAAAGAAAAAAAAAAAAATGAGAGCAGTGACTGTCCATGGGGCAGGGGACCGATGGAAGGGGACATGAGTGGTGCTTCTGCAGGGATTGAAATGGTCTCATGACCAGGTTCATGCATTCATCAAAACTCACTACATTTTATGGTGGAGATTGAGGCACTTTGCTGTACATACAGTTTACCTCAATTACCAAAAAAGACCAAAAGGACACACAGTAAGTGTTCACGGTCATTATCTTTGGGTGCAGGGTTATAGATTTTTTTGCCTTTAAACTTTCTTTTCCTCTATAAATTTCAGCATTAAGTAGCTGTTTGTTTGGAAGTATACTTTTTTTTTTTTTTTTTTAAAGTATTTTTTTGGCCAGGTGCGGTGGCTCACACCTGTAATCCCAACACTTTGGGAGGCCAAGGCAAGTAGATCACTTGAGGCCTGGAGTTTAAGACCAGCCTCGCCAACATGGCGAAACCTCTTCTCTCCTAAAATACCAAAAAATAGCTGGGCGTGGTTGCACATACCTGTAATCCCAGCTATCTGGGAAGCTGAGGCACAAGAATCGCTTGAACCTGGGAGATGGAGGCTGCAGTGAGCCGAGATCACACCACTGCACTCTAGCCTGGGTGACACAGCAAGACCATCTCAAAATATATATATATCTTTTTCTTTATTTTTTTCCTTTTTAATTTCTTTTTTCTTTTTGTTTTTGTTTTTTTTTTTTTTTTTTGAGACGAGGTCTCACTCTGTTGCCCAGGCTGGAGTACAGTGGTGTGATCACGGCTCACTGCAACATCAACCTCCTAGGCTCAAGCAATCCTCACGTTTCAGCCTCTTGACTGGCATGTCACCACACCTGGCTAATGTTTTTTTTTTTTTTTGAGACAGAGTCTCACTTTGTCACCCAGGCTGGAGTGCAGTGGCGCGATCTCGGCTCACTGCAATCTCCACCTCCCGGGTTCACGCCATTCTCCTGCCTCAGCCTCCCAAGGAGCTGGGACTACAGGCGCCCGCCACCACGCCCGGCTAATTTTTTGTATTTTTAGTAGAGATGGGGTTTCACCATGTTAGCCAGGATGGTCTCGATCTCCTGACCTCGTGATCCGCCCGCCTCGGCCTCCCAAAGTGCTGGGATTACAGGCGTGAGCCACCGCGCCTGGACTTTTTGTTTTTTGAGACAGAGTCTTGCTCTGTCGCCAGACTGGAGTGCAGTGGCCCGATCTCAGCTCACTGCAACCTCTGCCTCCTGGGTTCAAGTGAGTCTCCTGCCTCAGCCTCCTAAGTAGCTGAGACTACAGGTGCCCACCACCACACCCAGCTAATTTTTATATTTTTTTGTAGAGACGGGGTTTCACCATGTTGTCCAAGCTGGTCTCAAACTCCTGGGCTCAAAAGATCCTCCCACCTCAGCCTCTCAAAGCACTGAGATTACAAGTGTGATCCACTGTGCCCAGTGAAAAAGTATTTTAAAATTATCTTTGTCTTCAGGAGTAGAAACACTTTTCTTCCTTGAAAGAAAATTAATGCTGGGTCCAGTGGCTCACGCCTGTAATCTCAGCACTTTGGGAGGCTGAGGCAGGAGGATCTCTTGAGCCCAGGAGTTTGAGACCACCTTGGGCAACACGGCAAGACCCAGTCTCTACAAAAAATAAAAAATAAAAAAATAAATTAGGCAAGCGTGGTGGCATGCACCCGTATTTCCAGGAGTTTGAGCCTACAATGAGCCATGAGCCTAGGCAACAGAGTGAGACCTTACCTCTTAAAAAAAAAAAAAAAAAAAAAAAGAAACACAAAAAACACTAATCACATATTGATCAGTCATTTAAAAAATTAAGAATCTAAAAAGCTCTTCTGCTCGCCTGTCACCATTAAGACATGCCTTTCCTCCCGCTTTGCCATCTGCCATGATGGTGAGACCTCCCCAGCCATGTGGAGCTGCAGTGTCACTGTCATTACCTCAATAGTCATTGAGTGGTGTTGCTGGTGTTTGGAGCTGTGGCATACCTAATGACCATGCATTCCTCCTATGGAAGGCTTCTGGACAATCACCACTACAGGTCCTGGGGAAACTACACAAACCCCTAACATAGAATACGGCCTGGGATGAGAATCACTGTTTGTTATGTGCTTGTCTGGTAGAATCCGTAACAAACCCCTAACATCGAATACGACCTGGGTTGAGAATCACTGTTCATTATGTGCTTGTCTAGTAGAATCCGTAACAAACCCCTAACATCGAATACGACCTGGGTTGAGAATCACCGTTCATTATGTGCTTGTCTAGTAGAATCCGTAACAAACCCCTAACATTGAATACGGCCTGGGTTGAGAATCACCGTTCATTATGTGCTTGTCTAGTAGAATCCGTAACAAACCCCTAACATTGAATACGGCCTGGGATGATAATCACTGTTCGTTATGTGCTTGTCTAGTAGAATCTATAACAAGTACCTGATGTGCACTGAATGACAGAAAAATTTAAAAATTAAAAAATAAATAGGCCGGGCAAGGTGGCTCATGCCTGTAATCCCAGCACTTTGGGAGACTGAGGTGGGTGAATCACCTGAGGTCAGGGGTTCAAGACCAGCCTGGCTAACATAGTGAAACCCCGTCTCTACTAAAAATACAAAAAATCAGCCAGGTGTGGTAGCACATGCCTGTAATCCCAGCTATTCCGGAGGCTGAGGCAGGAGAATCACTTGAACCCGGGAGGAGGAAGCTGCAGTGAGCTGAGATTGTGCCATTGCACTCCAGCCTGAGCGACACAGCAAGACTCCGTCTCAAAAAAAAAAATTTTTTTTAAATAGATAAATAAATAAATACGTATAATCCCAGCACTTTAAGACGCTCAGGCGGGTAGATCACTTGAGGTCAGGAGTTTAAGACCAGCCTGGCCAACATGGTGAAACCCTGTCTGTACTAAAAATACAAAAATTAGCCAGGCATGGCAGCAGGCGCCTGTAGTCCCAGCTACTTGGGAGGCTGAGGCAGGATAATTGCTTGATCCCAGGAAGTGGAGGTTGCAGTTAGCCAAGATCGTGCCACTGCACTCCAGCCTGGGTGATGGAGCGAGACTCCGTCTCAAAAAATAAAATAAAGTAAAATAAAGCAGCAGCTGAAAAAAAAATAATGATAATAAAATAAATACATAAATAAAAAGTTCTTCTATAAAAAGTAGAAGCTGGGCATGGTGGCTCACATCTGCAATCCCAGTACTTTAAGAGGCTGAGGCGGGTGGATCACCTGAGCTCAGGAGTGTGAGATCAGCCTGGGCAACATGGTAAAACCCCGTCTCTACCAAAAATACAGAAAATTAGCCAGGTGTGGTGGTGGGTGCCTGTAGTCCCAGCTACTTGGGAGGCTGAGGCACAAGAATCGCTGGAGCCCGGGAGGCAAAGGTTGCAGTGAGCCGAGATTGTGCCACTGCATTCTAGCCTGGGCGACAGAGTGACAGCCTGTTCCACAAATAAAAATAAAAATAGAAAGTAGAAAAGAAATGGGGGAAAACGTTTCTTACATAGATTTGGTGGGAAAAATATGAATTTGACTTTTGTTTACAAACCAAAGTCCACGTTACCGTACCCGAAAAAGCAGCTACAACAAAATCCATCCCTGTCCTTTCCTGTGGCCTTCAGAGCTCCCCATCTGTGCTGAGCAGACAGGCGCCCTCCTCTCTCACCTTCTCGTCCCCGTGCCCTGTGACACACGGTACCTGTCTGCTGGGTTTGGGCTATGAGAAGTAGCTGAGAAACCTCCACCCTCTCTCCAGTTTACTCTGGCTCTAGTAATTTCTATCTACCCTATTCATGTCACCCACCTGAACCTTTATATTACCTCAAAGTCTTCAATCTAAGTAAAGGGTTCATATGAAGTAGAGACTCCATATGAAAAGAGGCCGAAGGGGCCTAAGTGACCTTTTGCTTGTGCTGCAGTAATAGGAAGCTACAGAAAACATGGGCACTACGCCCTGTGAGCCTCCCACCATGCACAGGAGCCGCCTTCTGAAGAACGTGCCAGAAGCTGGGAGGGCTTTGTGACAGCAGATGGACGGAGCTCGGCTCCCAGGAAGGGGCTCAGCATTCGCCCTGCCAGTCGCTGATACTCAGAGACTCAATAGATGATGTTCTCCAAACTTCATAAAATATAAGCACATTTCACTACAGGAAGACAAAGGATGAATAATGCCTAGAAAAGGTGAGTATTCACAACGGCCGATGCGCACAAAATTGTTTCCCTTTCTGAAACAAAGCAACCTTATTTACAAAAACCAAAACCACCTTAACAACAATAGCTGTCACTTTTCTTTAGGAAAAGCTTCATTTGTAAATGACTCTCCACAGCTCCCTTTTCCAGAAAGGTGGGGCAGGGGCCTTGTGAGCCAAGGTGGGGCTTGCGCAGCTGGGCACAGGCACCAGGGTGGCCTGGGGTTACTCGGCACAGGTCGTGTCTTCCCATTTGTTCCAAGGTTACCTCCTTCCGCTCTGCGTCAGCGTGGATCTTGGCCTGGTTTGTGGCAGCTTCTCGGTAGGTGCTGGCATGCTTGGCTTGCTCAAACAGCGTCTTCAGCTGCTGCGCTGTGTTGAGCAAGGAGTTGACCATCTCTTCTAGGTACAGCCAGCTCCGCGGCTCTGACAGCTCCAGCCCATTGACCAACGCGGGAGGTGCCGCTTTGGTGGGAGTCGGGGGTGGGACCGCCAGCGCAGGCAGGGATGTCAACACTAGAGCATTTGGAAAGCAAAACAAACCAAGAAATTAATACATCTCCTAGCTTCAAAATGGCCTCCGTTAAAAATTCTCAGCCGGGCGCGGTGGCTCACGCCTGTAATCCCAGCACTTTGGGAGGCCAAGGCAGGCGGATCATGAGGTCAGGAGATCGAGACCATCCTGGCTAACAGTGAAACCCCGCGTTTCACTGTGTTTAAAAAAATACAAAAAAATACAAAAAATTGGCTAAAAAAAATACAAAAAATTAGCTGGACGTGGTGGTAGACGCCTGTAGTCCCAGCTACCTCGGGAGGCTGAGGCAGGAGAAAGGTGTGAAGCCGGGAGGCAGAGCTTGCAGTGAACAGAGATGGCACCACTGCACTCCAGCCTGGGCAACAGAGTGAGACTCCATCTCAAAAAAATAAACAAATAAAATTTAAAAATAAAAAATAAATAAAAATTCTCATCACCCGGTGCAGTGGCTCATGCCTGTAATCCCTGCACTTTGGGAGACTGAGGTGGGAGGATCACTTGAGCTCAGGAGTTCAAGACCAGCCTGGGCAACATAGCAGGACCTTGCCTCTACAAAACAGAAATCAAAAACAAAGAACTAGATGGGCATGGTGACATTCACCTGTGATCCCAGCTACTCAGGAAGCTGAGGCGGGAGGATGGTTTGAGCCCAGGTGGTCGAGGCTACAGTGAGCCATGACTGCGCCACCGTCCTTCGGCCTTGGTGACTTAATGAGACCCTGTCTCAAAAAGAAAAGAGGCCAGGCACAGTGGCTCACACCTGTAATCCCAGCACTTTGGGAGGCCGAGGCGGGCAGATCCCTTGAGGTCAGGAGTTCGAGGCTAGCCTGGTCAACATGGTGAAACCCCATTTCTACCAAAAAATACAAAAATTAGCTAGGCGTGGAAGCGTCTATAATCCCAGCTACCTGGGAGGCTGAGGCATGAGAATCATTTGAACCTGGGAGGCAGAAGTTGTGGTGAGCCGAGATGGTGCCAGTGGACTCAAGCCTGGGTGACAGAGTGAGACTCCATCTCAAAAAAGAAAAGAAAAGAAAACTCTCACGCAATGTTGGGAAGTCGGGTAAAAAACTGACCAGCAAACAACAAATCACTGCCTGACATCCCCCCAGCACCTGACACCCCCCAGCACCTGACATCCCCCAGCACGCAGCCTGACATCCCCCGGCACCCGACATCCCCCGGGGCACCTGGCACCCCCCGGCACCCGACACCCCCCAGCACCCGACACCCCCCAGCACCCGACAACCCCCAGCATCCGACACCCCCCAGCACCCGACATCCCCCCCAGCACCTGACACCCCCCAGCATCTGACATCCCCCAGCACCCGACACCCCCAGCACCTGACATCCCCCCAGCATCTGACATCCCCAAGCACCTGACATCCCCCAGCACTCAGCCTGACATCCCCCAGCACCCGATACCCCCAGCACCTGACATCCCCCCAGCACCTGACATCCCCCAGCACGCAGCCTGACATCCCCCCAGCACCCGACACCCCCAGCACCCGACATCCCCCCAGCACCCGACATCCCCCCAGCACCTGACATCCCCGAGCACTCAGCCTGACATCCCCCCAGCAGGCAACACAGGCAGGAGGATGTCCCATCCCTTCCTGCTCCACCCACCCAGCTCCATGTTGTACAACTCATCTGAATGCGGCTGCTGGACCCTGAAATGTTCGCAGAATCAGCGCCGTGGACAATGACCAGGGGAGGGAAGTGGCTAAATCAGAGTCTCGCTGTGTCGCCCAGGCTGGAGGGCGGTGGCATCATCTTGGCTCACTGCCCTCCCGGGTTCAAGTGATTCGCCTGCCTCAGCCTCCCGAGTAGCTGGGATTACAGGCATCTGCCACCAGGCCTGGCTAATTTTGTATTTTTAGTAGAGATGGGGTTTCTCCACGTTGGTCAGGCTGGTCTCGGACTCCTGACCTCAGGTGATCCACCCGCCTCGGCCTCCCAAAGCGCTGGGATTACCGGCGTGAGCCACCACGCCCAGCGGGGTTTCTTACAATTGGAGAAGAAAGTTACAAAGGAACTAGCACAAACCCTGAGGTTCTGCACTGGAACTAGAGACACTGGGGCAAACTCATGGTTTTCAACACACACAGATTTGGAGCACAAACACGCACACGTGCACATGAGAACATTTCTGACTTCTGCCCACCAAGGGCACCTGGGGACAGAGATCCAGGAGCCACATGCACACCTTGTACCAGGGGCAAGCGGTCGATGCGAACCCCAGCCCTCCTGGAGAAAAAGCTCTGATTTCAAGCATTTGCTGATTTCTTGGTATAAATACTTCACCAACACCCACCCCACACTTTTTTTTTTTTTCCAGTTAATAGAGATGGGGTCTCCTTATGTTGCCCAGGCCGGTCTCAAACTCCTGGCCTCGGCCTCCTAAAGTGCTGGGATTAAACAGGTAAGCCACACGCCTGTAATCCAAGCACTTTGGGAGGCCAAAGCAGGCAGATCACAAGGTCAAGAGATCAAGACCATCCTGGCCAACACGGTGAAACCCCATCTCTACTAAAAATACAAAAATTAGCCGGGCATGGTGGCGCGTGCCTGAAGTCTACACTCCAGCCTGGGCAACAGATCAAGACTCCATCTCAAAAAAAAAACAAAAAAAGGATGAGCCACCACGCCCAGCCCTGAGGTAAGCTTTAAAGATGGAAAGAGTTTAGATAGGCAAAAGAGAGAATAATGAAACAAGCAAATGAAAATGAAAAGGTAAGTTTTTCATGAACAAGTTTCTTGCGCTGTCTGTGACAGTGAAAAATGGAAAACATGCATTTGCCACCAGCAGGGGAGGGTTCAATCAATCATGTATTGATCATATGCACCCTTTAAAAAAGTATAATGATGGCTGGGCACGATGGCTCACGCCTGTAATCCCAGCACTTTGGGAGGCCAAGGCAGGTGGATCATGAGGTCAGGAGTTTGAGACCAGCCTGACCAGCATGGTGAAACCCCATCTCTACTAAAAATACAATAACAAAAAAAAATTAGCTGGGCATGGTGGCGTGCACCTGTAGTCCCAGCTACTCAGGAGGCTGAGGCAGGAGAATTGCTTAAACCTGGCAGGCAGAGGTTGCAGTGAGCCGAGATCGCACCACTGCACTCCAGCCTGGGCGACAGAGTGACACTCTGTCTCAAAAAAAAAAACAAAAAACGTATAATTATACAGAAATCTTGGCTGCATGTGGTGGCTCACACCTGTAATCCCAGCACTTTGGGAGGCTGAGGCGGATGGATCACTTGAGGTCAGGAGTTCGAGATCTGTAATCCCAGCTACCTGGGAGGCTGAGGCAGGAGAATCACTTGAACCAGGCAGAGGTTGCAGTGAGCCAAGATTGCGCCACTGCACCCCAGCCTGGGCAATAGAGCGAGACTCAGTCTCAAAAAAATAGAAGTGCAGTTAAACGAAAAATCAAAGTTAGAATGCATTTACAGTGTATCGTCATTTTAAAGATTTAGGCCACATTTAGGCCTTGGTTTTTCTTTCTTTCACCAGATACCGAATGTCTATGCCAGCTCTGGAGAGACCAAGACCTGCCACTGGGGAGTGTCTACCCTCAAGAGGACAACAGCAAACTCACCAGAAAGAACTTCAGGCTTCACAGGCCAACTGGTTTCTAGGGGCGTGCCCTGCTGCTGTACCAAAAGCAACTTCCACAGCACACACATGAATGGACGTGGCTGTGTGTCAGTAAAACTTTATTTACAAACATAGGCAGTGGGCCACACTTTACCAGCCACTGATCTAATGCATCAACAAAAACAACAAACCAAACCAAAATGAATCCCATTTCACTTAGGAATTCTTTCATTGGAAGCAATTCTGAGGACAATAACCTGTACATGTGTGAATTCTTTCAAACCTACCTATTTTGGGATGTGACGTTGGCAACGCAGCTTCTGGAAACGGTGCGATCTGGCAGCTGTCCTGATAGCCGGGGTAGTGAGGCTCAGGGTGGCTGGCCCTGCATGGGGGCTGCACGCTGGCCTCTTGGACTGTTGGGGAGAAAAAGGACAGGGAGGCTCGGGATGGTTGTCCGCACAGCAGACTCTAAATATCACGCTGTATGGCTGCGCCATTCAGTACACATAGTAGCTTATGGCCACACGTGGCTACTGAGCCCCTGAAATGTGGTGATCCTGAATCGTTGACATAATAGGATTGGGGCTATATCAGGTGAAATAAAATAGATTATAAAAATCAGGCCGGGCGCGGTGGCTCACGCCTGTAATCCCAGCACTTTGGGAGGCCAAGATGGGCGCATCACGAGGTCAGGAGATAGAGACCATCCTGGCTAACATGGTGAAACGCTGTCTCTACTAAAAATACCAAAAAAAAATTAGCCGGGCATGGTGGCAGGCGCTGTAGTCCCAGCTACTTGGGAGGCTGAGGCAGGAGAACGGTGTGAACCCGGGAGGCGGAGCTTGCAATGAGCCGAGATCATGCCACTGCCCTCCAGCCTGGGGGATGGAGCGAGACTCCACCTCAAAAAAAAAAAAAAATCAGTTCTAACTCTATTTTCCTCAGTGTGGCTTCTAGAATATTCTCCAGCACACAACCAGCTAGGCTGCATTTCTGTTGCACAACTGCAGTCAAAAGCAGGAGCCGGCAGACAGAGAGTATTTTCAGCTTTGCCAGTTCTGGCATCTGTCACAAGTAACCCACTGCCACACGCCAACCCCATCCACACTGCACCGCCCACCTGACGTGGCTCACACGCTGTCCCCACCAACAAACGCCTGGTTCAAGGCCCCTCTCGAGGCACCCAGCAGCCTATGCAGCCCAATGTGGCGTCGGGGATGTGATGTCACAGACAGGGATATGCTGAGGACGCGTCAGGCAGGCACTGGAGCAGCTCACCTGTGGCCCCTGCGAAGACGTCGCCCTGGGCCGGACTCTCTGATATGACAGCAGTGGCCTCTACCGTGGACGCTCGGTCAAAGGTCAGTGCCCCCGAGGTCGTGATCTGTCCCGAGGGGGTCACGGTGACTGGAAAGGCAGAAGCACATTTCACGCGGCCAGGCAGTGGCGCCCACGGCACACAGGTCCCGTGCCACCCACGGGCGCCAATCCTTGTGGGGGCCTGGGCTGAAGGGCGGGCAGTGGTAACTGTACCCTCCCATGTGAAGGACACGGGGGAAATCCCAGACCTTGGAGAAGACCTCACAGGAGAAAACCAGGATGGCCAGGATGGCAACTTGCCACTACCAATTGTTCGCTGTTTAAACTGTGAACCATGGAAATGTGCTGCCCAGCCAGAAAACAAACATAAAATAAAACTTTCAGTGATTTTTAAGTACTTCGTGGTTCGAATTAAGAAAAAATCTTTAATCCAAGCTGAAGGTAAAAAGCAGCCGTGTCCCACAGCAAGGCTGCCCTGTGTCCCACAGCAAGGCTGCCTCTCCAGCTCAAAAAAAAATCCTGGCGACAGATCTTGAGACTCTGCTGCTGTGGGACTCTTCCTGCACCCACCACCCAGGGCCTCAGGAAGGAGCTGACAGGGTGTTTTAGAAAGACCTTACTCTATAAATGCAAAAACCCAGACTTAGTTAACAAAAGCCTATTACAAAGACATTTTCTCCTATTGCTACCTCTCCCCATTTAAATCCTGTCTGTACAAAAAAATAAAAACATTAGCTGGGCATGGTGGCACGTGCCTGTGGTCCCAGCTACTTGGGAGGCTGAGGTGAGAGCAGTGCCTGAGCCTGGGAGGCCGAGGCTGCAGCGAGCCGGGATCCTGACGCCGCCCTCCAGCCCGGCCACAGAGAAAGACCCACAGAGCTCTCCGCAGCCCTCGTCCAGCGCACTGAGAATCCCTCACCAAGGACGCCCTTGTCAGGAAACGTCCCCTGAGCGTGTGCTGGGCACTCAGCCATGCTCACTCATACTAGGAAACAGCCCAGGACAAGGCCAACAGTGTCCGGGTCCCAGGGAAGCAAGACCGAGCTGGGCACTGGGACACCCCTTCCCACCCGGGGGACGCACTGCAAAGGAGTGTGATGGCGTTGGAATCCCTCTGGCCACGCAATGTGCTTTAGAAGTGAGAATCCCGCAGTGGCCGTGGGAGTGGTGACGAGAGAAGGCAATGCACTCAGGTCCCCTCAGTAAACTAGAGCTGTGTTTTCTCAAACTCACAGGTGGTAGCCGCGGTGGCTGGAAGCAATGTGATGTTCTTGGGGGAGTCCTTCTTCACGGGAGTTGTGGGCAGTTCATTCTCCTTCTTGCGCCTTTTGTAAGGCACAAAAAGCCTGACTGGGCCACTCTGGGGGAGAAAGGAGAGAGGCCACCACCTTCATGTGTGCAAAAGCTATGCTGCGCTTGCAACTCCTCCTTAAGTGGGGGCACCGCGGGGTGTGTGAGTCACATGGTGAGACCACATTAAGATGGTAAGCGCCCCTAAAGATCCCACCTCTTTTTCTTTTTTGAGACGGAGTTTCACTCTAGCTGCCCACGCTGGAGTGCAGTGGCGCCATCTTGGCTTACTGCAACCTCCGCCTCCCAGGTTCAAGTGATTCTGCGTTAGTCTCCTGAGTAGCTGGGATTACAGGCATGTGTCACCACACCCGGCTAATTTTCTTTCTTTCTTTTTTTTTTTTTTTTTGAGACAGAGTCTCGCTCTGTTGCCCAGGCTGGAGTGCAGTGGCACAATCTGGGCTCACTGCAAGCTCTGCCTCCCGGGTTCATGCCATTCTCCTGCCTCAACCTCCCGAGTAGCTGGGACTACAGGCGCCCGCCACCAAGCCTGGCTAGTGTTTTGTATTTTTAGTAGAGACGGGGTTTCACCATGGTAGCCAGGATGGTCTCGTTCTCCTGACCTCGTGATCTGCCCACCTCGGCCTCCCAAAGTGCTAGGATTACAGGCGTGAGCCACCACGCCCGGCCGACTTTTTTTTTTAAATAATTTATATCTCTTCATTGACATTCTCCAGTGAGGAGACAGTGTCTTCAGACCTTCCATGCAATCTCTAGCTGTGGTTTCCTTCAGTCCTCTGAACATACTGAGGATAGCCATTTTAAAGCTTTTTCCTGTTAACCCCAACATCCGGACCTCTCCAGGCAATTTCTGTTGCCTGCTTTCTTCCTGTGTATGGTCCAAGGCTCCTTGCATGTCTTATCATCTTTTGTTAAGAATCAGACACCGCAGGTGATACATTGTAGCAACAGTGGAAAGCAGTTCTCCTTTCTCTGGGATCCTTGCTGCTGTCAGCTTGTTTATTACTCAGGTACGGAGCTGGACTATCTTACTGAGCCTGTTCTCCTGGGGCGGCCTCGGCTGCTGCTCCTCTGAGGGCTCGGCCCTGGGTGGGGTGCAATCACCTTTGGTGGTGGGAGTTTTGGCTGTCGCTCTTCCTGATCTCTGTTAAGCTGTTGGTGTAGTCAAGTGTCAGAATCAACTAACTGCCAGCTGCCTGCTCCATTACTTTCAACAATGCCCTGGGGCACACACTGCTCCACTGTCTGAGCCAATTAAATTAGGGCTTCTTTACTGAGAGGTTCGATCTTGAAGGTCGGTTTCCCAGATGGGTTCTTCGCTGTGGCTTTCCTCGCCTCTCTGGTAAACCTGCTGACCTACAGTTTAGTTTCTTGCTCTAATGGAACTGCTGGCCTCCTCTTAACTGCTTACCATCAAAATGTCCATTCTTTTCCAGGGCACTTTTAGGCTTGAACATCCCCATACTGTTTCAAATCAAGTCAGTTCCTTTGGGAGGGGCTTTGGAGCTCTCTGTTCTTACGGCCTCTCTCTCTTTTGGGCTGAATGTCTGAGCCCCTACTATAGACCTAGAGGCAGGAACAGTGCCTGAGTCTATCAGAGGGAATTCTGTTGCATTAGCCGGGTTCTGTGTGGGGGGCAGCAGCCTCTCACTGCATGGACACCCCACCCTATGGGCAATGTGGGTTGATGGAAATTGGGGCTCCGTATGCTTGGCCTCCCATGCCTGGGTAAAGCCTCTGCCCTCTGAGTGGGGATGACTGAAGAGATTTTCAGTCACACTTCCCAGGAATTTACTGCAACTTAGAGCTGAAGGGGTTGAGAAATGCTGGTGGCCTGCCCCTCCCAGTGAGATACCATATCCCTTGACCGGGAACTGCAAGGAGTGGGAACCGTTTTCTTGGTCACAACCACCCACAATGGAGCCTCCACCATAGGGAGCTGGGGGCAGAAAGGGAGGGAAGGAGCTGGTCGTAGCTCAAACGTCACAATCCTCACTGCCCTTTCCAAGACTTACTACATTTTCTTGGATGTTTATTTGCTGTACTCCCCTAGGACAATTTCTGGAGACCTTAAGGGGTTATTTTTTCACAATTTTCACTAGTTATTTCTCTGGAGAGTTGGTCCACTGAGCTCATCACACCACCACTCCCCAAGCGGAAGCCAAAAGTTCTAAAATTTGATGAAGTCCAATCCAAGAAATCCTAGTTCTAACTCCAGGTCAGGAAGATTTTCCAATGTGTTTTCTCCTAAAAATGTTATAGTTTCACCTTTCACTTTAGATCGATGACCCATTTTGAATTCATTTTTGTACCAAGTGTGAAGTTTAGGTCATCCTTTGTCTCTGCTGATGAACGTCCTGTCACTCCAAGGCCATTTGCTGGAGTCTACTATGACACTCTAGTCTGACCCAGATCGTGGGGTCTCTCCCTCTGCCAGTGCCACACTATCTTGATTACTGTCACGAGCCCGTAAGTCTTAAGACCCCGCAATGTGATTCCACCCATTTTAAACTTTTATTTCAAAACTGTTTTGGCTTTTTTGTTTCAAAACTGTTTTGGCTTTTTTATTTCCTTTACCTTTCTATGCAAATTTTAGAATCAGCTTGTCTGCATCTAAAAAGAATCCTGCTGGGATTTTGATAGTCATTGTGTTAAACCTACGAATCAACTTGGGAAAAAGTCGCATCTTTACTGAGTCTTCTAATCCACGGGCGCAGGACGTCTTTTGACGTATTTCAATCTTCCCTGGTCTCTCTCTTCAGCATTTTCTTTAGTATCTTCCACGTACAAACCCTGTACATGATTTCCTAGACTGACATCTAAGTACTTCAGTGTTGGAGCCCCTGCAAATGATCTACCTGCAGGCTCAACTGCCAATGGGACCGACGTCTCCTCCCGGCTCCTTTACTCCTGCAGCGTCTCTAAGAGTCTCACCGACTGGCTTTTCCCAATCAACTTCAAAATTATTTTACGTTCACAAAATTGTTTTTTCCACTAGAATCACATGAAATCTATATATCAACTACACAATTCTAGGATGTTTAGTGTTTCACCCCAAGAACACGGTAGGTCTCTCCATGCTCTTTTTTTTTTTTTTTGAGGTGCAGTGGCTCACGCCTGTAATCTCAACACTTTGGGAGGCTGAGGCGGGCGGATCACATGTGGTCAGGAGTTTGAGACCAGCCTGACCAACATGGCAAAACCCCATCTCTACTAAAAATACAAAAATTAGCTGGGCATTGTGGCACATGCCTGTAATCCCAGCTACGCGGGAAGCTGAGGCAGGAGAAGTGCTTGAATCCAGGAGGCGGAGGTTGCAGTGAGCCGAGACCGCGCCACTGCACCCCAGTGTGGGCGACAGAATGAGACTTCGTCTCAGAAAAAAAAAAAGAAAGAAAAATTATTTTGGGTCTTTGTGAAGCAGTTAAGAATTTAGAATAAGGAAATACGTCAAAAAGGCGTTAAAAGCTCTACACATGAATAAGTTTACAGTAGCATTTTTCTGACATGTTACAAAATGAGGAATATAAAATGGCATGCATACAAGGAAAAGCGTGTATGTTTAGTTTTAGAGTTAAGGCGGTGACATTATAACCGCTTTTCATTATTTAAGGTTTCCACAAATGTTCTTTGAGCAACATCTTGGGGGCCAACCACGTGTTCCCCATCGAGACATCAGGATTCACTGTGACGTATCAGGGAGGAGGGAACAGAGCAACCCAGGAGAAGTGAGGACAGTGTCTCTCTCCAAGGCAGAGGGCAGGAGGGAAACAGCCGAGAGGCCAAGGGCTGTGGGACCCACTCAGCCGCCCCCAGCCCCACCAAGTCATCCTGTTCCAGACACGCTGGCCACTTACTAAGGTCATGTCGTCGCAGCAGGCAGCACAGGTGCAAGAGGCAGCGTGAGGGTTTAAGATCCCATCCTGAGATGTGAAAAGAACCACCATGCATTAGCAAGTCAGCCCCTAAATGTCAATCATTCAATAATAGAAGATTTCAACCACTTTTACCACTTACCTACCATTCATAAATATAAAAATTCTTTTTTTTTTTTTTTTTTTTGAGACAGAGTCTTGTTGGGTTGCCCAGGCTGGAGTGCAGTGGCACGTTCTCGGCTCAGTGCAACCTCTGCCTCCCCGGCGCAAGCAATTCTCATGCCTCGGCCTCCCAAGAAGCTGGGATTATAGGTTTGCACCACCACACCCAGCTAATTTTTGTATTTTTAGTAGAGACAGGTTTTGCCATGTTGACCAGGCTGGTCTCGAACTCCTGGCCTCAAGCAATCTGCCCGCCTCGGCCTCCCGAAGTGCTGGGATTACAAGCGTAAGCCACCGTGCCCAACCTCATAAAGATAAAAATTCTGCAAAATCAGGGCCGGGCATGGTGGCTCATGCCTGTAATCCCAGGACTTTGAGAGGCCGACGCAGGCAGACCACCTGAGCTCAGGAGCTGGAGACCAGCCTGGCCAACATGGTGAAACCTCGTGTCTGCTAAAAATACAAAAATTAGCTGGGCATGGTGGCGCATGCCCATAGTCCCAGCTACCTGGGAGGCTCAGGCAGGAGGATCGCTTGAACCCGGGAGGCAGAGGTTACAGTGAGCTGAGATCACACCACTGCACTCCAGCCTGGGCAACAGAGGGAGGCCTTTGCCTCAAAAAAAAAAAAAATTGTGAGAAATCAGGTAATGCCCAGGCCAGGTGTGGTGGCTCACACATGTAATCCCAGCACTTTGGGAGGCCGAGGCGGGTGGCTCACTTAAGGTCAGAAGTTCAAGACCAACCTGACCAACATGGTTGGTCTCCATTAAAATACAAAAATTAGGCCGGGTATTGTGGCTCACGCCTGTAATCCCAGCACTTTGAGAGGCGAGGCAGGTGGCTCACTTGAGGTCGGGAGTTCGAGACTAGCCTGGCCAGCGTGGTGAAACCCTGTCCCTATTAAAAAATACAAAAAAAATAGGCCGGGTATTGTGGCTCACACCTGTAATCCCAGCACTTTGGGAGGCCGAGGCAGGCAGATCACCTGAGGTCAGGACTTCAAGACCAGCCTGGCCAACATGGTGAAACCCCATCTCTACTGAAAATTAAAAAAAAAAAAAAAAAAGCCAGGTGTGGTGGCGGGCACCTGTAATCCCAGCTACTCAGGAGGCTGAGGTGGGACAATCCTCTGAGCCTGGGAGGTGGAGGTTGCTGTGAGCCAAGATCAAGCCACTGCACTCCAGCCTGGGCAACAGGGTGAGACTCTGTCTCAAAAAAAAAAAAAAAAAACCACAAAAACAGTAATTTCCAGAGCCTTCTCCTTTTCACAATGCCATTATTGGTGGCAGGACCTACCTCTTTCCTTTCAAGATTTGCAAAAGTCTCTACAGGAATTGCTTCCTTAACAACACCCAAGGAGCTAAACTGGAATAGGAATTAGAAGTCCTCTTTTCTTAGTAGACTGACGAGAAGTTAGGTGACTTTGAAAGGGTCACACGCATTCAAACAGAAGCGATTATCTTAACTTCTACTGTTTTCATTTTTTGTGTATTTGACACGCCCCCTTTCTGCAGCTATTCTGTGCCAGGCGCTGTGACCTCATGCACTTCTCCCAACAATCCTCACAGGGTCACGATCATCGTCATCCCCACGTGAAAGACCCGGAAACTGAAACATGAGAGGGTAAATCACTCGCCCAAGGCCACACAGACAGCAGGTGGAGGCTGCAAACCCCATTTGTCTGACCCCGTGGTCTGTGCCCTCCCTCTGGCTGGGCCGCCTCAGAGGGCCCCACGTCTGAACTGTGTGCTGAGCACAGGTGAGGTCACGGACGATACCTGGATGAGGCACTGCAAGGGTCGGCCCGCGTAGCGAATGCTTCTTTTCCAGTCCTTACTGCTGGCTCTTCCTGCCATGGCCTCAAACTCGGTGGGACTGTACCAGTTCTCCCCCTGCTTGATGCACCGTCCCCGGCCGCCTGCAAGGAAGGGCAGCAGTCATGATGATGGCAGGTGGGAACGTCACCTCTGCCATTGCCTACCTCCTGGCGCCTCCTCAACCCCTCCACCAGCACCAGCGCCCCAGCGGCTCATGTGATCTCACCCACCCACATACTTGGCCCTGACAGGTCCACCACGGGTCTGCCTTTGCAGCCTGTGCCTCTGACCCCCTACGTGATCTCTCCACCCGCTGTCCACAGGCAGTGCAAGCTCAACCAGGTCCCACACTGAGCACCTCTGGTACCCACTTCCAGAGCCTTCATCTACAAGTCCCAAGCTAACCTGGCAACTTGAGGAACACGTCCCAGCCCTGCCTCCCTCCTGCTTCTTCTCGCTTGTCTCCTGTCCCGTGGGTCACGATGGCTTTTCACCCCCAGATGGTTCCTGGGCGCAGCCCTGTCCCGTGCCTCTCCCAGGCCTCAGCTCAGTTCACAGGAACTGGGTGTCACCTGCACCTTTTGTCTTGTTTTTTTGTTGTCGTTGTTGTTGAGACGGAGTCTCGCTCTGTCGCCCAGGATGGAGTGCAGTGGCGTGATCTCAGCTCACTGCAAGCTCTGCCTCCTGGGTTCACGCCATTCTCCTGCCTCAGCCTCCCGAGTAGCTGGGACTATGGGACTACAGGCGCCTGCCACCACGCTCCACTAATTTTTTGTATTTTTAGTAGAGACGGGTTTTCATCGTGTTAGCCAGGATAGTCTCGATCTCCTGACCTCTGATCCACCCGCCTCGGCTTCCCAAAGTGCTGGTATTACAGGCATCAGCCACCGCGCCCAGCCCTGTCTTCTTAACTAGTTCTAGGTGCCATGATTTTCATCTTTCTCAGCCCCCAATTTATGCTAGGGGGGTTACAAAGGGGAATACAACTTTGGAGTCTGAAGTGGCAGTCCTCACCTGAGCCGAGCCTGTTCTTGTACAGAGTGCCGCTGATGTTCCGGCACCGTACGGGCAGCTCACTGTCGTACACAGAAGGGTCCCAGTTGTATTTAGTTCCACCTTTTTCTTGGCCGGGAGCCAGAGGGGTTGGAGGAGACTGAGGACCTTGGGCAGAGAAAGTGTTTGAAGGTGAGAGGCCGGACACCGGGAAGCATAGTACACTCTCATCTCAGACACCACCTCCCCGGCAGCGCCACCTCCTTCAACGGCGGAAAAACTTCTTGGTCAGGAAAATTCCAATGCTTTTACTTAAAATCTATTAATAGATGATATTCCAAATTTACCACAAAAAGAAACAAGTAAATAAATCCCTGAAATAAATTCTAGCTATTCTGAAACGTGTTTTGCCCGAGGCCTGGGGTGCAGGCACCGCTGTACCTGGGGTGAGGGGAGCTGCCGGGCCTTTCAGCCCGGTGGTCTCCACGATGCTCCCATCTGTGTGGACGACAATCAGTGTCGCTTTTTCGGTGTTCAGGCTGTCCCCGATCTGAAGGGCCGTCCTACCAGACTAGAAGGAAAAACCGCTCCGTCAGGTCACGTCCGAGAGTGACACCAGGCGTGTCACTGAGCCCAGCTGGGCCGTCCTCCAGCAGGGCTCTCTGGCTGTTCTCACCAAGAAGGGACGCTCACCTAGGCACCCCATATCTTTTCCAAAGATACCTCTCAAAGACTTGAAAACAGAGCCAAGAACAAGAACAGACAATGCCGAAGTCTGTGTGGTGCTGAGGAAAATGCTTGCCATCATTTGTCAAAGGGAAGGAAGAAAGGTGCTCCACAAACAAGAAACACCCTCCCTTCCACCTGAGCCGCTCCCACAAGGTCACCGTCTTCATGCAGAGTTTCCAACAGACCGAGTTGGCCGCCACAGACAAGGCCTTGTGCAGGACCGCCCTCCAGACCTCCTTACAGATGGCAACTGGAGACCAGGGCCTCAAAACCACATTTCCACACTGGCTGAAGCTGCTGCAACTGCTGCCTGCTTCCAAAATCAGCCTTCAGGCGGCACAGACCCCGCCACAGGAAGCCAGAGTCTCCATGCCCACACACCACTGCTGGAACTTGAACCCTACCTTGGCCAAGTCATCCGGCAAACTCTGGCCTGCAGGCTCTGTTCACCCCACGGTGGGGCAGACCAGAGACTTCCAGGGGCCTCTCTGAACCCCGTGTTTTGGGTGCCCCAAGGTTTTCATTCTGAATACAAAACCAACCGAGGCAAAGTGAGAAAACAACTGTTTCTTTTTTTCTTTTTCTTTTTTTTTTTTTTTTTTTTTGAGACGGAGACTCGTTCTGTCACCCAGGCTGGAGTGCAGTGGCGCCATCTCGGCTCACTGCAAGCTCCGCCTCCCGGGTTCACGCTATTGTCCTGCCTCAGCCTCCTAAGTAGCTGGGACTACACACGCCCACCACCACACCAGGCTAATTTTTTGCATTTTTTTTTTTAGTAGAGATGGGGTTTCACCGTGTTAGCCAGGATGGTCTCCATCTTCTGACCTCATGATCTGCCCATCTCGGCCTCCCAGAGTGCTGGGATTACAGGCAGGAGCCACCGCGCCCAGCTGACAACTGTTTCCTACATCTGAAAATGTCACTGTCAAATCAGAGCACTTGAGTAGAAGTTTATCATGGAGTGGAGGGACCCCCAACACACATGCCTGACGCCTGGGCTCACACAGGGGGTCCTACTGCTGTGCCTGAGTCACCAAAGACCTGCAGCTCTTCACTGGAGAAAAGGAATGTCTTGTGTTTGTTTAAGAGTCACAGAGTATTTTTCTTAGGAAGGGAACACACAGTTATTTCAGACCGTGCCCCGCTTTGTTGTCAGTTTCCAAACAGGAACACACCAGTCTCTGGTCTTCCTGGCCTGGAGGGGAGAAAACCAGCCTCAGGCACTTGCAGGACACCCCCGCTCCATGACGTCAGCACGTTCCAGGCACCCACAGGTGCCTTGGGCTTCAGCCCCTCCTAGGAAATGAGGAGGTGCCCAGACCCCACTGCCAGGAAGGAGCAGCCTGACTGAAAACACAGATCGCCACGTGGCCATGGGTCAGCTTGTGTGTGTTCTCACACCCACCAGAAATAAGCCAAGTTTCTGGGCTGGGTGCGGTGGCTCATGCCTGTAATCCCAGCACATTGGGAGGCCGAGATGGTAGCTACCTGAGGTCAGGAGTTTGAGACTACCTGGACAACATGGGGAACCCAGGAGGTGGAGGTTGCAGTGAGTTGAGATCACTCCACTGCACTCCAGTTTGGGCAACAGAGAAAGACTCTGTCAAAAAGGAAGGGGAGGGGAGGGGAGAGGAGGGGAGGGGAGGGCAGGGCAGGGGAGGGCAGGGGAGGGCAGGGGAGGGGAGGGGAGGAGAGGGCAGGGGAGGGCAGGGGAGGGGAGGGCAGGGGAGGGGAGGGCAGGGGAGGGGAGGGCAGGGGAGGGGGTTTCCAAGTTTCTTATGTTTTTACTGAAGTCCTTCACAAGTTTTCTGTTTGCTGCCATTCTAACAATAACTGTGCTTTCAGGCCGGGTGTGGTGGCTCACACCTATAATCCTTATAATCCCAGCACTTTGGGAGGTCAAGGCGGGCACCTGAGGTCAGGAGTTTGAGGCCAGCCTGGACAACATGGTGACCTGTCTCTACTAAAAATACAAAAATTAGCCTGGCATGGTGGCACACGCCTGTAATCCCAGCTACTCAGGAGGCTGAGGCACAAGAATGGCTTGAACCCAGGAGGCGGAGGTTGCAATGAGCCGAGATTGCACCACTGCACTCCAGTCTAGGTGACAGAGCAAGACCCCGTCTCAAAAACAAAACAAACAAATAACCACTCTGCTTTCAGGTATATGGAGATGATGTCCCAGGTATGTGACCAAGGCTGAAAAGACTACAAGTAACAGGTGCCAATGGTCCCAGGGAAAATCCCTTTCTGGAGACTGGACCCACCCTGGCATCTGCCACTTGGAAACAAGGTTGCCTGCCCTGGTTGACCAGATGTCCCCAGATCGCCGAAGGCCCCACACATAAAACATAAAATAAGCTGATAAAACATGATCACAAAAGGGCTCTGAAGGTGGCACAGACACTATTTGAAATGCAACTGGCTTTCAGCAGTTTTCTAAGTAGACAGCAGTCAGGCGTGGGAGACTGCACCATAAATGCTACGAGAACAGGATATGGGGGAGGGAAACGCCTTGCTTCTTTCAGCTGGCCCTGCAGCTATAGGATAAGGAGCACAGGCAGGGCCGGGCCTCGGGCAGAGGCTGAACTGTGGCCGGACAGCAGCCTGCTGGGAGTCCCTGCCCAACGCAGGCCACAAGCCCATCTGACAGGTGTGGCTCTTCACCTGGCCTTCCGAGGCAGCTTCTACCTCAGCTGTAATTTCTCCCACCTCCAGCACAGCCCGAAGGCCTCTGAGAGCAGAGCGAGCCAGTGCGTCCCTCCCCAGCTCACAGAGCAGACGTTCACACAGCGGGCTGAACCCCGGGAGAGCCTCGGGGAAGCCGGAGGCCCCCAGCGTGGCACCACCCGCCCTGGGCTGTGCCCCTCGGAGCAGCTTACCAGAACATGTCCTGAGATGGATGCCGCGTTCGCCACAGACGTGGTGAAGACATTGTCTGCAGCAGCCCCCACGTTGGCCACTGTCACTGTGGTCACCTCTGCAACAGAAGGAGCCTCATTTAACAAGCAACAAAAGCCAGAATGGACAAAGCGAACAGCCTCGCTCAGGTGCTTCAAACAAAGTGACTCCCCCTCAGGTGTGTGCCCTTGTAACCAGGAAGATCTTAACACTTCCATGAACACGCTCGACCTACATTTCTATTCCATTGTCTAAGTCATTCGGCTCTTCCAGGAAAAAGAGAGGAAATCTATTCTTCCCCAGTAAAGCCTTTTACGTGCAGTAAAAAATGCATACAACAAACCCGCCACCCCAGCCAGCCCCAGCTCTATCAAACCACCACGGGGCTTCTATCTCCTTCTGCGGCACAGCTGTGGGTTCTGCTGGTCAGGTGTGCCCTATGCCTACGAGGAGCTCTCGGCCTCCCCGCAGGTGAGGACACCTCCTGGACCCACTCTTGTAGCTCCATTCCTGCCTCTCCTCCACCGCAGGGGTCAGGCCACCATCGTCAGGTGACCTCGGCCCCATGCTCACAGCCATTGCCCTTGGTCTCTGACCCCTTCCTCCTAAAAAGTACATCTAACCTGCCTATGTCCCTTGGTGCCACCCCACCGCACCCCCTACAACATGGAACTCAGCCCCCTGGCATGCAGACAGGCCCTTCAGCAGCATCTGCACACAGGGCAGTTACCACAGAGGTCAGCTGCACCCCACCTCCTGCCCCTGTCATCCCAGATAGGTCCTGCAGCTCCAGCCTCTACATGCTGGAGTGTTTCTAGAGAAACACTTTCTGCCGCCAACACCCCCACACCCTCCTCTCTGCCTCTGCAAAGTCTTCCTGTGATGCTCCTAGGCCAAGCAAGTGGCTCTTCTGTCACCCAGAGTTCTAGAATGTCCTGTGTCCAGGGCAATCTCTGGCACACAGCAGATGCTTAAAAGATACTGGTTGAATGAGTCCTGACCATACCATTAACCCAGCACTCACCAAACTGCCCTAAAAATGCCTGTTTGCAGCCGGGCGCGGTGGCTCACGCCTGTAATCCCAGCACTGTGGGATGCCAAGGCGGGCGGATCACCTGAGGTCAGGAGTTCGAGACCAGCCTGACCAACATAGAGAAACCCCATCTCTACTAAAAATACAAAATTAGCCGGGCGTGGTGGCACATGCCTGTAATCCCAGCTACTCGGGAGGCTGAGGCAGGAGAATCACTTGAACCCGGGAGGCGGGAGGTTGCGGTGAGCTGAGATCACACCATTGCACTCCAGCCTGGGCAACAAGAGCGAAACTCCGTCTCAAAAAAAAAAAAAGGCATGTTTGCTGTCTGTCTCCACGACCAGACCACACCAGGTGCACGGTTCCCTCATCCTCGCCTCTCAGCACCACAAGCCCCGGCATGCGGCGCGCGGCCACAGTGAGTGCTCAACGCCAGGCCCATGGCAGCCCTGGGAGCAGCCGCCCAAAGCCTCCTCAGGCGGCAGCGTGTCCTGCTGAGTTACTTAAACCTGGAAACCACTTGACGTCAGCTGTTCGTAATTTTTAAAAAGTATTAAAGTGCTTTTACCACATCAAAACACAACTACCATATTTTTCAGAAGAAAACACACGTCAGCACATTTCTCTGACATCATGATGAACAGCATCATTTTTCTTTTATGCATTCAGAAAAATACGTGCAAAAATGACAAAAACCTGAAATCAACCTCATGGCTCCAAATCCCAACGTCAAACCAGAGTTTAGCGACGGACGCCAACCCCTGAGAGTCACAAAGCCTTCCCTCACTTTTTTTTCTTAACCAACCAAACAAGCAGCAGTGACCCCTTTGCCTTCGAGGGCCACTCAGCTGACCAAGGGCAGCCCAGACGCTGCTGGCCCCCACCCAGCCCCCAGGCCGAACAAGCACCCAGAGCACACGCAATGCCCTGACATACCCAGCACACCAGGACTGGGATCCAGTTCCTCAACCCGCAAAGCTCCGTAGGGGAAAAGTGCCTCACAACGCAACAAGAAGCTCCTCCCAAGGGTCTCAACACTGAGCTGTGAGTCCCTGGGGGACACTCGGGAACTCCAATGGGGAAGAATACAGTGCGTTAGGAAGCCAGTGGGTGGGGAAGTCTATGCCCCACGGACACAAGGGCGGGACACAGGAGGTGGGTGGACGGCACCAGCCCCGTAGGGCATCTGTGAGCTCTGCCACGGGCTCCCAGTGTTTTGGAGCCTGAGAAGGAGACTGACCTGTGTGGCAAGAAACTATAAGCAGCTTATATAAAAATGTGGACTGGAAAGCCACAGCAGCCTCCCCAAAGGAAGCCCGACAGGAAGCGGGGCAGGAGGAGCAGGTCCTTAGGGAAAAAGGCAAGAGGAAGAGGGAGGACTGGGAGGGGAGCCTGCACAGGTGGCTCCGCAGCCCCCCTGGGCCACCACACAGCCACGCTGACCTCTGGCATCATGGCCTCCAGCAGGCTGCCCACCCCTGGCTCCCCAGCGCTCAGGTCATGCCTGAACTGGCCCTCAGGAAGTGGGGGGTTCCTGGTGACCACAGGTGCCCACCCACCCCAGGGCTTCTCCAGGACAGGTGGGGGGAGCCAGGATGGACGAAGGCAGGGCAGGGGCAGAGCTGCACAGGGGGGACCAGTAGGAGGCGGGGCTGCCACAAAGAAAAGGGGGGCAGGGGGCAGGTGTGTGCAGGGCAGGGCCAGGTCAGGTGAGGCTAGGCAGGTCACCAGGGGCAGGTGTGCGGGGCAGGTGTTTGGGGTAGGTGGGGCAGGCTGGTCACCTGGGGCAGGTATGTGGGGCAGGTGTGCGGGGCAGGTAGGGCAGGCCGATCACGTGGGGCAGGTGGGGAAGGCTGGAAACGTCGAGCAGGTGTGCGAGGCAGGTATTTGTGGCAGGTGGGGCAGGCTGGTCACCTGGAGCAGGTACGTGGGGAAAGTGTGAGGGGCGGGTGGGGCAGGTGTGAGAGGCAGATGTGAGGGGTGAGCTAGTCACGTGGGGCAGGTGTGCAGGGCGGGTGGGGCGGGCGGGTCACGTGGAGCAGGTGTGAGGGGCAGGTGTGCAGGGCGGGTGGAGCGGGCTGGTCACGTGGAGCAGGTGTGAGGGACAGGTGTGGCGGGCTGGTCACCTGGGACAGTTGTGCGGGGCAGGCGCGCGGGGTAGGCGCGCGGGAACCGGACGAGGCGAGAGGCCGGCGGGCGCACTTGCCTGCGAAGGCTGCGGCAGCGGCGGCCTCGTCGGGGCCGGGCAGGGCCTCGGCGCCCATGTCCATGTGCCCGGGCTCCGCCGCCATCACCGCCACTGCCGTGACCCGCGGCGTCTCCCGCTCCGCCTCCGAGTCTGCGTCCTCCTCCGAGTCCTCGTCCCTGCTCAGCACCGGCTCCTCCGCCTCGCCTCCTGCCGCGGCCGCGGCCGCCGCCGCCACAGCGGCCGCGGCCGCCACCGCCGCCGCCTCAGCCAGGCCCAGCTGCTTTGCCGCCGAGTCCGAGTCCTCCATCCGGACTCCGCCGAGCCTTCCCGAAGGCGCCGTCCGGGACCGCCCGAAGCGCCGGTCGCGGAGCCCGAAGCGGGGCCCGAAGAGGACGCCCGAGCTGGGCCGAGGCCGCCCGAAGCCGCCGCCCGAATAGGGACCGAAAAGGCAGCCAGCCGCCGAGCAGAGCCGAGCCGAGTCCGCCCGCGGAGCGGAGCCGAGGCGAACAGAGGCTGCCCGAGTAGGAGCCGAACCTGCACGAAGCCGCCGAGCCGAGACCGAGTCCTGAACCGAGGAGGGTCGAAGTTCCCCGAAGTGGGAAGCCGAATCAGTCCGAATAGGTCCGAGTCCTCACGAGGGCTTCCGAGAGACTCGGCCCCTGCTCTCCTCACTGTCCTGACAGGCTGAGGCGGCTGTCGTCCCCGGCCGACAGGGCTGGACGGCTCTAGGCAGATTCTCGCCGGCGGCCGGCGCAATTCTGCCTCTCAGAGAGAGCTTAGTGCCGCGGGTTTCGCCCGTTCCCGCCGCCGGCGGAAGCCGAGTCAGCCCGAGGCCGAGCCGAGACGAGCCGAATGTCCCCGAGGCCGAATGCTCCCGAACGTCGGTTCTCCACCTCTTCCCTTCCGAAAGTGCCCGAGCGGTGCCGGACGGACTAATCGGGCCTCGGCCGTGGCTCGGACGTCCGCTCCCGAAACGCGGCGCGGTCGGGCCCCTTCGTCAGGAGACGCGAAAATGGCCGAAGGAGCGCGAGCGCGCGGGCCGAGAGGCTGCCGGGATCGCGACGGACCGGCGGGCGGGGCGGGTAAGATGGCGGCCCCGCGGCGAGGTGAGCTCGGGCGGGGTGGGGGCTTCCGGGCTTGCAGCGGCGGGCGCGGCGTTTCCCTGTGGTGACAATCCGGTTTCCGCTTTCGGTGCGCTCACGGGGCCGTGCCACCGTCTCTACGTGAGCGAGACAGCTCCGTCACCCCATCGAGAAGCGCGGCCTGGCCTGGCCTGGGTGGCGGGCGTCCTGCACCCCGAAGAGCTCCCCCGCGCGCGGGCGCCTGGCCCCGGGCAGGGTGGGTGCGGAGCGGCTCTGGGGGCCCCAGTCCCCGGCAGCTCTTGTCCCGCGCGTGGTTTTTGTGAAGACACGTGGGCGGGATGGGCGCAGGGTTTCGGTAGCCTTGGAACTCTCGCCAAAGAAAATCGCGGGCGCCGGTGCCTCAGCCGTCCTGCCTGAGAGACTCGCCTCCGAGAGGAGGAAGGGACAGACCAAAGCAGTAAATCGGCCATCCTGCAGAGGAGCCGCCTTCTGCTGTCTGTGGGTACAGCCAGAACTCCCATACGCGGGCGCTGAAGTGCCAAACCTTCGTGCGTGTTCTCTAGTAATTAGGTGCATTGTTTTGAAGGAATAAAGAATGGCTACTCCATAGGCAGGACAGCCTCTAGTAACCAGGTTTGTTTTGTGTATTTTCATTTGGTTAAAAATTAAGTTTAGGTTGGGCGCAGTGGCTCAGGCCTGTAAGCCTGACAGTTTGGGAAGCCGAGGCTGCAGGATCATTTGAGGCCAGCCTGGGCAACATAGCAAGACCCCCTCTATAAAAAAAAAACTGTAAACATCAGCCAGGCGGTGGCGCACCCCTGTGGGCCAAGCTATTCTGGAGGCTGAGGCTGGCGGATCACTTGAGCCCAGGAGGTCGAGGTTGCAGTGAGCCGTGATGGCGCCACTGCACTCCAGCCTGGGCGACAGAGCGAGACCCCCTTCTACAAAAAAAAAATTAAAAATTACCCCGGGGAAGGCCAGGCGCAGTAGCTCACGCCTGTAATCCCAGCACTTTGGGAGGCCAAAGCGGGCGGATCACCTGAGGTCGAGGGTTCAAGACCAGCCTGACCAACATGGAGAAACCCCGTCTCTACTAAAAATACAAAATTAGCCTGGCGTGATGGTGCATGCCTGTAATCCCAGCTACTTGAGAGTCTGAGGCAGGAGAATTGCTCGAACCCGGTGGTGGTGGTGGGGGGGGTGGGGTGCGGAGGTTGCAGTTGGCCAAGATCGCACCATTGCACTGCAGCCTGGGCAACAAGAGCGAAATTCTGTCTCAAAAAAAAAAAAAATTACCTCAGGGAGCCTGTGGTCCCAGCTACGTGGGAGGCTGAGGCTGGCGGATCACTGGAGCCCAGGAGGTTGAGACTGCAGTGAGCTGTGATCAGGCCACTGCACTCCAGCCTGGGCAACAGAGCAAAACCCTGTCTCTAAAAAAACTAAGTGTATACCAAAACAAGATTTCTTAACACATCTTGTCCATTACATCAGGGAAAACACTTGTTCTCTTTCACTTCCATGTTTAACTTCTGCCTGACACAGCTATTCGTAGCCACATTGTGATTATAGTAAGTCACTGACAAAAAATGTTGTCCTGAAAGCCAAGGCTACGTTCGGTCAGAATGAGCTCCTGCAGGTCTGGAATTGTTAGAACAGCGTATCTGGTTATAGCCGCCCTTCATATTAATTATTAAAATGTTACATCACTTAAGGCTTTTATACAGTTTTTCCCCCAAGCCCCATAACTTCAATCTATAACAGTGAGCAACTAGCAGACACATTGGAAGTGTTTAAGAAGCCAGCCTTTAAGAAAAGGAACAGAAGGGACAAAAACCCCAATTAATGCGAAATCATCACAGATAATGACAGGTATTTAGGTGGCCTGGTTTAGCTAAGGCCTGGAAAAGAACAGATCGGGTTTAAAGAGTGGCCTGCCGGGAACGCGATGCGGCGTGGTCTGCCGTGCACTTGGCTTCCTGCTTCCATCCTGTGGTGCCTCTTCCAGGAGCCCAGTTCTGAGTCTCTGATGCCGATGTCCTGTATTTACTGGCTTAAAACTCTTGCCTGTGTGAGATTCCACAAACTCTGGCACAGAAGGCCCCAGATCTGCCCAAGAAGCTGTGGGATCAGCCACAAAATCTCACCAACGCCAGGTTTCTGTCCTGCCCTCCCTGGCGCTGAAGGGGAAATAGAACAGAGGCTGTGTTCAGGTTGCTGTCCTGCCTGCCGCCCAGCGGTGCAGCTTGAGCCTCCTTTTATGAGAGGTTTCCACCCAATTCTAGATGTGTATTGAGGTATCTACACATGGAGGGACGTGCACATATCACACGTGCAACTGGCCTGAGCCCTTTTCAGACAATTAGTCCGCTCCAGGTCAGCGTGGATCCAGGGTGAGTCAGAGGCGTCTTCAGATGCAAAACCTCAGAATCAAAAAGGAGGAAAGAGACTCCACTCACTCCTCGGGCTTCCTGTCATCTCTCAGGTGGGGGTGGGAGAAGGCCCAAGAGGTTGCATGATAAAAAGACTGGACAGCTGCATTGCTGGTTTGGAAAATCCTTATTTTTGGAGGGATATTTGGGGATAAAATTTCAGAGGAAAGCAAATGTCTCATCAATCATGAAAAAAGATTTGTTACAACCTAAGTCAGAAAAGGTTTTCATCTAGTCATATATGTGTGGCAAATACGGAGAAGCCACAGACGGTGAGCCACAGACAATGAGAGCAGCTGTTGGGGTGGGCTCCAGGGTGCTGCTTTCCCTGAGGGCCAGCTGGGTCTGGCCCAGGTTCACTTCCCACCCCGGTGCCCCCGGTACTCGCTGTCTCCAGCCTCAGGTTCTGAAAGGCAGAGACTCCTAGCCTCATTGAAGGATGGTTAGAGAGGCACGGGAGCTATCTAGTGGCAGGCCCACGGTATATGTTTGCTGCTTTCTACAAATACGAGATCAAAGGAAAATAAAGCAGGGGTGGTTCCTGTCAGTGTGGAGCGAGACCCGGGAAAGCATCCTGGTGGCTGTCAGGCCTTGCTCACGGCCCCTTTCTCTTTCAGGGAGAGGATCCTCCACAGTGGTATCCTGCTGCGTGCCCCTCCAGGACAGCACCCAGAGGCCCGAATTGCTGCTGCACAGAGAGCACTCGGCCTCACCCCACGTTTTCCCTAAGTTCTGTCTAGTAATTCCACTTTGGAGAGGGGGGTGTTCCTTGACAGATTTAGAGAGTTGATGTAACTTCCTCGGATCAGTTCTGCTGGCTCCATCCCCTACCTGCTCAGCCCTGCACAAAGTGGCTAAGCACGCCACACTGCCGGCTCCCAAGGCGATGGCCACCTGCCTCTGTCTCGGCCGCTAGTGGCAGGAAGATGGAAATCCCTCACTTTGTCCCTAGATTCATTTTATTTTATTTTTGTTTGTTTATGTTTTTTTAAGGACAGAGCCTTCCTCTCACCCAGGCTGGAGTGTGGCAATCACAGCTCACTGCAGCCTCAGCCTCCTGAAGCTCTGGCATCAGGCGGGAGCCACTGTGCCTGGCCCCATAGACTCATGTTAGCATAAACAAATAGGAAATGTACACAGCTCAGGAAATGGCTACTAGATACTTAAGTCCCCCAAACAGAAATATATTTCCTCTGAAGAAACTGAAAAAAGTGGCCGGGCGCAGTGGCTCATGCCTGTAATCCCAACACTCTGGGAGGCTGAGGTGGACAGATCACTTGACACCAGGAGTTTCAGACCAGCCTGGCCAACATGGTGAAACCCTGTCCCTACTAAAAATACAAAAAATTAGCTGGGCATGGTTTTGCACGCCTGTAATCCCAGCTACTCAGGAGGCTGAGGCAGAAGAATCACTTGAACCCAGGAGGCGGAGGTTGCAGTGAGCCAAGATTGTGCCACTGCACAGTGTCCAGTCTGGGCAACAGAGCAAGACTCTATCTCAAAAAAAAAAAGAAAATGACAAAGTTATTTTTTCTCTCTTAACTCATAACTGGGGCCAAAGGCAGGGTGACATCACTGGGGATGCCAGTGTGTGGAGGCTGTCCCCTGACCAGTCCTGTCCACAGTCAGGAGGGCAGGGGCTGCAGTGCACAGACCGCATTGTTGTGGCATGGAGGGGGGTCCCACAAAGGCCTTGTCAGCTCATGGGACCACATTGGCAGCCAGCATAGTGACAGAAGCCTCAGATAGGCAGTGAGCCATTGCCAAGACTCCATGGTCCCTTGGTGTCTGTGGCCACCAAACAGATGACAGAACCAGCCCCTCTTGTTCAGCCACCTGGGAGGCTGCTCCCAAGCCTGTTGAGCTTGAGGATCCTTAACCACTCACCAGCTCTCTTCAGTTCCCCTTCAAATGCTGTTTTATCTCAGCGGAACGTACTACGCCCTGTATTTCCTCGCCACGCTCCTGATGATCACGTATAAAAGTAAGTCAGGGACGGGCACAGTGGCTCACGCCTGTAATCCCAACATTTTGGGAGGCTGAGGTGGGCGGATCACTTGAGGTCAGGAGTTTGAGACCAGCCAGGCCAACATGGGGAAACCCCATCTCTACTAAAAACACAAAAAGTAGCCGGGCGTGGTGGTGGGCGCCTGTAGTCCCAGCTACTCGGGAGACTGAGGTGGGAGGATTGCTTGAACCCGGGAGGTGGAGGTTCCAGTGAGCCAAGATTGCGCCACTGAACTCCATCCTGGGTGACAGAGCAAGACCCTGTCTCAAAAAAAAAAAAAAGGAAAAGGCAAGCTGAGGTGGCTGCTGCTGCTGTGCCAGGTTACTTATGTTCCGTCCGCGCCTCTGCTCTTCAGGTCAGGTGTTCAGCTATCCTCACCGCTACCTGGTCCTCGATCTTGCTCTGCTGTTTCTGATGGGGATTCTAGAAGCAGTTCGGTTATACCTGGGTGAGTGGACTGTTAACACCGTGAAGAACCTGTCCTAAGAGTTGCTATCTGTTTCCACAGCCTTTCAAGAGTAATTATTTTATAGTGTGGTTCTCAGAGACATTTTTTATCCAAACTGCTTACCCAGTTGCTTTGCAGGCTCACCTTACAGTGTCATTAAGTATTAATCAAGAAGTTTTGTCCCAGAGACAAATAACACTGGGGGCATCGTTGGGAGAGACTCTGTGTTTGGAAGCATGTCTTGTAGAAGCCACTGGGTAATGGCACTGAGATCAGAAAAGCCCAGCCCACCACCACATCTGGAGCTCCGGAATATTCACCAGCACCCCTTTCCTTCCCCTTGCCCTTAGCTGTCTGAGGAGAGAGCCCTGGAGAGTTCTGCCAGGTCCCAAAAGGCAGCAGAGTCTGGAGGGGTGGGAGCCCCCAGCCTCCCCACTCCAGCTCTAGGGATCCCCAAGTCTGCAACCCCTTCCAGTGACCTACTTTTTTTGAGACGAGGTCTCACTCTGTTGCCCAGGCTGGAGTGCAGTGGTGCAGTCACAGCTCACTGCAGCCTTGACCTCCTGGGCTTGAGCGATCCTCCTGCCTCAGCCCTCCCCTCCTCCCAAGTAGCTGGGATTACAGGCACCTGCCACCACGCCCAGCTAATTTTGTTTTGTTTTGTTTTGTTTTTTTTTGGTAGAGACGAGACAAGGTTTCTTTTTTTTTTTTTTTTTTTTTTGAGACAGAGTCTCGCTCTGTCGCCCAGGCTGGAGTGCAGTGGCGTGAACTTGGCTCACTGCAAGCTCCGCCTCCCGGGTTCACGCCAGTCTCCTGTCTCAGCCTCCCGAGTAACTGGGACTACAGGTGCCCGCCACCACGCCCGGCTCATTTTTGTATTTTTAGTAGAGATGGGGTTTCACCATGTTAGCCAGGATGGTTTCCATCTCCTGACCTCCTGATCCGCCCACCTCGGCCTCCCAAAGTGCTGGGATTACAGGCGTGAGCCACCGCGCCCGGCCGGAGACAGGGTTTCGCTATGTTACCCTGGTTGGTCTTGAACTCTTGGGCTCAAGCAATCTGCCCACCTTGGCCTCCCAAAGTGCCTGGCCTCACTCCCCTTTTTTTAACCACACAATTTGTTCAAGGGTATGTTCTTGTACAAGATTCAAGGGGTGCAGAAGTAAAACATGGAAATTCGCCCTCCCCAGAGCTCACCTCTGTGGCCAGCGGGGTGCAGACTTCCAGCCCTCTGCGTGCTCATGGTCGTAACATGTGCACCTAAACACACGTGTTTGTGAAACATTGTCCTGCCGTGGGGAACGCAATGGGCACTTCCAGGGCGCTGTGCCCCTGCCAGGCTGGAATCTTGGGCCCCTCTTGTTCACATACAGATACACCCCTGATGCCTGATGTCCAGTGAGGAACCAAGGCTGCGGGGAAGGGTGGCCCCCACCCTTCCTCTTGTTATCAGGCCTCAGACACACTAGGAGGATGGAGGCGAGTTCTCTCAGCTGCCCATCCCACTGAGGGGTGCCCGGCCGTCAGTGTCTTGTCTGCACTTACGTCCCAGAACCTCTAGAGCTTGCCCCCCAGGGCGGGCACTGCTGGGAGGGTGCGAGCACCGCTGCGGCACAGAGGCCCGGTTCTTGGCTGATCTTCTGGGGCCTGGGCCTGCCCTGAGGTGGTGGGGACAGGGTGTGGCCTGGCCCTGCTGGGGGCTGCTAGGCCAACGGGACCCTCCCCAAGCGCGCCGCACACTGCAGGGTCTCCAGGCACCTGGGCTCAGCTAGTGACTGACCCATTTGTTTGCTAAATACGCAGTTTTGTTTTTAATACATACTCGTGAAATTTTCCAGAACTGGCCTTGGACCAGAGAAAAATACTTTGGGAATTTTTCAAAAAAATCCCTTCAGTTCCACTTGGAATTAGGAAAACGTGGCAGATGCACTTGAATCATTTTAGAAACCAAATTCACCCCCGCCCACACAGCCGACCCAGAAGACCCAGAGACAGATCAAACCATGCTGTTGCAGGGGCACCTCCCCCAGGAGGGGCTCACGCCTGTGTTGCCCATGCTCTCTGGCTCTCCTGAGTTCTGGGTGGCCATGGAGGCTGTTTCCCTGGAATTCCCCAGGCCCCGGAGGAACGTAGGGCAAGGAGCTGCTCTGGTCCCAGCAGCCCTCCAGGCACCTGTGGGCGGTGGGCTCCAGGGAGCGCCTCGCACCACCTTCCCTCCCCTTTGCTCTGTTCTCCAGGCACCAGGGGCAACCTGACAGAGGCTGAGAGGCCGCTGGCCGCCAGCCTGGCCCTCACGGCTGGCACCGCCCTCCTCTCTGCCCACTTCCTGCTTTGGCAGGCCCTAGTGTTGTGGGCGGACTGGGCCCTCAGCGCCACGCTCCTGGCCCTTCACGGCCTGGAGGCCGTCCTGCAGGTGGTTGCCATCGCGGCCTTCACCAGGTAGCTACGGACACCCGGGATACCCCACACTGGGGCCCTCCTCCTGGGCCTGACCAGTCCCCCAGCTGTCACCTCCCCATTCCTGGACAGGAAGGGCACTTTTCCTAGTGACTGGCCATAGATGGTTTTGGATGGTTCCATCTGTTCTGGCAGGAGTGGGAGCAGGAGCCAGGGCAGAACAAACTGCTGGAGGCCCTGGTGTTGGGAACAGCTGCGGGGAGGGTAGGGACCAGACAGAACTGCCTTCAAGATGAGTCCCAGGAGCGCACACTCAGCCCTGTCAGTGGGGTCTGGCTTTAGCAGCCAGGCCTCCACAGACCCCCATGGGCCCCCAGGGCCGAGAGGGAGGACAGAGCCCTTCAGAACAGAGGCCTCATCTCACTGCATCCCCCATCACCCCCTAGTTCCCCAATGGTCCTAATTTGTGTTCTGAGATCCCAGTTTACTCCGTGGCCAGGCCCCACCTGTGTTTCCAAGTCGGGCTGGAGACGCAGGATGGGGTAGGCCTTGTGCTCTGAGCAACCCCAGCTCTGCCTCACAGGCAGGCAGGCCCGGTGCAAGAGTGGACTCTGGGTTCCTAAAGCAATAAATGCAAACAAGCCAACAGCTCTGCTGCCTAGCAATTTCCATCTTAGCCACACTTCTCCCTTCAGGGGCTTCGGAGGAGAGGTCAGGGCTAAGGCCGGGGATGAGACTGCAGGAGAGAGAGCAGCGGAGGGCCACATTCGGAGCCTCCGTCCACTCCAGTTTTATCAGCTTTTGCCTTTTGCACGGAGTGCTAAACAAATTCTAGCTCTGTGTTTTTTTCCCATTCCCAGATTTACTATCAGTTCTCCTTAAAAAGTATCTAAGCTGTTACAGTAGCTTTCCCTTCACTTGATTCTATTGTGTGTTTTCTATGTTTGGAATAATTACACCCAAATATCTAGATATTTTCTCTTCACCGCATTTTGTAAATAAAGAGATGTGTATGCCTCCCTGAATTCTCCTAATTATGGCCACCTCCCCCACCCCATCTCCAGTTCTCCTGCCCTGCAAGAGAGCACACCCCACTTGCCAGCTGGTCAGTTCCTGGCTGGCCTCGCCCTCGGGCCCTGGCTGCCGGGCGCCTTCCGCTCGGTGGACTCCTGAGGGCAGGAGGCTGCGGGACTGTCCTGGGCCTCCACTGGGGCTCCCTCGGCTGGGGTGGCTGTGGCTGTGGCACCTGGACAGTCTTTCCTGCCTGTCTTCGTGGAAGCGGTGGGAGCACCCAGTTGTCCTGGGCCGACTTCCTTTGACCTGTCTGTGGCCCCCAGTGGCCACGGTGAGCTGCAGGACAGCCCTGAGGACCCACTTCACACACCAGCGCCTGAGCGCCTCGGGCCACCTCCCTCACCAGCGCCTGCACTCGCAGAAGACCAGCTGGGCACACCTGCCATCTGGAGGACCCAGCCCACAAACCATGCAGACCAGGGAAGGACCCCCTCCCTGAAGCTGGAGACCTGTTGCCTTCATGGTTAATGGATCCTGATACCTCCAGTCTCAGCGAGCACACAAAGGCAGTGGTCACCTGTTCCACAGGGAACGCCATGGCTCCAGGTGACCCGGAGTGGATGGGGCCCGAGAGGCCAGCCTGGACTGTCTCCTGAGGGCAGGCTCCGCACTCAAAATCGTGTTGACAGGCACCCGTTTAGGAGTGGAGAGGGACCCCACCCCCCAGCTGTCCTCTCCAGCGCCTGTTTCCCACTTGGCCACTCCCAGCTCTGCCTCCAGGAAGGGTGAGGGCACGGGTGCACCGAGGGGTTGGCGTGTGTGACCCTGAGCTCTGGGTCAGGGCAAGCTCATGCATGGAGCAGGATCACGGCAGGTTCCTGGAGATCAAACGGCAAAGGCTGTAAACCAGGAAGCCAGGTCTTGCCTGGGCTCAGGGGCAGGCACTGGGCCCGAAGGAGGAGGGCCACTTCCTGCCAGCCCTCCACCGAGCTCACCTATGGCGCCTCCCCAGGAAGTGCTCCGGCCAGCCCAGGGTAAACACGCTAGCCCTGCCCCTCTGGGACCATAGCCCGGGGACCCAGACTCTTGGCCACGCTCATTCCCACCCCTACCCAGGACCGGCAGCCGGAGCCTTGGGTCCCTGCATGGGCCTGGGGCGCCCTGTGCCCCTTCACCTCGTCCTCGTCCAGTTGACTGCTGTGGCAGCCGGTGCTACCCGCTGTGTCCACTGCACCCTGGCCCTGTTCTGAGCGGTCACAGCAGCTGGGGAGAAGGGCCATCCTGGAAGCCGGGCAGATGAGGACGGAACCAGACAGTCCCACTGTGGTGGGCAGAGGTGGGGCCTGGGCCTGACCACGGGGCAGTGCAAGGAGAGAGGCATCCTGAGAGGGCCTGAGGTGTCCCCACCTCCCCTGACACCCCATCCCTCAGTGCCCAGGCTGGGCAGAAAGGGGGGCCTGGAGGAGCAGCTGCACTGTGAACTCAGGGCTCCAGGCCTGGGGTGGGCATGGCTGGGTCCTGCCTGACACCCACCCACTCACCGAAGCCTCTGCCCCTGGGCCTGCGGTGGGCCCGGTAAGGGAAGTGACTCTGCCCCATGCCTGGGGCACCTGAGGGGTGCACCTGGCCCGGCGGAGGCTCTGACCTCCCCAGGGCTGGAGCCCTCCCCAGCAATGCGCCAGCGCTGCCCCCGAAGTCCCATTGGCAGCGTTCCCCCGTCCCCCGGCCTGCTGGGGCGCAGCTAGGCCCTGCCCAAGGAAGAGCTCGAGGCCTCGCCCTGCTCATCCCGCGGAGGCGGCCCTGCGCCCCGCCTGTCCCCAGCGCCCCAGCTCTAGGGGCTAGGCCCGCGGAGGGGCACACCAGGCGGGTGTTGGGGAGGACGCAGAGGGCTGGGGCTGGAGCCCAGGCGGGGCAGGGGGCGGGGCGGAGCTGGGTCCGAGGCCGGCGGGGGCGCCTCCATCCCACGCCCTCCTCCCCCGCGCGCCCGCCCGCTCTCGGGTGACTCCGCAACCTGTCGCTCAGGTTCCTCCTCTCCCGGCCCCGCCCCGGCCCGGCCCCGCCGAGCGTCCCACCCGCCCGCGGGAGACCTGGCGCCCCGGCCGAGGCGCGAACAGACGGACGCACCGGCGAGCGCCGAGGGGACAGGCCGAGCGCGGGGCGCCGGAGGCAGGTGAGCGCTGCGGACACGGGGGAGCGCGCCCGCCCGGGCCTCAGTTTACCCGGTGGCGATGGGACGCGGGGCTTCTGGTTCAGGACACCGGGACGAACGCGGCGTCGCAGGGCGCGGGGCACTTGGAGGGCGGCCGGGCCGAGGGCGCGGGGCAAGGGGCTGGGGGCCTGGTCGAGTCCCCACCTCTCCTGGACGGGTCCTGCTGCAGCCCGGCCTGCCCCCGTCGGTCCTGGGCGGCGGCCGGCGAGCAAGGATATTTTTAAGCCAGCGATGGGTGACTCACCTGCCCCGTCCTGCCCACTCCCAGCTCTGGGGCTTGGTGGGGGCAATCCCTGCGTCCGGAGAGCGCTGGTGGTAGGGAGGCTTCTCCCGGTTCTGTGAGCAGCAGGACCCTCCCGAGGGCCTGACCGTGGAGGTAGCACTGCACACCCACTCCCTGTGGGCCGGAGCCAGGAGGCACTTCCTGGGTGTCGGAGCCCAGAAGGAAACCAGTGGCCGGGAAGCACCAGCTGGGTCAGTCTCCAGGTCAGGGTTGGGGGTGGGAGTTTCAGGGAGGAGGGGAGGCTGGGACAGGGGCTGCAGAGGCCCTGCCAGGAGAGGCAGGAGGGTGGGCTGGCAGGAGCCTGTGGGCACGCGAACTTCAGCCATCCTAGATTCCTGGTCCCTGCGTCCAGCTGCCTGGCGTTGCCCCTTGCTGCGGGGTGTCCCTGGTGGCAGGGGAGGGGGAGGCAGGGCCGGGCATGCCCGGACCTCTGCCCCCACCCACCCCGTGCTCAGTCCTGGGTCGGCTGTGCTGGGAGGCAGGCCCAGCTGGCGGCGGCCCCTCCCCTCGCGGCCCCTCCTCCCCTCGCGGCCCCTCCTGGGTCCCAGCCTCTCCCGGGCCTGCTTAGCACCCAGGCCTTGTTGGCATAGCTCTCCCACCGGGCCTTCTCCGCCTGCCTCGGTCTCCTTTCCCACCCTCAGCTTCCCCAGCTTATCCCTTCCTCCCTCAAGCCATAGCTTCCAAACAAGGACAGGGCCAGGGCCTGAGGGGCCTCCCCATTCCAGGGCCCCACCCAGCGCCTATGAGGGCAGCCTGGAGCCCCTGTGACTCAGCTGACCCCTCCCCAAGGTCACTCAGCATGTGGAGCTGGAACTTGAACTTGGAGCCCGTCCCTCTACCCTCCTGCCCTGCTGGGACCTCCTCCCCTCCACAGCCCGACTGACCGGGCACCCCGCTCTGCCTCACTTCACACCGGGAAAATGACCACAGTACAAAGTGCAGCCTGGGCCTCCAGGGCTTCGTCCCCACCACCAGTGGGCCAAAGAAGCCTCCCCAGGGGGGCGGGGCTCCCACAGGGCAGGAGGCAGCCCCATACCCATGTGCTTCAGACCCAGACACCACACCTGGACCCACCCCACTGCTGCCCGGCCCTGCCTGGGCCTGAGGTCCCCGATGCCCTGCAGGCAACCGAAGGCCAGGAACCTGGCCTTCCCCAGGGGGGTCGCGTGTCACAGCCCTCCATGTTTGCGTGCCCCCAGGCCTGAGTCTGCAAGGGTGCGTTGGTGTCTCGCCCAGGTGTGTGCCTGGACACACGTGCCTGGCGCCCTTGGTGGAGCCCGCCAGGAATCCCATTAAGCAAACACTCAGGCTCGCCACTGAGCCCGTGAACATTCCAGACATTCTCCACGGATAGATGGATGGAGGAAGTGGCCATACCCCCTGGTGCACCCAGCCCCTCATGTCAGCGGCAGTGCCCCCGGGCCTCCCAGACCCTCCCACTAGGCCAGACCTGGTCAAACCAGAAAGTCCCGGGTGCTCCGAGCCACTCCCTTGACCCTCCATACCAACAGCAGTGGCTGGTGACCCCCACCGTGGCAGACCCAAACTCTGAAGCCACAGGGGACAGCCCTGCAGCCCTGGCAGGAGGCAGATGGTGTGGACCTGTGGGGAGCTGATCACAGAGCCACAGAACAGCCAGGTCCCCACAGGGCATAGTCCCCTTGGGACAAGTCAGCCTGGTTCAGGGCCATCAGGCTCTGTCCATCCCCCCGGGAAGCCCCTAGGGTCCAGCCCAAATCAGACCCACCTGTCTGCCCTGGCGGCTGGGCCTTAGTTTCCCCAAAATGCTCGGGGAAGAGGTCAGCACTAGGAGCCCAGAGACAGGCTCTGAGGATTCTGCCCCTGGGGGAGGCCAGAGGCACCTGCCCCATAGCCACCCTACCTCGTTGGAGGGGCAGTGATACTGTGTGTTGGGGCCACTGGACTGGCTCCCAGTCTCAGCCCCCACCACACCTGCCCTCCAGTCCCTCCCCTAGGCTTGGCTGCTGCCAGGGGTTCTGCGCTGGCCACCTGGCCGCATCCCTGCCCTCGAGGTGAGGAAACACTGCACCCCGGGGACCCCAGGGTTTCCTGCCCGCACAGCCTCTTCCCTGCCAGGTCTCCCAGGCCCAGGAAAGAGCCAAGGGCCAGCCTCTTTGCTGGGGCCTGGACAGAGGTGGCATGTGTGGGTGGCAAGTCCACATGTGGGTGCAGGAGCCCCTTGGGGTGCAGGCCTGGGGTGGGGCAGGAGTGGCGGCTAGAGCCGGGCTCCCTCTGGACTTCAGGACCTACCCCAACTCCAGCCTCACCTCTCCTGCCATCCTGCAGCTCCCACCCGCCCTCCCCCAACCCCCACCGCACCCCCCTCCCCCCACACTCCCACCTCATCCCCCTCCCCTTACCCATCCCACCCCCCTCCCCACAGCACCAGGGCCTTAAACTCCATGCTGCCCAGCTTGGAAGGCGCCTTCTGCCCCCAGGGCCCTTGTCAGAGCCTCCCAGTCAGCCTCTGGGGGGTCCCTGTGGAGCACCTAGGGTCTGAGGCATGACGAGGCTGATCGACTGTCAACTGGGACGTGGGGCCAACTGGGACGTGGGGCCAACTGGGATGTCGGGCAGGGGCTCTGCCCCCCAAGGGACCCCCACCCAGGCCAGGCCAGTCAGGGATCTGGCCCAGGGAAGGAGGGGAGGAACCAGCCAGGCCGGAGGAAGTGTCAGCGCAGCCCTTCTGTCCACCCAGGTGTGGGACAGGCACTGGCCTCAGACCGGGGCCACACTGAGGTCTGCCCTTCTCCCGCTGGCCGCCACCCAAGACACCATGAGCCAGTCCGGGGCCGTGAGCTGCTGCCCGGGTGCCACCAAGTGAGCCCTCCCACCCATCCCGAATACCCCACCCTCACCCTCTGAACAGTCCCCAGGGAGGGGTGCAGTTTGGCCCTGCCCTGACAGCCCCTCCCCTGCAGTGGCAGCCTGGGCCGGTCCGACGGTGTGGCCAAGATGAGCCCCAAGGACCTGTTTGGTGAGTGAGGTTTGAGAACGGGCTGGACGTCACAGGGGAGAAATGGGCACTGCATCCAGGTGGGGGACAGCTGCTCCTGCCCCACAGCTGTGCCTGGTCTGGCCCAGGGGATCTCCGGGTGCCCAGGGAGGCCTCTGGACCCTAATCAACCTTCCGAAAGCTCCTGGCCACTGGATCCCCTCCCCCACACCCGTAAGGGGAGAGGCCTTTACTAATAATTCAGGGAGCATCAATATTGATTCCGCTGCACTCATTGCTGTAACCTGATCACAGCGAGGTTCAGGCAGGATAAGCCGCCAGGTGTCTGCTCCAGGAGGGGGGCCTGGCCAGCCCCCACCTCCCCCCACTCTGCCCTTCCCCAGAGACGACCCTGCCCTCTCGCTAGCTAGATGCACCCTTCACTTATGTCTTTGGACAAGGTGCCTAGTCTGGAAAGCGAGAAGACCTGGGAGGGCAGGGAGAGTGAAGCTGGCAGCTCTCAGAGTGGGAAGAAGCCGGGCTGGGACCCCCTTCCTGTCCCCTCACCCTCCGGGACAGAAACCCCCCGGGCACAGGCTGCTGGTCCCCACTCCACTCAGAGCAAGCCCATCGCCTTCTCCGAGCTGCGTCCTTCTCCAAGGGGGCTTCCCTGGAGGGAGGGAGGGGGCTTCCTGCAGGTCCTGATTTCACACCCACATCCTTCCTGGTGGCCAAGAGGTCCACGGAGCAGCCTCCCTCCGCTTGACTCCACCTTCCCTTGTGGGTCCAGTCCCAACTGGACGGGAGGCTGTGGGTCCTGCCCGTCGGGGGAGTGACTGGTGTCTCCCGGTTCAGAGCAGAGGAAGAAGTATTCCAACTCCAACGTCATCATGCACGAGACCTCGCAGTACCACGTCCAGGTAAGGCCCCGCCCCCAGGTAGGCTCCGCCCCCAGGGAGCACCCTCAGGACATGGCTGTCCTCAGGTTCTCGTCTCCACAAAAAATAAAATAATTAGACGGGCATGGTGGTGCCGGCCTGTAGGCCCTGCTACTGGGGAGGCTGAGGCGAGGGGGTCACTTGAGCCCGGGAGGCGGAGGCTGTAGTGAGCCAAGATCGCACCACTGCACTCCAGCCTGGGCACCTGGGTGACAGAGCTAGACCCTGTCTCAAAACGAAAGAGAGAAAGAGAGAAAGAGAGAAAGGGAGGAAGGGAGGAAGGGAGGAAAGCTCCAGGGAGAGTGGTCAGCCCAGCTTCTGACACCCACGGGGCCGGGGGAGGCCAGAGCCAGAACTGCCCACACTGTCCCGGGCTCAGCCACGGGGCCGGGGAAAGCGCCCCTCTGGTTCCAGTCCTGGGAACTCGCGGCCTGGGGGGTGAGGCAGCCCAGGGTGTGCCGGGAAAACACTGTGGCTGCTGCCCAGCCCTGGATGGGAAGAGCCCCTGGAGGAGATGATCATCCTGGCCCCAAAACGAGGAACTGTATCGGGAGGGAGCAGGCAGAACAAAGACGCCCTTGATGGGGGATTCAGGGAGGCCCGGGCTGCTTCTCAGGGCTCAGACGGGGCTGCCTGCACGCGCCGGACCAGCCGCCAGCCCTGAGGGCTTTTCTGTTCTCCTAGGTCAGTTTCATTGACACGGAGAACTCAGGAAATGTTTTTTTGGGGGGTTTTGTGTGCGTGTGTGCGTGTGTGCGTGCGTGCGTGTGTGTGTGTGTGTGTGTGTCTTTTTTTCTTCCTTTCTTTCTCTCTCTCTCTGTCTCTCTCTTTTCTTTTCTTTCTTTCATTTTGAGACAGGGTCTAGCTCTGTCACCCAGGTGCCCAGGCTGGAGTGCAGTGGTGCGATCTTGGCTCACTACAGCCTCCGCCTCCTGGACTCAAGTGATCCCCTCACCTCAGCCTCCCCAGTAGCTGGGCCTACAGGCTGGCCCCACCATGCCCATCTAATTATTTTATTTTTTTGTGGAGATGGAAGTCTCCCTATGTTGCCCAGGCTGGTCTCAAACTCCTAGGCTCAAGCAATCCTCCCCCCTCCTAGCCAGGCCTGGTAGTGTGAGCTCGTAGTCCAGCTACTTGGGAGGCTCAGGCAGGAGGATCCCACCACGGCCCTCCAGCAGCCTGGGCAACAGAGTCTTAGGCCAGGCGCGGTGGCTCACGCCTGTAATCCCAGCACTTTGGGAGGCTGAGGTGAGTGGATCATCTGAGGTTAGGAGTTTGAGACCAGCCTGACCAACATGGCAAAACCTCATGTCTACTGAAAATACAAAATTAGCCAGGCGTCGTGGTGCATACCTATAATCCCAGCTACTCGGGAGGCTGAGGCAGGAGAATCACTGGAACCCAGGAGGCGGAGGTTGCAGTGAGCCGAGATCACACCACTGCACTCCAGCATGGGCAACAGAGCGAGACTCCATCTCAAAAAAGAGAAAAAAAAAAGGGACCAGGCGCGGTTGTTCATACCTGTAATCCCAGCACTTTGGGAGGCCGAGGCGGGTGGATCACCTGACGTCAGGAGTTCGAGACCAGCCTGACCAACATGGTGAAACCCCATCTCTACTAAAACTACAAAACTTAGCTGGACGTGGTGGTGGGAGCCTGTAGTCCCAGCTACTTGGGAAGCTGAGACAGGAGAATCACTAGAACCCGGGAAATGGAGGTTGCAGTGAGCCGGGATTGCGCCACTGCACTCCAGCCTGGGGGACAGGGCGAGACTCCATCTCAAAAGGAAAAAAAAAAAGGCCCCTGCGCCTGGGTACGAGCTGGGCTCCCGGTTGTGGTCCAAGCCTGGGTGCGAGCTGGGCTCCCGGTTGTGGTCCAAGCCTGGGTGCGAGCTGGGCTCCCGGTTGTCGTCCAAGCCTGGGTGCGAGCTGGGCTCCCGGTTGTCGTCCAAGCCTGGGTGCGAGCTGGGCTCCCGGTTGTCGTCCAAGCCTGGGTGCGAGCTGGGCTTCCGGTTGTGGTCCAAGCCTACAGGACTAGGAAAAGGAGGGAGGGTGAGGGAGCCTGGAGCTGGGTCCTCCTGCAGGACCAGTCCTTTCTGCCACAAACAGCCCTGGCTGGGGGCCCAAAATGCCCCCTGGTTCCCCCTTGCTGTCCTCCACACCTGCAGAGGTGAGACAGGTCACTACTCTTTGAGCCTCAGTTTCCTCGTCTGTACAATGGGTCCAAAGAGCCATCAGGAGTCCCTGAGCTCTTGAATCGGGCTGTTTTGGGTGACCAGGGCCCTCCCAGCAGCCTGGGCAGCTAGACCCTGCATACAGCCAGGCTGGTGACTTCGGCCAGCTCAGTGTCCAGGGGAAGGCACAGAGCAGTGGCCGAGTTCACTTTAGTCCCCTCTTCCTGGGCAGCTCCACCACCTTTCTCAGGGACTCTGCCCTCTTCGGGAGGAGCCTGGGGCCTCTCAGCCTGGCTCCTGGACTTTGGCCCCAGCTGGCCTGGCCTGGCCCCCAGCCAGCAGGAGCCTCGTCTGCCCAGAGGCCAACAGAGTGAGGAGTGGAGGGTGGGTGGGGCTTTCCTGCCTCTCCCCGATGAGGACACTGGGGACCAGAGAGAGGGTGAGAGTCTGGTGGGAAGTCTCTCCAGCCAGGTGGGGGCCGGATCAGATTGGCCCTGACAGTGGGTGGGGGGCACCTGAGCCCGGGTCCATGGTTTGCTTTTTTCTAAGTTATCACACAGTAAAAGCCATGTGTACGTGGGGGTGTGGTTCTGTTGCCACCATAGTCGACCCATCAGCCCCATCACTCCAAACCTGTGAATCCCCGACCTTGGTGGCTACCCCCAACCTCTGGCAACACCTGCCTGCCTTCATCACCACAGTTTCTGTTTGTTTGTGTGTTTGAGACGGAGTCTCGCTCTGTCACCCAGGCTGGAGTGCAATGGCGCGATCTCAGCTCACTGCAACCTCTGCCTCCCAGGTTCAAACCATTCTCCTGCCTCAGCCTCCTGAGTAGCTGGGACTACAGGCGCCCGCCACCACGCCTGGCTAAATTTTTTTTTCTCTGAGACAGAGTCTCACCCTGTCACCTAGGCTGGAGTGCGGTGGCGTGATCTTGGTTCACTGCAACCTCCGCCTCAAGGGTTCAAGTGATTCTCCTGCCTCAGCCTCCCCAGTACCTGGGATTACAGGCACGCACCACCACACCCAGCTAATTTTTTATATCTTTAGCAGAGATGGGGTTTCACCATGTTGGCCAGGCTGGTCTTGAACTCCTGACCTCAATTGATCCACCCACCTCAGCCTCCCAAAGTGGTGGGATTACAGGCGTGAGCCACCGTGCCTGGCCTAATTTTTGTATTTTTAGTACAGATGGGGTTTCACCATGTTGGCCAGGCTGGTCCCCAACGCCTGACCTCAAGTGATCCACCTGTTTTCACTATGTTGGCCAGGCTGGTCCCCAGTGCCTGACCTCAGGTGATCCACCTGCCTCCCAAAGTGCTGGGATGACGGACTGAGTCACTGCGTCCGGCCTCCATCATTGTGGTTTGATAAGTGGAAATTAATTTTTATGATGTCCATTCGTATGTGTTTTTCTTTTATGGTTTAGGGTTTTTGGCATCCTAAGAAGTCATCCTTTGACCAAATTTCTGGAGATTTCTTCCGTGTTTTCTTTTATTTTTTGTAAATTAGGAATTCACTGTGGAAGTTCCTGTGTTTTCTTTTTCTTTTCTTTTTTCTTTTTTTTTTTGAGGTGGAGCTTTGCTGTGTCACCCAGGCTGGGGTGCAGTGGCGTGATCTTGGTTCACTGCAACCTCCACCTCTTGGGTTCAAGCAATTCTCCTGCCTCAGCCTCCTGAGTATCTGGGATTACAGGAATCCATCACCATGCCCGGCTCATTTTTTGTATTTTCATCAGAGATGGGGTTTCACCATGTTGGCAAGGCTGGTCTCGAACTCCTGATCCCAGGTGATCCACCAGCCTTAGCCTCCCAAAGTGCTGGGATTACAGGCGTGAGCCGCCGCGCTGGGCCAGTTCCTGTGTTTTCTTTTGGATGCTTCCCAGTGTAGGCTTTTGCGTTTAGGGCCAGGATCCATTTTATTTTATTTTATTTTATTTTATTTATTTTTTTATTTAATTTTTAAATTTTATTTTATATTTATTTTATTTTATTTTATTTTTTTTTGAGACAGTCTCAATGTACTGGACCACACTGATTGACTGTTTTGAATGTTGAACCAGCCTAATCCTCATTTATTCCAAGTGTGTGATCCTTTTTCCTGTGTTGAGGGACTGATGTGGTAATATTGTTGTTAGGGGTATTTTGTGTTGATGTCCATTAGAGGTACTGGTCTGTAATTTTCGTATAATGCCTATGGCAGGTTGTGTGGCAGGGTTATGTTGGTTTTATAAAATGGGTGGGGAAGTATTCCCTCCTCTTCTGTTTTCAGAAAGAGTTTGTGGGCCGGGCGCGGTGGCTCATGCCTGTAATCCCAGCACTTTGGGAGGCTGAGGTGGGCAGATCACAAGGTCAGGAGATCAAGACCATTCTGGCTAACATGGTGAAACCCCGTCTCTACTAAAAATACAAAAAATTAGCCAGGTGGGATGGCGGGTGCCTGTAGTCCCAGCTACTCGGGAGGCTGAGGCAGGAGAATGGCGTGAACCCCGGAGGCGGAGCTTGCAGTAAGCTGAGATTGCGCCACTGCACTCCAGCCTGGGAGACAGAGTGAGACTCTGTCTCAAAAAAAAAAAAAGAGTTTGTGAAAGCTTGTTATTGTTTCTTCCTTAGATATTTGTTAGGATTTGCCAGTGCTGCCCTCGGAGCACAGGATTTTCTTTGTGGGAAGGTTTCGGTTATTAATCCCCTCTCCTGCCTGTAAGATCTGTAGTGATGCCCCCTCTTTTGTTCTGGTTTTTGAGAATTTGTGTTTTCTCTAGTATTTTTCTTGATCAGGCTTGCTAGGGATTTACCAAGTTTATTAACCTTCTCATAACTAACTTTGGGCTCTGTTGATTTGTGTCTGTCAGTAGTCTGTGTAAAGTGCGTTGACCTCCTCTTAATTTTCTACCTTCCACTTACTGTGGGTTTTATTTGATTCACTTTATCTTTTTCTTTTGTTTTTTTTTTTTTTTTTTTTGAAATGGAGTCTTGCTCTGTCGCCCAGGCTGGAGTGCAGTGGCACGATCTTGATTCACTGCAAGCTCCGCCTCCTGGGTTCACGCCATTCTCCTGCCTCAGCCTCCCAAGTAGCTGGGACTACAGGTGCCCACCACCACGCCCAGCTAATTTTTTGTATTTTTAGTAGAGACGGGGTTTCACCGCGTTAGCCAGGATGGTCTCGATCTCATGACCTCACGATCCGCCTGCCTCGGCCTCCTAAAGTGCTGGGATTACAGGCATGAGCCACCGCGCCCGGCATTGATTCACTTTTCCTACCTGCTTAAGGTGAAACCTTAGATTATTTATCTTTTTTTTTTTTTTTTTTTTCTGAGATGGAGTCTCACTCTGTCACCCAGGCTGGAGTGCACTGGTGCAATCTCAGCTCACTGCAACCTCCGCCTCCTGGGTTCAAGCGATTCTCCTGCCTCAGCCTCCCAAGTAGCTGAGGTTACAGGCATGCACCACCATGCCTGGCTAATTTTTGTGTGGGGTTTTTTTTTTTTTTGAGACAGAGTCTCGCTCTGTCACCCAGGCTGGAGTGCAGTGGCACCATCTCAGCTCACAGCAAGCTCCGCCTCCCAGGTTCATGCCATTCTCCTGCTTCAGCCTCCTGAGTAGCTGGGACTACAGGCGCCCGCCACCCCGCCCGGCTAATTTTTTGTGTTTTTAGTAGAGATAGGGTTTCACCGTGTTAGCCAGGATGGTCTTGATCTCCTGACTTTGTGATCTGCCTGCCTCAGCCTCCCAAAGTGCTGGGATAATTTTTGTATTTTCAGTACAGACAAGAGTTTTGCCATGTTGGCCCAGCTGGTCTCAAACTCCTGATCTCAAGTGATCCACCCTCCTTGGCCTCCCAAAGTGCTGGGATTACAGGCGTGAGCCACCGTGCCTGGCCAGATTATTGATCTTAAGTCTTTCTTCTTTTCTAAGATATTCATGGAAAGCTCTACATTCTCCTTGCAGCACTGGTTTAGTTGTATTCCACAAATTGTGATATGTATGTTCAGAATGCTTTCTAGTTTTCTTGTGACTTCATCTTTGATGCATGGGTTATTTAGAAATATGTTGCTTTGTTTCTAAACATTTGGGGATTTTCTGGTTTTATTTTTATTATGGGTTTCTACCTTAATTCTGTTATGATCAAAAAACATATTCTGTACTGTTGCAGTCACTTGAGATTTACTGAGACTTGTTCTGTGGCCCAGCAGCCTGGTTTTTCTTGTTTGGTTGTATTGTGTGTTTCAGGTTTTACTCTGCCTCTCGCAGAGAGATGAGTGGCCTCATAGTCCCTTGCGTGTTTCTGCACACTTATTTTATTTATTTATTTATTTTTGAGACAGAGTCTCGCTCTGTTGCCCAGGCTGGAATGCAATGGCACGATCTCGGCTCACTGCAATCTCTACCTTCCGGGTTCAAGTGATTCTCTTAACTCAGCCTCCTGAGTAGCCGGGGTTACAGGCGCCCACCACCACGCCGGGCTAATTTTTGTATTTTTAGTAGAGACGGGGTATCACCGTGTTGGTCAGGCTGGTCTCGAACTCCTGACCTTGTGATCCACCTGCCTTGGCCTCCCAAAGTGCTGGGATTACAGGCATGAGCCACCGTGTCTGGCCCTGTGCCCACTGTAACCTGTTGGATCTGCCCACTTCTTTAACCTGTTGATGGACATGTAGGCTGGGTCCAGTCTTTATTATTACAAATAGTTCTGCATTGAGCAGCCTGGTACCGATGCCACATTTTGCACGTGTGCAGATTACCTGTAGTAGAATTGGGAGGGGATGGTGTGTGCAGCTTTAGAGGTGCCACTGGCCTCTCCCCAGAGAGGCTGGGCAGGTGCTGGATGAGGGCATCCTTTCTCCACATCCTAACCCATAAGTAAAACCCACAATGACTATTAGTATTGGGCAATAGAATAGGTAAAAAAACACAATTCCTGGCTGGGCGAGGTGGCTCATGCCTATAATCCCAGCACTTTGGGAGGCACAGGCAGGAGGATCGCTTCAGCCCAGGAGTTCAAGACCAGCCTGGGCAACATAGCAAGCCCTTGTCTCTAGAAAAAATAAATAGGCAGGGCACAGTGGCTCACGTCTGTAATCCCAGCACTTTGGGAGGCCGAGGCGGGCAGATCACAAGGTCAGGAGATGGAGACCATCCTGGCTAATATGGTGAAACCCCATCTCTACTAAAAATACAAAAAATTAGCCGGGCGTGGTGGCAGGCGCCTGTAGTCCCAGCTACTCGGGAGGCTGAGGCAGGAGAATGGCGTGAACCTGGGAGGCGGAGATTGCAGTGAGCCGAGATCGCGCCACTGCACTCCAGCCTGGGCAGCAGAGTGAGACTCCGTTTCAAAAAAAAGAAAAAAAAAATTGTTAACCAAAAACCAAACAGAGGCTGGGCATGGTGGCTCACGCCTGTAATCCCAGCACTTTGGGAGGCTGAGGCGGGCAGATAACCTGAAGTCAGTAGTTTGAGACCATTCTGGCCAACATGGAGAAACCTTGTCTCTACTAAAAATACAAAAATTAGTCGGGTGTGGTGGTGGGTGCCTATAATCCCACGTACTCGGGAAGCTGAAGCAGGAGTATCACTTGAACCCGGGAGGCGGAGCTTGCAGTGAGCCAAGATCACACCACTGCATTCCAGCCTGGGGGACAGAGCGAGACTGTCTCAAAAACAAAACAAAAACTAACAAACAAACAAAAAAACCCGCCAAACCGACAAAACACTAAAATAAAAGAGGCTCAGAGTTTCAAATTGTAATTCTTTCATTCAATGGTGTTGCATACAATTTTTTCTTTGAGTTTTTGCATGCTTTTTTAATTTTTTTTTTTTTTTTTAGTTTGAGACAGGGTCTCTCTCTGTTGCCCAGGCTCAGTGCAGTGGCACGAACATGGTTCACTGCAACTTTGACCTCCTGGGCTCAAGCATTCCTCCCACTTCAGCCTCCCAAGTAGCTGGGATGACAGGTGTGTACCACCACACCTGGCTAATTTTTTAATTTTTTTAATTTCTTTTTTTTTTTTTTGAGATGGAGTCTCACTCTGTCGCCCAGGCTGGAGTGCAGTGGCACGATCTTGATTCACTGCAAGCTCCGCCTCCTGGGTTCACGCCATTCTCCTGCCTCAGCCTCCCGAGTAGCTGGGACTATAGGCGCCTGCCACCACGCCTGGCTAATTTTTTGTATTTTTAGTAGAGACGGGGTTTCACCATATTAGCCAGGATGATCTCAATCTCCTGACCTTGTGATCCACCCGCCTCGGCCTCCCAAAGTGCTAGGATTACAGGCATGAGCCACTGCGCCCGATCTTTTTTTTTTTTTTTTGAGACAGAGTCTTCCTCTGTTGCCCAGCCTGGAGTGTAGTGGTGCAATCTTGGCTCACTGTAACCTCTGCCTCCTGGGTTCAAGTGATTCTCCCACCTCAGCCTCCCGAGTAGCTGGGATTACAGGCGCCCGCCACAATGCCTGGCTAATTTTTTGTATTTTTAGTAGAGACAGGGTTTCACCATGTTGGCTAGGCTGGTCTCGAACTCCTGACCTCAGGTGATCCACCCGCCTCGGCCTCCCGCAGTGCTGGGATGATAGATGTGAGCCACCGCGCCCGGCCACACAAACTTTTATGTTTTGCGTTTTGTGGTTGTCTTTGACTGTCCTGTAGTTCAAGTTAGTGTTTATCCAGCTGTGCCAGCATTGTGCACCGAACGGCCAACCCTTCGTGGGAGGGTTTTACTTAGTGAACACGGCAGCTTGGCTGGAGGAGGGGGCCTGAGCCAGGCCTGGAAAGAGGAGAGGTGAAGGGCACAGGGCAGGGGCCAGGCTGGCCGCAGATCCTCAGGGATGGACGCATCCCGCACACACTTGTCGAGGGTCCTCTGTGCACCAGGCTTTGCCCTGGACCTGGGGACACAGCTTAGCAAGTGGCAACCGGAACAGTGCCTTGGAGTAGCGAGCACGCTGGACGCACAGCACACCACGTGCAGCGCGACGTTGGGTCTGATTCAGGGAATTAGGGCAGGTCGGGATGGGGTGACGGCTGGCATTGTAGCCAGGTGGCCACAGAGGGGACGTCTGAGAAGGAAGAGAGCTGGGGAGGCTGGCAAAGCTGGTGCAGTGGGCGGGTACTGAGCCTGCACCAGGAGGTGGGCGGGTGAGGATGGTGGCGCGGGGCCGGGCAGCAGTTGGAATTCCTTTGAGGATAGTTTCAGGACACAAGCATGGCCCCTACAGATGCCTGCCAAGGCAGAATAGAGACTCCCCCCACCAAAGGCGGGGCCGGTCCCCGTTCTAGCCCCCTACCCAGGGTTGGCTGTGGCCCCTCAGCCCCTCAGGCTGTGGCCCCTGGGGGCTGGGCTTTCGACACAAGGAGGGCTCTGCCCAGCAGTGACCACCTGCCCACCCCCAGCACCTGGCCACATTCATCATGGACAAGAGCGAAGCCATCACGTCTGTGGACGACGCCATCCGGAAGCTGGTGCAGCTGAGCTCCAAGGAGAAGATCTGGACCCAGGAGATGCTGCTGCAGGTGAACGACCAGTCGCTGCGGCTGCTGGACATCGAGTCACAGGTGGGGCCCAGCGCCACGGGGGACAGGGAGCACAGTGGGTAGAGGCGGTGGCAGCCACCGGCTGCAGCCCGGATGTGCGGCCGGTCCTCTCTGCAGGGCCGGCCATGCCCTATCATTCTGGTCCCTGGAAGAGGATGGGACAAGGGTGGGCAGAGGGCCGCATAGAGCTGAGAGTCCAGGGAAGTTTGGAAGCCGGGGTCAGCCTTGCGGTACAGCTGCGGGGTGTGTCCCGGGCCTAGTCCTCATCTTTGGGAGCCCATTCCCCAGCGGCGCCAGAGGGGCCTGTGCTCCAGGCTTGTCCACAGCTCCGGCCACTCCCTGCCAGAGTGCCCAGACCCCGGGTGCGAGTCGTGTCCGCGCGATGTACCCGCAGGAGGAGCTGGAAGACTTCCCGCTGCCCACGGTGCAGCGCAGCCAGACGGTCCTCAACCAGCTGCGCTACCCGTCTGTGCTGCTGCTCGTGTGCCAGGACTCGGAGCAGAGCAAGCCGGATGTCCACTTCTTCCACTGCGATGAGGTGGAGGTGAGGCGGTGCCGGGCGGGGCAGGGTGGGGCCCCGCCGCGCCGCGCCCCGCCCTCCTGGCCGCCTGACGCCCGCTTTCCCAGGCAGAGCTGGTGCACGAGGACATCGAGAGCGCGTTGGCCGACTGCCGGCTGGGCAAGAAGATGCGGCCGCAGACCCTGAAGTAGGGCAGCGGGCGGAGCGGGGTCGCAGGGGGCGGGGAGGGGAGGAGCCCGGCAGGGGAGGGGAGGAGCCGGCAGGGGAGGGGAGGAGCCCGGCAGGGAGGGAGGGTCAGGTGCGTTCCCGGCGGGGCTGAGCAGGACCCCCTCGCCCTCCAGGGGACACCAGGAGAAGATTCGGCAGCGGCAGTCCATCCTGCCTCCTCCCCAGGGCCCGGCGCCCATCCCCTTCCAGCACCGCGGCGGGGATTCCCCGGAGGCCAAGAATCGCGTGGGCCCGCAGGTGCCACTCAGCGAGCCAGGTGGGCCGAGGGGCTGGAGGGGGCTCCACAGGGCTCGTTGTGGGGGGCTCGGTGAGCAGCCGCCGTGTCCCCCATCAGGTTTCCGCCGTCGGGAGTCGCAGGAGGAGCCGCGGGCCGTGCTGGCTCAGAAGATAGAGAAGGAGACGGTGGGTGCCCGGGCCCGGCAGGTGGCCCCTCTCTTCCCCGCCCCCAGCAGTGGACACTGGTCCTTGCTGTCCCTCCGGCCAGTCCCCAGCCTGTGGCTGCCCCTCCGAAGGTGTGGGGCCCAGCTCCTCCCATCATCTGTGGGGCTGTCCCTGCAGCAAGGCGGGGCGGTGGGGAGTGTCAGGGGCTGACCCCTGACCCCCTCTGACCCCAGCAAATCCTCAACTGCGCCCTGGACGACATCGAGTGGTTTGTGGCCCGGCTGCAGAAGGCAGCCGAGGCTTTCAAGCAGCTGAACCAGCGGAAAAAGGGGAAGAAGAAGGGCAAGAAGGCGCCAGCAGGTGCAGGGGACAGGGACGGGGCCGGCAGGTGCAGGGGACGGGGCCAGCAGGTGCAGGGGACAGGGACGGGGACGGGGCCAGGGACATCCATGGGGGCTACTCATGGAGGTGGAGGAAGGTCCAGCCCACACAGATGGGCTGCGTGGGACAGAAGGCGCAGGGGCCGGGGAGATCAGGGCCAGCCTGGCTCACGCGGTGCCTCCCATGCCAGAGGGCGTCCTCACACTGCGGGCACGGCCCCCCTCTGAGGGCGAGTTCATCGACTGCTTCCAGAAAATCAAGCTGGCGATTAACTTGCTGGTGGGTCCGGTGGCCCCAGCCCTGCCCCACTGTCTGTGCTGAGGGGAGGGTGGAGGCCCCGCCCCGCCCCGGCACCTGCTCACTTGTTCCCACCCCCAGGCAAAGCTGCAGAAGCACATCCAGAACCCCAGCGCCGCGGAGCTCGTGCACTTCCTCTTCGGGCCTCTGGACCTGGTGCCTGGGGCCGGGCGGCAGGGGCGCGCAGGGTGGGGGCCCAGAGGCCTCTGCAGCATCTCCCCGGGGTCGGGGTTGGGGCAGCAGGTGCCCGCCTTGGGCAGCCCGGTTCACGCTGTGTGGCCACTCTCCCTGGGGTCCAAAGTCCCTTCCCGAGGGCCAGCCTGTGGAGCTACGGGGGTGCTGGGCCAGGGTCTGTGGGCCTCAGTCCCCTCTGAACCTCACTGTGCCCCAGATCGTCAACACCTGCAGTGGCCCAGACATCGCACGCTCCGTCTCCTGCCCACTGCTCTCCCGAGATGCCGTGGACTTCCTGCGCGGCCACCTGGTCCCTAAGGAGATGTCGCTGTGGGAGTCACTGGGAGAGAGCTGGATGCGGCCCCGGTAGGGCAGGGCAGAGCAGTGCCGGGGCTTCATGGGGGGCCAGCGCTGCATGGGGGCCAGCAAGGGGGTCCTGGTGGGCCAGTTCTGGAGAGGCAGGGCTGACTTCAGGACCTCTCACCCCAGTTCCGAGTGGCCGCGGGAGCCACAGGTGCCCCTCTACGTGCCCAAGTTCCACAGCGGCTGGGAGCCTCCTGTGGATGTGCTGCAGGAGGCCCCCTGGGAGGTGGAGGGGCTGGCGTCTGCCCCCATCGAGGAGGTGAGAGCACCAGCAGCCCCCATCCCTACCCCAGCCCCAACACCCACTCCTCACCAGAGCTCCCCCCCAGCCCTGACACCCACCCCTCCCCAGAGCTCCCCCCCCAGCCCTGACACCCACCCCTCCCCAGTGCTCCCCTCCCCAGCCCCGACACCCACCCCTCCCCAGAGCTCCCCTCCCCGGCCCCGACACCCACCCCTCCCCAGAGCTCCCCTCCCCAGCCCACCTCCACCCACCGCCCCTTCAGCCACAGCTCAGCTGCCCCTAGCCCCTGCCAGGAGAGGCAACCCATGCTGGCATCACCGGGCATCAGGCTCCATCACCCTCAGTGATGCATCAGTCACAGGACATTAGCCCAGCCCCTGTCATATGCCCCCTCGTCCTGGGACCCAGCCCCGCCCCATGTCTAACTCAGGTCGCCCACCTTCCCCACAGGTGAGTCCAGTGAGCCGACAGTCCATAAGAAACTCCCAGAAGCACAGCCCCACTTCAGAGCCCACCCCCCCGGGGGATGCCCTACCACCAGTCAGCTCCCCACATACTCACAGGTAAGCCCCCCTCAAAGTGAGGGAGCATGAAAGTGAAACCCTTCAGAACCTACAGTCTCTAAAAACATATGGGTACGCTGCCACCAGGTGGTGGCAAGTGCATTGTTCAAGTGGTTTAAAATACTTTTCCAGATTTGAAGCGGTTTTCATTTCAACTGCATGATATATAATTAAAGGAAACATTTCAAAAGTCATGCACAAATTCTCTACCCTAATATATCAGCTTTTTCTGTGCATCCACATGTATGTTTTAGAACCAAGGTTAGAAACTACTAAACCACTGAACTTGAGTGGTTTCACCAAACACTGGCACCCTGTTGGGGCTGTTGGGACTGATTCAGGCCCAACCTCTGGTAGAGCCAAAAGAGGAGACTGGGGTTCTGGGCTAGTGAAGCCTCTCCCCTCCTCCCACCCCCAGCCCCACCTGTTTCCAAAGAGGACAAAGAACAAGCCTATGGCACTAGGGGAGTCCCGTCTTTCCTTGCCTCTCCTCTTCCCTTCTGTGCTCATTCCTGGTCCAATCTGCATGGGAAGCCCCTGACCCTCCCACACCCCAGGATTCAATTTTGGGGTAAAGAGGGGCCAGCAATCCATCTTCTAAGCAAGCATGGCCTCCCCTCACCCACAGTGTCAGCCTGGCTCCCGTGGTCCCTGGCCTAGGACCACACTTAAAAACATTTCCACCCTTTGACTTCAGCTCCTGGTCTGTCCACCCTGGCCATGTCCTGACAGTCCATGGCCACTTCATTTCCCTGAGCACCTGGACACGGGAGCTGCCCTGATGACCAGGGCCACACTGACCAGGATGGACGGCCTGGCCAGGTGACAGCCACAGGCCTGCTACATGCCAAAGCCAGGACCCCTCAGCCAGGGCCAGCCCCCCCGCGCTTTTGAGGTGCAGGTCCCACCCCACAGAGAGGAGCTTGAGACCCGTCCTCCACTGGACCATTTGGGCTGTGTTCAGTCCTCAGAGGGGCCACGGCTCTGAAGACATGCTGGCCCTCACTGGCCAGCTGCGGGGAGCTGTGACCCTGGCGTTTCCCAGGAACGCCCCTGGCTCTGGTTCCCCTGGGGTGCCGGACTGGAGACCCCTGAGGTGGCCTGGGATGGGCCAGCCTTGCTGTACCACAGGCCCCTGCGCCACGCCCACCTCCTGCCTGCCCCGCCTCCACGCAGGGCCCCAAAGCTCTGGGGCTGTCACAGTTTCCATTCCGGGCTGACGCTGCCTGCAGCCTCTCTCCACGGTGACCTCCAGAACAGAAAAGAGGCAGCCAGTCGTGCACCTGGGAAGCTGCTGCCCCCCAGCCACTGCCCAGGTCTCAGAGGAGACCCCCACCAGACTGGGCCTCAGCCCCTCCTGTTCCTCACAGGGGCTACCAGCCAACACCAGCCATGGCCAAGTACGTCAAGATCCTGTATGACTTCACAGCCCGAAATGCCAACGAGCTATCGGTGCTCAAGGATGAGGTCCTAGAGGTGAGGGGCTGGAGGACGGGGTCCAAGAGGGGGAAACAGGGCAGGGCTTCAAGGGAGGGGCTACCAGGGGAGGTGGGGAGCGGTCTAGGGCCAGGCTGGGTGATGCCAGGACGGGGCACAGCTGCTGGCCCCTTTCTCCAGGGTCCCCGCCCTTGGACTCTGATCAGGATCCCCAGCCTGTTGGAGGGGCCTTCCCATCTTGGGGCTCCCCAAAGGCATGCAGAGACCCCTGTGCCAGGCTGGGGGGAGCATCTGCACCACGTGGACTCAGCGGGGGCCTGTCATTCACACCCACCCAGGAGCCCCCACATCTGCACTGGCCGCATCTGCCAGCCGGAATCCAGGCCACCCACTGGGGGACAGAAAGTGGAGCAGGCTAGGGGGGAGTGGGCCACATCCACAGCCTGGCTCGGCGGCTCACGCCTGTAACCGCAGCACTGGGAGGCCAAGGCGGGAGGATCCCTTTAGCCCACGAGTTCGAGACAAGCCTGGGCAACACCTCAAAACCCCATCTCTACAAAAAACATAAAAATTATCTGGATGTGGTGGTGTGTGCCTGTGGTCCCAGCTACTCTGGAGGCTGAGGTGGGGGGATCGCCTGAACCCAGGAGGTCGAGGCTGCAGTGGGCAGTGATTGCACCACTGCATTCCAGCCTGGGCGGCAGAGTGAGACCCTGTCTCCGAGAAAAAAAGGGTCCCCCAGACTCCTTGAGGCAGGGTGGGGGAGGAGCAGCCCAGCGAGGGATGGAGGGGTGGAAACAGGGGTGCGGAGAGAATGGAGCGAAGCGGGGCTCCGGGAGACCCTAGGGCGCTCCCGACCTCTGTAAAGCGGCGCCAGCGGGTGGTCCCAGCCCCGCAGAGCCTGGGTGTGGGGAGGGGCTGACGGCGCGCCCCGCAGGTGCTGGAGGACGGCCGGCAGTGGTGGAAGCTGCGCAGCCGCAGCGGCCAGGCGGGGTACGTGCCCTGCAACATCCTAGGCGAGGCGCGACCGGAGGACGCCGGCGCCCCGTTCGAGCAGGTGAGCCCGCGGGGGTCCCTGGGGTCGCAGCCCCCAGCTTCCTGGAGCAGCCCCGCCTGCGCCTAGCCCCGCCCCAAGGCCAGCCCCGCGGCTGGAGAGACTGGGGCAGGTGCAGGGCTCCCTGGGCAGAAGGAAAGGGCTGGTCCGCAGGCCGGGGCTGTAGGGGGATTGGCGGGGTGGGGAGGTCCCGGGCAGGTGCTGGGAGGCGGGGGCGGGGCGTGGGGAGCCTAATCGCCCCCCGCCCCCGCAGGCCGGTCAGAAGTACTGGGGCCCCGCCAGCCCGACCCACAAGCTACCCCCAAGCTTCCCGGGGAACAAAGACGGTGAGAGCTGCTGCTTCGAGGCGGGGGTCCCGGGCCCAGGGCCACCTGGGGGAGGAAGTGTGGGGGGGGTCCCTGGGCCGGGGGCGGGGGCAGGGGCAAGGCAGCGGCGGGCCTGAGTCGCGCGCCCCCTCAGAGCTCATGCAGCACATGGACGAGGTCAACGACGAGCTCATCCGGAAAATCAGCAACATCAGGGCGCAGCCACAGAGGCACTTCCGCGTGGAGCGCAGCCAGCCCGTGAGCCAGCCGCTCACCTACGAGTCGGGTCCGGACGAGGTCCGCGCCTGGCTGGAAGCCAAGGCCTTCAGCCCGCGGTGAGCGGGGGCGGGGGATGAGCTGGGGCCCGGGCGAGGGGTGGGAGGTGCGGCCGAAGGTGCGCAGCTGTCGGGGCGGGCGCCAGGCAGCCTCGCTCACAGCGCGGCCCTGACGCCCAACTGCCCGCCCCCAGGATCGTGGAGAACCTGGGCATCCTGACCGGGCCGCAGCTCTTCTCCCTCAACAAGGAGGAGCTGAAGAAAGTGTGCGGCGAGGAGGGCGTCCGCGTGTACAGCCAGCTCACCATGCAGAAGGCCTTCCTGGAGGTGAGCCCGCCTGCGCTCCGGCGCCACGCCCCTCCTGCCCCTGCGCCCTCCTCTCCCCCGCCCGTTCCTGGGGTCGCAGAGCAAGGGGGAGGCCGGCACCCAGACACGTGGGACCCCCGGCTGAGGATGCCCCCATTTCTCCTCCCTAGAAGCAGCAAAGTGGGTCGGAGCTGGAAGAACTCATGAACAAGTTTCATTCCATGAATCAGAGGAGGGGGGAGGACAGCTAGGCCCAGCTGCCTTGGGCTGGGGCCTGCGGAGGGGAAGCCCACCCACAATGCATGGAGTATTATTTTTATATGTGTATGTATTTTGTATCAAGGACACGGAGGGGGTGTGGTGCTGGCTAGAGGTCCCTGCCCCTGTCTGGAGGCACAACGCCCATCCTTAGGCCAAACAGTACCCAAGGCCTCAGCCCACACCAAGACTAATCTCAGCCAAACCTGCTGCTTGGTGGTGCCAGCCCCTTGTCCACCTTCTCTTGAGGCCACAGAACTCCCTGGGGCTGGGGCCTCTTTCTCTGGCCTCCCCTGTGCACCTGGGGGGTCCTGGCCCCTGTGATGCTCCCCCATCCCCACCCACTTCTACATCCATCCACACCCCAGGGTGAGCTGGAGCTCCAGGCTGGCCAGGCTGAACCTCGCACACACGCAGAGTTCTGCTCCCTGAGGGGGGCCCGGGAGGGGCTCCAGCAGGAGGCCGTGGGTGCCATTCGGGGGAAAGTGGGGGAACGACACACACTTCACCTGCAAGGGCCGACAACGCAGGGGACACCGTGCCGGCTTCAGACACTCCCAGCGCCCACTCTTACAGGCCCAGGACTGGAGCTTTCTCTGGCCAAGTTTCAGGCCAATGATCCCCGCATGGTGTTGGGGGTGCTGGTGTGTCTTGGTGCCTGGACTTGAGTCTCACCCTACAGATGAGAGGTGGCTGAGGCACCAGGGCTAAGCAATTAAACCAGTTAAGTCTCCCAGGAGCCGTGTGTCTCAGTTCTCTGGGAGTCGGAGTGGGTCCTGGAGCCCCCGGAAACTGCACCTTTTCTAAGCAGTGCCGGGCAGAGGGCTGGCCGTCCGCCAGGCTGCTCTGCCCCTGAGCCCAGAGGGGACCCTGCCCACTTCTCTTCCTGTGGCCCTCCCAGGCCCAGCGACCAGAAGGCCCAAAGCGTGTCATCCAAGCCCGGCTTTCGCTGGGCACAACCCTAGTGGGAGCGGTGGGGACAGAGCCAGCTCGGCCAGACGGTCGGCAGGCCCCAGGAGGGCCATGAGTCAGAGGGCAAGGCTGAAACTGGATTTGGAGATCTTAGCCCAGGCTGACGGAGGCTCCCAAGAAGGGGGAGCAGGCCACACTCAGCACCCTGCGTGGGAGGGGCACCTGACCGCCAGATGGGCGGTCCACCTGAGCCGCACCCTTGGAGGGGCCTTTGGTGCCCTCTGCCGGCCGCTCCATGTGCTGCCGTGAGTGGCCGCCAGGGGTGCCCTCGCCCTGGATTGGTGGCAGGGGGCAACCCACAACCATGTGTCCCCATAGCAGCCGTGAACCCAACCCTGGTGCGGAGCATCCGGGGACACAGTCCTGGGGTCTTGGCCTGGGCAGGGGCGACTGTGGGGCTGGGCTGGGGGGGGCGTGTCCCTTGCCTGGTCCACCACCCAGCCAGGCCTGGACACCAGGCCACAGAAGCCCTGACTCACAGCTCAGGCCACACTAGGCCAAGTCTTAACCACAGTGTCTGGTCGGGGCAGCAGGGATTGTCTGGTGCCCTCTGAGCCACGACCCGGGCTTGATGGCCACCACCACTCCTCCAGGCCCCCGGAAGAGGCCCCCCCACCCTGTCAGATGGACCCTGCAGTGAGAGAGACAGGTCCAAGAGGAAAAGGGGAGGGATGGGGGCACCGGCCCTCCTCCCTGCAACCTGCAGCTCCCGCTGCCTGCTGAGCCACCACCTCAGGACGGGGATAGGCACCGGGGCTATATCTGCTCCAAAAGGGGCCTCTGTGGGCCCCAGGATGCCAGTCCTTGGAAGTGAGGGAGGCTGCCCACTCCCCAACCACTCCCAGCAACAGGACCCTTCCTCCACCAGGATGGTCTGGGCTTCATATGCAGCCTCCAGGCTGGGCTGCTCAGCTTCTGAGGGCCCCAGATCTACACCTGCTTCTTCAGCCTTCTCCCTGTCCACCTCCCCCAGCCCCATTTAGAGCCCCCTACCTGCTGTGCCCCACTCTGCCACCTGCACAGCTGAGGAGCCCCAGGAAGCCAGACCCCCAGACTCCAGCCCCCAGATCCCAGCCCTAGGCCCCAAGCAGGCTCCCACCCCAGGAGCCCTGAGTCCGAGGCACCCTGGCCCCAGCTGCCTGCTCGGACCTCTGGGCTTCCAGAAATTACCTCCCGTTTCTTCCAAGGGGCTTCCTGCCACCTCCTGAGACCCCCCTCAAGAGCAGATGGGACCACCGACCTCACCGGCCTGGTGATGGGCACAGGGTCACCTGGCATCGGGTGGGCTGGCTCTCTGTGTCCTCTCTGGCCACCCGCCCCAGGGGTGAGGATTGCCCCCCTTCCTGCCCTGAGGGCATCACTCTTGGGGGCCTGTGGTGTTTTGAGTGCTGCCCGCGGCCTCCGGAGGCCCCAGTGGCAGCCCCGTGAGGCAGGCGTGGATAAGAATGACCCGTAGAGGGGCCAGGTCACCTGCTCGAGGCCCGAGTTTGGGGCAGGGGCTGGGGTTAACATGCAATCTCTCTTAGTTCCAACGTGTCCTTAACCACTCACTCCCTCCCCGGCCTCCCTACCCACTTCCCCATCAGGCAGGTCCACAGAAAGAAGGAGGGTCTGCTGGTGCTGGCCCTGGTGGGGCCAGGGTTGCCGAGGGTCTGGCCGTGAGTGTGGGAGAGTCCACACTGGGCGAGGAGGGAGGGCGGGGCTTTGAACATCAGACCTCAGGGTGGGTGGCCTGAGCTGCCAGTGGGGCCACCAGTAGCCACAAGCAAATATCTCCACCAACAAGGCCCGTCTGTCTCGGGACAAGCATGTCTTTGTGGCGCTTGCTCCCCTTCTGTCCTCCCCCACAGCTGGCCCTGTCCGCCCGTGCCCAGTCAGGCCCCGCAGAACCCAAGAGGGGCTTCCCATGCCATTTAGGAAGGGCTGTCTCTTTAAAAAAAAAAAAAATTACAAAACGGTTGATTTCCCAAGAGGTTGACACAGCAGCACGTACAGTAAGATGTTCCTCACACCTGCGGGGATGCCATGGTCCCAGCCCGGGGCACCCGTTACCCAGGAAGGTGGTGAGAGTGGTGCTGGGAAAATGTGTGGAGAAACACAACAGGGACCCCCACTAACCCCACAAAGCTGAACCAGCCCCAGCAGTACTAGACGTCATGAGAGGCAAAACGACCAAGTTCACAGAAGATGCCAGGATATCCATGTGACAAAGGGGAAGAAGAATTTTCTGTACAAAACTTCAAAAGCAGTGGATACCAGGCGCGGCAGCTCACGCCTGTAATCCCAGCACTTTGGAAGGCCGAGGCAGGTGGATCACCTGAGGTCAGGAGTTCGAGACTAGCCTGGCCAACATGGTGAAACCCCATCTCTACTAAAAATACAAAAATTAGCCGGGCATGGTGGCGCGTGCCTGTAATCCCAGCTACTTGGGAGGTTGAGGGAGGAGACTCACTTGAACCCAGGGGGCAGAGGTTGCAGTGAACCAAAATCATGCCACTTCACTCCAGCAAAAGAGCAAAACTCTGTTTCAAAAATAAAATAATGAAAATTTTAAAAAGGGAGTCAATGAGTTTGATTTTGGCAAAATTAAAGACTTGCAGCCGGGCGCAGTAGCTCACACCTGTAATCCCAGCACTTTGGGAGGCCAAGGCAAAAGGATAGCTTGAGCCCAGGGGTTCGAGACCAGCCTGGGCAAATGGCTAGACCCTGTCTCTACAAAAAAAAATTATTAGGCCGGGCACGGTGGCTCATGCCTGTTATCCCAGCACTTTGGGAGGCCAAGGTGGGCAGATCACGAGGTCAGGAGATTGAGACTATCCTGGCTAACACGGCGAAACCTCGTCTCTACTAAAAGTACAAAAAATTAGCTGGGCATGGTGGCGGGCACCTGTAGTCCCAGCTACTGAGGAGGCTGAGGCACGAGAATTGCTTGAACCTGGGAGGCAGAGGTTGCAGTCAGCAGAGATCACGCCACTGCGTGAGCAGAGATCATGCCACTGCACTCCAGCCTGGGCAACAGAGAGAGACTCTGTCTCAAAAAAAAGAAAAGAAAAGAAAAAAAGTTATTAAATTAGCCAGGCGTGCTGGTGAGTGCCTGTGGTCTCACTGCCTGTGCTACTCGGGAGGCTGAGTGGGGAGGATCCCTCGAGCCTGGGAGGCAGAGGTTGCAGTGAGCTGAGATGGCACCACTGCATTCCAGCCTGGGCGACACAGTGAGATCCTGTCTCAAAAAAAAATTTTTTTTTTTTTTAGATAGAGTTTTGCTCTGTCACCCAGGCTGGAGTGCAGTGGCGCAGTCTCGGCTCACTGCAACCCCCGCCTCCCAGGTTCAATTGATTCTCCTACCTCAGCCTCCCAAGTAGCTGAGACTACAGGTGGGTGCTACCACGTCCGGATAATTTTTTGTATTTTTAGTAGAGACGGGGTTTCACCATGTAGTGGTCTCAATCTCCTGACCTCGTGATCAACCTGCCTTGGCCTCCCAAAGTGCTGGGATTACAGGCGTGAGCCACTGCACCCAGCCAAAAAAAAATTTTTTTAATGAAAACATTTTTTTAAAAGACTCGCATTCACTGACGGCCACTTGGAGGGGATGCTGACTGGCAAGCAGAGCAGACACCAAGGACAGTCTCTGGGAGACCTAAGACCCTTTCAGGGCATTGTGAGCTCCAGACGGTGTTTGTTTGTTTGCTTGTTTTTTGAGACAGAGTTTTGCTCTTGTTGCCCAGGCTGGAGTGCAGTGGCGTGATCTCAGCTCACCGCAACCTCCGGCTCCTGGGTCAAGTGATTCTCCTGCCTCAGCCTCCCGAGTAGCTGGGATTACAGGCGCTTGCCACCACGCCTGGCTAGTTTTGTATTTTTAGTAGAGACGGGGTTTCTCCATGTTGGTCAGGCTGATCTTGAACTCCTGACCTCAGGTGATCCGCCCACCTTGGCCTCCCAAAGTGCTGGGATTAAAGGCGTGAGCCACCGTGCCCGGCCCTCTACACTGTTTTTATAGCAAGACTTGAGAAGCAGGCCAGGCACGTGGCTCACACCTGTAATCCCAGTGCTTTGGGAGGCCAAAGCAGGTAGATTGTTTGAGCCCAGGAATTTGAGATTAGCCTGGGCAACATACCGAGACCCTGTCTCTACTAAAAATTTAAAAATTGGTGAGGCGCAGTGGCTCACACCTGTAATCCCAGCACTTTGGGAGGCCGAGGCGGGCGGACCACAAGGTCAGGAGATCGAGACCATCCTGGCTAATACAGTGAAACCCCATCTCTACAAAAAATACAAAAAATTAGCCTGGCCTGGTGGCGGGCGCCTGTAGTCCCAGCTACTCGGGAGGCTGAGGCAGGAGAATGGCGTGAACCCGGGAGGCAGAGCTTGCAGTGAGCCGAGATCACGCCACTGCACTCCAGCCTGGGCAACAGAGTAAGACTCCGTCTCAAAAAGAAATGTAAAAATTAGCCAGGTGTGGTGATGTGCATCTGTAGTCCCAGCTACTTAGGAGGCTGATTCGAGAGAATTGTTTCAGCTCAGGAGTTCAAGGCTGCAATGAGCTGTGATGGTGCCACTGCAACTCCAGCCTGGGTGACAGAGCAAGACGCTGTCTCAAAAAAAAAGGTGCTCTGGGTTGAATTATGTCCTTCAGAAATTCATATTTCAGTCCTTGTCCCAGCAACTCAGACTGTTGCCCTATTTGGGTCACTGCAGATGTAATTAAGATGAGGCCATGCTGGAGTACGGTAGCCCTAATATATCAAAAGGGGAGGCCGGGTGAGGTGGCTCACACCTGTAATCCCAGCACTTTGGGAGGCCAAGGCGGGCAGATCACTTGAGGTCAAGAGTTCGAGACCATCCTGGCCAACATGGTGAAACCCCATCTCTACTAAAAATACAAAAATTAGCCGGGCGTGGTGGCGGGCACCTGTAATCCCAGCTACTCAGGAGGCTTGAGACAGGAGAATCGCTTGAACCTGGGAGGTGGAGGTTGCAGTGAGCCAAGATCCCACCACTGCACTCCAGCCTGGGCAAAAAAAAATTAAAACAACAGATAAAAAGGGGAAACGTGGACACAGACACGATCGGGGTGATCACCGGAGGAGGGGGAGGTTTCTACATGCTAAGGAGCAACACGGAGCGGCAGCTCCCACAGAAGCCTGGAGAGGCCCAGAGCAGAGATTTCCACACAGCCTCGAAGGAACCAGCCCTGGCCACGCCTGCATCTCAGACTCCAGCCTCTAGAACCAAGAGAGGAGACGCGTCTGTTGTTCACACCACCCAGTGTGCGGCGTTTGCCATGGCAGCCCCGTGAAACACAGAAGCCTGCCTTCTCAACCGCACTCACCTTTGCTCGAATATGAGCAGCCCCCATTCTTCCCCGACACACACAGTCAAATCAGCAAACGTCACTGATTTGATGCAGTCTCACCTGGAAGCGTAAGCATCCGGCGTCCCGGGCGCCTGCTGCCTAGGTGTTGGGGCTGCCCGGGGAAGAGCTGGGAGCCATGTCCCAGCCGTGACTGACCTGGCCAGCTTCCCCAGGTTACTTGAAAGAACCTCTTGTGTCGAGACGTGGGTAGTCATTGTCTCCAAAATGAACAAAGTGAAAACAACGGACCCTCTTCGCTGCCGTGATAAATCTGCATTTTCCAGTGGACATTTGAGTTTTGGAAACTGCCATCATAGGCAAGGCTGCTCCACCACCTGAAGCTCTTTTTTTTTTTTTTTTTTGAGACCGAGTCTCACTCTGTCACCCAGGCTGGAGTGCAGTGGCCCGACCTTGTAGCTGGGACCTCATGATCTGCCTGCCTCGGCCTCCCAAAGTGCTGGGATTACAGGCGTGAACCACCGTGCCTGGCCCTGAAGCTCCTTCTGATAGGCTCAGTTAGGGAGCGTGCATGTTCCTTATTGAAATTGGAGGGGTCAGCACTTGGGGGTCTGGGAAACCCCACGACCAAGGCGGGACATTCCAGCATCACTCATGGGCCTAAGAGCCAGTCACAGAAGGTCCACAATGATCCAGAAAGGCTATCAGGGTGCCCTTCCCTGTTCCGACTACAAATCTGGATGAAGCCAGATTTTCCTCACATACTTCTCCTAGAACAATGATTCCCAGAGGCCTAGGCAGGCCCCGGGAGGAGGACCCCTGGGCCTAGGAAACCGGCATGATGGAGATTTTGCAAACGTGGATACCAGTGCCACTCTGCTCACTAGATTTTTTGTTTAACAAAGATGTACTGGGCCAGGTGCAGTGGCTCACACCTGCAATCCTAGCACTTTGGGAGGCTGAGGCAGATGCATTATTTGAGCTCAGGAGTTTGAAACCAGCCTGGGCAACATGGTGAAAACCCGTCTCTACTAAAATACAAAAATTATCCAGGAGTGGTGGCAGGCACCTGCAATACCAGCTACCTGGGAAGCTGAGGCAGGAGAATCTCTTGAACCCGAGGTGTGGAGGTTGCAGTGAGCCAAGACTGCGGCACTGCATTCCAGCCTTGGTGACAGAGCGAGACTCTGTCTAGAAAAAAAAAAAACAGACACACACAAAAATTAGCTGGGCACGGTAGCACGTGCCTGTAGTCTCAGCTACTTGGGAGACTGAGGCAGGAGGATCACTTGAGTGCAGGAGATGGAGGTTGCTGTGATCACACCACTGCACTACAGCCTAGGCAACCCAGCCAGACCCTGTCTCAAAAAAATGTATAACTATTTATAGAAGTGTGCAAGCGTGAAAGCGCTGGCTCCCAGGACAGCCACGAAGCCACGGGTCGTTGACACAGCCGAGTGGGCGCCATTGCCGGAGCGGGAACCCGCCTGAGGGTCTTCACGGGGTCTGAGTGGGCGCCATTGCCGGAGCCGGAACCCGCCTGAGGGTCTTCACGGGGTCTGAGTGGGCGCCATTGCCGGAGCGGGAACCCGCCTGAGGGTCTTCACGGGGTCTGAGTGGGCGCCATTGCCGGAGCCGGAACCCGCCTGAGGGTCTTCACGGGGTCTGAGTGGGCGCCATTGCCGGATCCGGAACCCCGCCTGAGGGTCGTCACGGGGTCTGAGTGGGCGCCATTGCCGGATCCGGAACCCGCCTGAGGGTCTTCGCGGGGTCTGAGTGGGCGCCATTGCCGGATCCGGAACCCCGCCTGAGGGTCTTCGCGGGGTCTGAGTGGGCGCCATTGCCGGATCCGGAACCCCGCCTGAGGGTCTTCACGGGGTCTGAGTGGGCGCCATTGCCGGAGCGGGAACCCGCCTGAGGGTCTTCACGGGGTCTGAGTGGGCGCCATTGCCGGAGCCGGAACCCGCCTGAGGGTCTTCGCGGGGTCTGAGTGGGCGCCATTGCCGGAGCGGGAATCCCACCTGAGGGTCTTCACGGGGTCTGAGAGGGCGCCATTGCCGGAGCCGGAACCCGCCTGAGGGTCGTCACGGGGTCTGAGTGGGCGCCATTGCCGGATCCGGAACCCCGCCTGAGGGTCTTCACGGGGTCTGAGTGGGCGCCATTGCCGGATCCGGAACCCCGCCTGAGGGTCTTCACGGGGTCTGAGTGGGCGCCATTGCCGGATCCGGAACCCGCCTGAGGGTCTTCGCGGGGTCTGAGTGGGCGGCATTGCCGGATCCGGAACCCCGCCTGAGGGTCTTCGCGGGGTCTGAGTGGGCGCCATTGCCGGATCCGGAACCCCGCCTGAGGGTCTTCACGGGGTCTGAGTGGGCGCCATTGCCGGAGCGGGAACCCGCCTGAGGGTCTTCACGGGGTCTGAGTGGGCGCCATTGCCGGAGCCGGAACCCGCCTGAGGGTCTTCGCGGGGTCTGAGTGGGCGCCATTGCCGGAGCGGGAATCCCACCTGAGGGTCTTCACGGGGTCTGAGAGGGCGCCATTGCCGGAGCCGGAACCCGCCTGAGGGTCGTCACGGGGTCTGAGTGGGCGCCATTGCTGGATCCGGAACCCCTCCTGAGGGTCTTCACGGGGTCTGAGTGGGCGCCATTGCCGGATCCGGAACCCGCCTGAGGGTCTTCACGGGGTCTGAGTGGGCGCCATTGCCGGATCCGGAACCCCGCCTGAGGGTCTTCGCGGGGTCTGAGTGGGCGCCATTGCCGGAGCGGGAACCCGCCTGAGGGTCTTCACGGGGTCTGAGTGGGCGCCATTGCCGGATCCGGAACCCCTCCTGAGGGTCTTCACGGGGTCTGAGTGGGCGCCATTGCCGGATCCGGAACCCGCCTGAGGGTCTTCACGGGGTCTGAGTGGGCGCCATTGCCGGATCCGGAACCCCGCCTGAGGGTCTTCGCGGGGTCTGAGTGGGCGCCATTGCCGGATCCGGAACCCGCCTGAGGGTCTTCACGGGGTCTGAGTGGGCGCCATTGCCGGATCCGGAACCCCGCCTGAGGGTCTTCACAGCATCTGAGTGGGCGCCATTGCCGGAGCCGGAACCCGCCTGAGGGTCTTCGCGGGGTCTGAGTGGGCGCCATTGCCGGAGCGGGAATCCCGCCTGAGGGTCTTCACGGGGTCTGAGTGGGCGCCATTGCCGGAGCGGGAATCCCGCCTGAGGGTCTTCACGGGGTCTGAGGGGAAAGCAGGGCCGGGGTGGGCGTGTGGAAGGTTTTGGGGTGTGGCTTCAGGTGAGTCTTCAGGAGGCTTCGTTAGGATTGGGCATGTTTGGGACGGAAGTGGTTCGGGACTGATGGACATAAGAAGGGTTTGGAGTGAGTCTGGAGACTGAGCCCAGCTGTGCTGTCCGCTCACAGGTCCTAGGCAACGACTGTCAGGAAGTTCCCAAAATAAGTCACTCACAACCTCATCGTCCTGGGTAAGTTTCCTGATATGTTCCACAGCTCAATGGTCCATCATTGTTTTTGGTTTTGTTTTGTTTTGTTTTGTTTTGTTTTGTTTTTGAGGCGGAGTCTCGCTCTGTCGCCCAGGCTGGAGTGCAGTGGCGCGATCTCGGCTCACTGCAAGCTCCGCCTCCCGGGTTCACGCCATTCTCCTGCCTCGGCCTCCCGAGTAGCTGGGACTGCAGGCGCCCGCCACCACGCCCGGCTGATTTTTTTTTTTGTATTTTTAGTAGAGACGGGGTTTTACTGTGTTAGCCAGGATGGTCTCGATCTCCTGACCTTGTGATCTGCCCGCCTCGGCCTCCCAAAGTGCTGGGATTACAGGCGGGAGCCACCGCGCCCAGCCTGTTGTGTTTTGTTTTTGAGACAGCGTCTCGCTCTGTTGCCCAGGCTGGAGTGCAGTGGGGCAATTGGGGTTCACTGCAGCCTCGACCTCCTGGGTTCAAGGGATCTTCCCAGTCTCCACCTCCCAAAGTGCTGGGATTACAGGCGCGAGTCACTGCACCCGGCTCCATCTTTTTTTCCCCCCAAAACTGGCTGTCAAGAACAAGGAAAATTAAAAAAAAAAAAAAACACAAGGAAAATTTACCATCTTAACCATTTTCAATTGAACAGTTCAGTGGCATTGAGAAAGTGGAAAAACTCAAACCGTGTTCCCTCTGGTCTCACTGCACAGTAATAATCAGCACAGAGAACTTCTGTTTCTCCCGCACACCAAGCAAGCAGCCAGCTTTGCAACAGACACAGAGGAGTTCTGTTTCTCCCCGCACACCCAGCAAGCGGCCAGCTCCGTTTTTCCTGCACACGGAGCAGGCAGTCAGCTGTGTCTCCCGCACACCGAGCAAGCCCTCAGCTTTGCCACAGACACCGGCTGGGTGTTCTCCCTTTCAGTTCGCTTCTGAGGCTGTCTACCTGCAGTTAGCCCCAGATCCACAGGCTGGGGGCTCAGTCCCACAAGACTGCCCCACACTTCCCACCAGTCGTGAGTCCAGGCCTCTGGAAGGTGTCACCAAATGGCATTAAATTGGGGTTCCCACCACCGCCCTCTTTGGGCTTGATTAATTTGCTAGAGAGGCTCACAGAACTCAGGGAAACACTTTTACCGATTTATCACAAAGAATATTTAAAAGCATAGAAAGACAGCCCGATGAAGAAACGCACAAGGTGGGGTCTGGAAGGGCCCCGAGAGCAGGAGCTTCCGTCGCCGTGGAGTTGGGGTGCTCCACCCTCCCTGCACATAGAGGAGTTCCTGTTCACCTTCCTGTCGGCCCCATGTGTTCAGTTATCTGGACGTTCCCCAAACCCTGTCCTCCTGGGTCTTTTGTGGAGACTTCATTGGATAGGCATGATTGACAGCTGTGTACAAATGGGACTGGACCAAAAGGGTGTGATCTAAACCCAGCAGGGCCTGTCTGTGCAGATTCTTCCCGGCTTCTCTGTGCGGCATTCCTTCCCCTGGGGTGTGGGGCAGGGCCCCTTCAGAAATGTGGGTCTTGTGACCCACAGTCAGACAAGGAAGGTCAGAGAATTTATTTATGGCCATCTCCAAGACAGGCAAGGGGAGGTTAGAGTCCTATTTTTAGTTTTTTGTTTGTTTGTTTGTTTTTTCTTTTTGAGACAGAGTCTTGCTCTGTTGCCCAGATTGGAGTGCAGTGGTGTGATCTCAGCTCACTGCAACCTGCGCCTGCCGGGTTCAAGCGATTCTCCTGCCTCAGCCTCTCAAGTAGCTGGGATTACAGGCGTGAGCCACTGTGCCCAGATAATTTTTTTGTATTTTTAGTAGAGACTGGGTTTCACCATGTTGGCCAGGCTGGTCTTGAACTCCTGACCTCAGGTGATCCGCCTGCCTTGGCCTCCCAAAGTGTTGGGATTACAGGCGTGAGCCACTGCAACCTGCCTATTTTTAGGTTTTTTGGCTGGCTTTGGGGAAAAGTGGTTCTGGTTTCTATGGGAGAAAGAGGAGCCAGAGACAGGAGGGCAGAGAGAAATTTTGCTTCTAAAGGCTTAAAGCGCCTCAACATTATAACAAGAGACTGTAACGAGCTGTGGGAGGTAGGAGGCAGGAACCCTGCATGAAAACCTCTGTGGGGCTGGGTGCACTGGCTCACACCTTAATCCCAGCACTTTAGGAGGCTGAGGCGGGAGGATCACTTAAGCTCAGGATTTTTTTTTTTTTTTTTTTGAGACGGAGTCTTGCTCTGTTGCCCAGGCTGGAGTACAGTGGTGCGATCTTGGCTCACTGCAACCTCTGACTCCCGGGTTCAAGCGATTCTCCTGCCTCAGCCTCCTGAGTAGCTGGGATTACAGGCGCCTGCCACCACGCCTGGCTAATTTTGTATTTTGGTAGAGACGTGATTTCATCATTTTGGCCAGGCTGGTCTCGAACTCCTGACCTCAGGTGATCCGCCCTCCTCAGCTTCCCAAAGTGCTGGGATTATAGACATGAGCTGCCCCGCCCGGCTGAGCTCAGGATTTCAAGACCAGCCAGGGCAACATAGTGAGACCTCGTCTCTAAAAGCTATATATACACCTCTATCGATACGTGGATTGATCGATCTATCTAATCTGTATCTATCTATATCTACTTATCTCTGTGTATCAATCTACCTGCCTATGTATCTATGTCATTGTAATCTATATCTGTCACTCTGTCTATATCCATTATCTAATTTATCAGAATATCACAGGATTAAGTATACTCATAATGTTGTACAGCCATCATCACTACTGTCTCCAGAACTTTCTCATCTTGCAAAACTGAAACTCTGTCCTCATAAAACACCGACTCCCCATTTCCCTCCTCCAGTCCCTGGCACCCACCATTCTGCTTTCTGCCTCTATGGGACCACTCTCCGGACCTCAGATGACTGAATCGCACGGTGCTTGTCCTTTCTGGACTGGCTTGTTTCACTCAGTGTAATATCCTCAAGGTCCATCCGTGTTGTAGCCTATGTCAGAATTCCCTTCCTTTTTTACTTCTTTTTTTTTTTTTTTTTGAGATGGGAGTCTCGTTCTGTCGCCCAGGGCTGGAGTGCAGTGGCTCGATCTCAGCTCACTCCAACCTCTGCCTCCCCGGTTCAAGAGATTCTCCTGCCTCAGCTTTCCAAGTAGCTGGGATTACAGGTGCCCGCCACCATGCCCAGCTAATTTTTGTATTTTTAGTACAGATGGGGTTTCACCATGTTGGTCAGGCTGGTCTCAAACTCCTGACCTCGTGATCTGCCCACTTTGGTGTGCTTGGTGACTTATACCCGTAATCTCAGCACTTTGGGAGGCCAAAGTGGGCAGATTGCCTGAGGTCAGGAATTTGAGACCAGCATGGCCAACATGGTGAAACCCTGCCTTTACTAAAAATACAAAAATTTGGCTGGCCATGGCTGGGCGTGGTGGCTCCCATCTGTAAGCCCAGCACTTTGGGAGGCCAAGGCAGGCAGATCACAAGGTCAGGAGTTCGAAACCAGCCTGGCCAACATGGTAAAAACCCATCTCTACTAAAAATACAAAAATTAGGCCGGGCGCGGTGGCTCATGCCTGTAATCCCAGCACTTTGGGAGGCCGAGGCGGGCGGATCATGAGGTCAGGAGATCGAGACCCTCCTGGCTAACATGGTGAAACCCTGTCTCTACTAAAAAAAATACAAAAAAAATTAGCCAGGCGTGGTGGTGGGCGCCTGTAGTCCCAGCTACTCAGGAGGCTGAGGCAGGAGAATGGCGTGAACCCAGGAGGCGGAGCTTGCAGTGAGCTGAGTTCACGCCACTGCATTCCAGCCTGGGCGACAGAGCGAGACTCCATCTCAAAAAACAAACAAACAAAAAAAAAACAAAACAAAAATTAGCCGGGCATGGTGGCAGACACCTGTAATCCCAGCTACTTGAGAGGCTGAGAAAGGAGAACAGCTTGAACCTGGGAGGTAGAGGTTGCAGTGAGCCAAGATCGTGCCACTGTACTCCAGCCTGGGCAACAGAATGAAACTGTCCCCCCTCCAAAAAAAAAAAATTAGCCCAGTGTGGTAGTGGGCACCTGTAATCCCAGCTACTTGGGAGACTGAGAGAGGAGACCCACTTGAACCCGGGAGGCGAAGGCTGCAGTGAGCCAAGATCATGCCACTGCACTCCAGCCTGCGAGACAGAGCGAAACTCTGTCTCAAAAAAAAAGCTGGCCATGGTGGCTCACGCCTATAATCCCAGCACTTTGGGAGGCCGAGGCGGGCAAATCATCTGAGGTCGAGGGTTCGAGACCAGCCTGACCAACATGGGAAAACCCCGTCTCTACTAAAAATACAAAATTAGCTGAGTTTGGTGGTGCATGCCTGTAACCCCAGCTACTTGAGAGGCTGAGGCAGGAGAATCACCTGAACCTGGGAGGCAGAAGTTGCGGTGAGCTGAGATCACGCCATTGCACTCCAGCCTGGGCAACAGGAGCAAAACTCCATCTCAAACCAAAAAAAAAAAAAAAGAGTTCAAGGCAAGTCCATAATGTGAAAACAAGTTTATCAGGCCAGGCGCGGTGGCTCACGCCTGTAATCCCAGCACTTTGGGAGGCTGAGGCGGGTGGATCACCTAAGGTCAGGAGCTCGAGACCAGTTTGGCTAACATGGTGAAACCTCGTCTCTACTAAAAATACAAAAATCAACCGGGTGTTGTGGTGTGTGCCTGCAGTCCCAGGTACTTGGGAGGCTGAGGCAGGAGAATCGCCTGAACCCAGGAGGAAGAGGTTGAGGGGAGCCGAGATCGTGCCATTGCACTCCAGCCTGAACAACAAGAACAAGACTCCATCTCAAAAAAAAAAAAAAAAAAGAAAAAAGAATAAATAGAAAAGTTTATCAGAGAAGTAAAGAAACTGAAGGATGTCTACTCCATAGGCAGAGCAGGGGCCTGGGGCATAGGCTGTTCTACTGAGCATACTTACGGTTCTTTCTTTATTATATGCTAAACAAGGGGTGGATTATTCATGAGTTTTCCAGGAAAGGGGTGGGTAGTTCCCAGAACTGAGGGTTCCTCCTCTTTTAGATTATATAGAGTAACTTTCTGACATTGCCATGGCATTTGTAAACTCTCATGGCCCTAGTGGGAGTGTCTCTTAGCATGCTAATGCATTATCATTAGCTCATAATGAGCAGTGAGGACGACCAGAGGTCACTTTTTTTTTTTCTTTTTTTTCCGAGACGGAGTCTTGCTCTGTTGCCCAGGCTGGAATGCAGTGGCGTGATCTGGGCTCACTGCAAGCTCCGCCTCCCGGGTTCACGCCATTCTCCTGCCTCAGCCTCCCCAGTAGCTGGGACTACGGGTGCCTGCCACCTCGCCTGGCTAATTTTTTGTATTTTTAGTAGAGACAGGGTTTCACTGTATTAGCCAGGATGGTCTCGATCTCCTGACCTGGTGATCCGCCTGCCTTGGCCTCCCAAAGAGCTGGGATTACAGGCGTGAGCCACCACGCCCAGCCGACCAGAGGTCACTTTCATCACCATCTTGGTTTTGGTAGGGTTAGACTTCTTTATCATGACTTGTTTTATCAGCAAGGTCTTTGTGACCTGTATCTTGTGCTGACTTCCTATCTCATCCAATGACTAAGAATGCCTGACCTCCTGGGAATGCAGCCCAGCATGTCTCAGACTCATTTTACCCCACCTCTATTCAAGATGGATTTGCTCTGGTTCAAACATCTCTGACACCTTGGGCTCCAAAGCACTGGGAATGCAGGTGTGAGCTGCCACATTCTGTGTGTATGTGGGCCTTCTTTCACTCACCACATCCCTTGGGGGCCATCCCTTTGTATAGTGGGCAATGTTCCCCTTTGTGGAGAGGCTGAATCCCTTTGTATGGTGGACAGTGCTCCACTTTGTGGAGGGGCTGCTCCCCTTTGTATAGTGGGCGGTGCTCCCTTTGTGGAGGGGCTGTTCCCTTTGTATGGTGGGTAGTGCTCCACTTTGTATGGTGGGCAGTGCTCCCTTTGGTGGGTAGTGCTCCACTTTGTATAGTGGGCAGTGATCCCTTTGTATAGTGGGTAGTGCTCTCCTTTGTGGAGGGGCTGCTCCCCTTTGTATGGTAGGCAGTGCTCCCTTTCTATGGTGGGCAGTGCTCCCTTTGTATGGTGGGTAGTGCTCCACTTTGTGGAGGGGCTGCAGTTTGGCCCATTCTCCTGCTGATGGACATTTGGGTTGTTTCCAGTTTGGACCTTTTGTCAATAAAGCCACTATGAGGATCTGTGTGCCAATCTTCTTGTGGAGAACTTTTTATTGAGGAGTGGAACTGCCAGTTCCCATGGTAAGTACATGCTTAAGTTTATGAGAAACCATAGGACAATTTTCCACAGCTCATTTTGTTCCACTTTCTTTTTTCTTTCTTTTTTTTTTTTGAGGTGGAGTCTCGCTCTGTTGCCCAGGCTGGAGTGCAGTAGCGCAATCTTGGCTCACTGCAACCTCCGCCCCCCAGGTTCAAGCAATCCTCCTGCCTCAGCTTCCCTAGTAGCTGGGACTACAGGCACATGCCACGATGCCTGGCTAATTTTTTTTTTTTTTTTTTTTTTTTTTTTGAGATGGAGTCTCGCTCTGTCGCCCAGGCTGGAGTGCAGTGGCGCGATCTCGGCTCACTGCAAGCTCTGCCTCTCAGGTTCATGCCATTCTCCTGCCTCAGCCTCCCGAGTAGCTGGGACTACAGGCACCTGCCACCATGCCCGGCTAATTTTTTGTATATTTAGTAGAGACAGGGTTTCACTGTGTTAGCCAGGATAGTCTCGATCTCCTGACCTCGTGATCTGCCTGCCCCGGCCTCCCAAAGAGCTGCGATTACAGGCGTGAGCCACTGCACCCAGCCTAATTTTTGTATTTTTAGTAAAGACGGGGTTTCACCATGTTGGCCAGGCTGGTCTCGAACTCCTGACCACAGGTGATCACCTGTCTCGACCTCCCAAAGTGCTGGGATTACAGGCGCGAGCCACCGTACCCAGCCTTTGTTCCACTTTCATTCCCACCAGCAGCGCATGGGTGTTCCTGGAGCTCCATGTCCTCACTGGCACTTGGTGTTGCCAGTCTTTTGTTCTCACTATGATCCATGTGGACAGATCTCATGGTGGTTTTCATTTGCATTTCCCTAATAAATACTGTATACCACCAAGCTTGTCCAGCCCTTGGCCTGCAGGCCGCATGTGGCCCAACACGAATTCGCAACCTTTCTTAGAACATGAGATTTTTTATTTGCAATTTTTTTTAAGCTCATCAGTTATTGTTAGTATATTTTACATGTGGCCCAAGACAGTTCTTCCAGTGTGGCAAGGGAAGACAAAAGATGGCTACCTGCTCTATACCTTCTTCTGTGATGTATATTTCCTATTTTTGCATTTCAATGGAGAGAAGAAAGTCCTCTCAACAGATGCTGGAACAGGTGGAGAAAAACTACTTTCCATATCCAGGTCACGGAGACAAAAATAAAGGGGGCCAGGCGCGGTAGAGAAAAACTACCTTCCACTTCTAGGTCACAGAGACAAAAATCAAGGGGGCCCTGTGCGGTGGCTCATGTGAAACCCCGTCTCTACTAAAAATACAAAAAATTAGCCGGGCGTGGTAGTGGGCGCCTGTAGTCCCAGCTACTCGGGAGGCTGAGGCAAGACAATGTCATGAACCTGGGAGGCGGAGCTTGCAGTGAGCCGAGATCGTGCCACTGCACTCCAGCCTGGGCGACAGAGGGAGACTCCGTCTCAAAAAAAAAAAAACAACAAAAAAAAAACAAACAAACTGGAGTGGCCTCAAAGACTCTTAACATAACAGCTGAAAACCAAGACATCATAAGAAAATATTTTTGAGGCCGGGCGCGGTGGCTCACGCCTGTAATCCCAGCACTTTGGGAGGCCGAGGCGGGCGGATCACGAGGTCAGGAGATCGAGACCATCCTGGCTAACACGATGAAACCCCGTCTCTACTAAAAATACAAAAAATTTAGCCGGGCGAGGTGGCGGGTGCCTGTAATCCCAGCTACTCGGGAGGCTGAGGCAGGAGAATGGCGTGAACCCCAGGGGGCGGAGCCTGCAGTGAGCCGAGATTGCGCCACTGCACTCCAGCCTGGGCGACAGCGAGACTCCGTCTCAAAAAAAAAAAAAAAAAAAAATATTTTTGTTGGCTGGGCGTGGTGACTCACGCCTATAATCCCAGCACTTTGGGAGACTAGGGTGGGCGGATCACGAGGTCAGGAGATTGAGACCATCCTGGCTAACACGGTGAAACTCTGTCTCTACTAAAAATACAAAAGTTAGCTGGGCGTTGGCCGGGCGCAGTTGCTTAACACCTGTAATCCCAGCACTTTGGGAGGCCGAGGCAGGTGGAACACGAGGTCAGGAGTTTGAGATCAGCCTGGGCAACACGGTGAAACCCCGTCTCTACTAAAAATACAAAAGTAGCCGGGCATGGTGGCCCATGCCTGTAATCCCAGCTACTCGGGAGGCTGAGGCAGGAGAATCGCTTGAACCTGGGAGGCGGAGGATGCGGTGAGCTGAGATCGCGCCATTGCACTCCAGCCTGGGCAACAAGAGTAAATCTCCATCTCACCAGAAAAAAAAAAAAATTTGTCACTTTGGAGCAAGCAAAGACTCCTTAGAGAAGATACCAAAAAAGAGGAGTAAATATAAAATTAAAACTTGATAAATTGAACTTAATCAAAATAAAAAGCTAACGTTCATTAAAGACACTATTAAAATGAAAAGGGAACACATGCTGAGAGGAAGTATTGAAACCACCTTTGCAAAATTATAACTAAGGAAATTATGACAGTGAAAGATAACAGACTTAACCAATTCCATCTTGTTTCTAACCTTCAAACGGTCCTTGTCCATTACTGGCCATAGGCCAAACAAGTCTTGGGAAGGAATTTAATTTATAGTTTAAATAATAGCCCTTCCCCAAAACTAGACTGTTCTTGTAAAATGAATGAAAGGCCACCAGCCACCAAGTTAGAATGAGAGGGGCTGGAAGTCTAAATATTATCAGCCATTATTCTGGAGGTCATAAGATAAGATTTGCAACTTCCCCAAGATATCAACACTACTGTGAACCTAGGGTTGGCCTTTTTTTTTTTTTTAAATGGAGTCTCGTTCTGTAGCCCAGGTTAGTGTACAGAGGGACAATCTCGGCTCACTGCAACCTCCACCTCCCAGGTTCAAGCCATTCTCCTGCCTCAGCCTCCCAAGTAGCTGGGATTACAGCCATGTGCCACCACGCCTGGCTAATTTTGTATTTTTAGTAGAGACGGGGTTTTGCATGTTGGCCACGCTGGTCTCCAACTCCTGACCTCAAGTGATCGCCTGCTTTGGCCTTTCAATGTGCTGGGATTCCAGGCCTGAGCCACCGCGTCAGCCTAGGATTTGCCTTTTAAGAAGTCTTTTCCGCCGGGCGCGGTGGCTCACGCCTGGAATCCCAGCACTTTGGGAGACTGAGGTGGGCGGATCACGAGGTCAGGAGATCGAGACCATGCTGGCCAACATGATGAAACCCCGTCTGTACTAAAAATACAAAAATTAGCCGGGCGTGGTGGTGAGCGCCTGTAATTCCAGCTACTCGGGAGGCTGAGGCAGGAAAATCGCTCGAACCCGGGAGGCGGAGGTTGTAGTTAGCCAAGATCGCGCCACTGCACTCCAGCCTGGGCAACAAGGGCGAGATTCCGTCTCAAAAAAAAAAAAAAGTCTTTTCAGGTTTTTGCATTTCTGACAACCGGATGGCCCCACCTGGACCTGCCAACCAGTTGTGTGGCCTCTACCCAGGGACTGACTCAGCATAAGCGGACAGCTTCGACTCCCTGTGATTTCATCCCTAGCTGACCAGTCAGCACTTCTGACTCACTGGCCCCCTACCCACCAAATTATTCTTAAATACTGGGATCCCCGAGTTTTGGGGAGACTGATTTGAGGAATAAAACTCTGGTCTCCCGAACAATCGGCTCTGTGTGAATTATGCTTTCTCTATTGCAATTCCCCTGTCTTGACAATAGACTCTGTCCCGGCAGCTGGCAAGGCGAACCCATGGGGCGGTTACAGTGTCTGCAACGCAGACACAAGCGACAGAGACTTGATCAGAATATACAAGGAACTCTGCAAGTCAGCGATGGTAAGAAGCAGGGCAGCTGGGCCTCCTACGCCTGCCTCGCCGTTCGGTCCCCCGGACACCTCTGGGCTTAGGACTCAGGGGAACAGATTCCCAGAAGCAGGTTCCCCGCCGCGTCCGGCGCCCGGGCTCTGCAGCCGCCCCCTGCTCTGCCTCCTGCACCCGCAGGGCGTCCCCCGCCGCTCCCTCCCCTGCTTCCTGCAGCGGCCCCCGACCCCAGTCCTGGCCCCACCATGGATCCTGCATCGCCGGGTTCGGCCCTGGCGGGTTCAGCCCCGCAGAGTCGGCACCCGGGCCAGGTCCATCTCCTCCAGCCCTCCCGGTGCGTCCCGCGGGGCAGGAAGGAGGCGAGGCCCAGCCGCCCCGTGTCGTGCAGGTGTTTTCCCGGGCCCGTCCGCGGCGGCTGCTGAGGACCTGGGGAGACCCAGCCTGTAGGATCCGCAGCTGCGGTGCGCGGCCGGCAGTGGCGCTCGGGCTTCGTCCCCGGGGGCGGGGCTTCGTCCAGGCGCGCAGGGACCAGCGGGCCTCGCCCTCCCGCGCCGCTTTCCGATTGGCAGCCGCCCGCGGGGCATTGTGGGCCGTCCGCGCGCCCGTCCCGTCGCCGCCGCCGCCGCCGCAGACCCCTCGGTCTTGCTATGTCGAGCTCACCCGTGAAGCGTCAGAGGATGGAGTCCGCGCTGGACCAGCTCAAGCAGTTCACCACCGTGGTGGCCGACACGGGCGACTTCCACGGTGAGGACGGCGCGGAGCCCGGGCGCGGCGCAAGCGCCCTCCAGAGGCCCCGGCGCCCCGATTTCCCCGGGTCTCCCGTTCCGGGACGCGGACCGGGTGGCGGTGCCCCGGGCGGCTCGTTCCGGGAGGAATGAGCGCAGGTGCCGGATGTTGGGGCCAGGGACAGCCGTGAGGGGAGCGGGGCCCGGGTCGGCCGTGAGAGGCGCAGGGCCAGCGGCGACCGTGAGGGGAACGGGGCCCGGGTCGGCCGTGAGGGAGCAGGGCCGGGGGCAGCCGTGAGGAGCTGGGGTCAGCCGTGAGGGGCTCGGTGCTGGGGTCAGCGGTGCGGGCGGTACTGACGGGTCCTTGCGAGCCGTGGGGCACGAAGCCGGAGCCCCAGCCTCGCCCTCCGCCCAGGGTGGGGTCGGCTGCGCCCTCAGACCCCGCACCCGGGACGGGCTGTGGGCAGCCCGCGGGAGCCCCTCTGTGCACCTTCATGGGTCGAGGCAGCTTTCAGAGCCTTTGAGTTCAGGAGAGATTCAGGGTAGAGCTTCGAGCTGACTTCCACGTGGCCAGTTTGTGGTCAGCGAGATGCAATTTTGTTGGGCTGATGTCTGCAGAGCGGGGACATCAGCTAGCTCTGACCAGAAGCTGCCAGTGCTGCCATCGCCCTTGAGCCCTGCGGTGCCCAGTGGGACAACTCCGTGGGCGGCAGGTGCCCGGCCTGCTGGACAGCCACCGCCAGACGCACCGGGTGGGTAAAAGCCGGTGCCCATGAAAGCACAGGGTTGGTACACTGTTAAATACTGGATTTTCCTGGGCTTGAGTTGTTTACATTGGAGAGAACTTGGAAAATACAAAGAAGGATTATTTATTAATACTTAGCTCTTCTGTCCTCTGCAGTGCAGAGTAGACGAGCCTTGTGTCTATGTTTTGTTGAGAACAAGTAATATTTTTTAAGAAAATCATGAAACGCTTCATGGATGAATGCTGCGAGCACCTAATACGGAAGTGACTTCCTCTCTTTTCTGCTTTCTCATGGTGACTTGAGAAACAGGCTTTAATTCCTCTTTGGTAACTGAGTAAGGGCATTGTTTATCTAGCAGAGCCTAGAGAGTGAATTGGCATGTTTGGCTGCTTAACCATAAAATATGGGGATTCAGTGACTGGCTTGGGGTGCCACAGTCTGCTCCGGACCCCTCTTTGGGAGATCCAAAGCTAGAGCTGTGAATCCCTCACACACACAGCCCCCCCGTTGTAGTCCAGACCTCTCTTCATAAGAAAGAAAGCTCCAGAAAAGGGGCTACACATTTTTCTGCTGCTCAGTTTTTTCCCTTCTTAGCACTGAGAATAATTTGCAGTTTGCCTGGTGGACAGAGCGCTCATCTGTATTGTTCCTTACTGGCCCTCACCAGTTAGGGCAGAGCTGGTGCGGAGTGTCAGGTCCATTACACTTGGCAGTGCAGGGCCAATAAAGATGGATTTTCCTAAACCCACACCCACAGGAGGGCTGGGGAGTCCTGGGTTTCTGGTTTTGTTTTGTATTGTTTTTTAAGAAAACTTCTGGCCCAGCGAGGTGGCTCACGCCTGTAATCCCAGCACTTTGGGAGGTTGAGGCAGGTGGATCACGAGGTCAGGAGTTCGAGACCAGCCTGACCAACATGGTGAAACCCCGTCTCTACTAAAAATACAAAAATTAGCTGGGTGCGGTGTTGCATGCTTGTAATCCCAGCTACTTGGGAGGCTGAGGCAGGAGAATTGCTGAACCCAGAAGGCGGAGGTTGCAGTGAGCCAAGATCACACCACTGCACTCCAGCCTGGGCGACAGAGCAAAACTCCGTCTCAAAAAAAAAAAAAAAAAAATCTTCTAAACCCAAGTTGTGACATTTTTTTTTAATGAATATTAACAAAAAAATACATTCATTGATAGTATATGTTCATAAATGTTATATAGTTGTAAAATAGTCTGTTGGGTTTGTGATCTGTAGTTTGTGAAGTGAAGGTTCTTAACTCCTTGTGGGAGGGAGGCACAGGCCTCTGGAAATAGAATCAAAGCTGTGAATGCTCTTCCCACAATGTGATCCTCCCCATTTTGCATTCAGTTTAAGGATCCCTGGACCCTGAAACCCATTTTTGCCCCAATGGGCCTTGGTTTTGTTTTAATTTTGTAAAAGCCATTTGCTAAAAGCTGACTTTATCCAGGGGTGATTTTACAGGACGAAATGGGCTGTTTTCAGTGCCTCATTCAGTGCATTCTGGCAGACCTGTGTTAGCACTGTGCCAGATGTCATGTTGAAATGAGTATAGATGCACAACAGGCTTTTTCTTAACTTGTCATGTTGAAATGGGTATAGATGCACAGAAGTTGCAAAATCAGCCCATACAGTCCTGTGAACCCTTCAACCACTGTCCCCCATGGTGACATCTCATGTGACCATGGCATGGCATCCACACCGGGAAGTGGGCACTGCTGTGGTGCTGATGCTGTTATAGACTGCAGGCCTGGCTCAGGGCTCCCCAGTTTCCCCCTGCACTGGGGCAAGGAGGCTATGTGACAGTTTCATAAAGTGTGTAAATTCCTGGACCACTGTGACAGGACATAGCTGTCCCATTGTCACTGAGATCCCCGTGTCCCTCAGAGACCCCTCATTCCCTGTTCCTTGGCAACCTCTAACCTGTTCTCTACCTCTATAGTTTTGTCATTAAAGGACCCTTTGAAAGTACTTATTCCAGCCTGCGCAACATGGTAAAACCCCATCTCTACAAAAAGGAAGAAAAAAAAATAGCCAGGCGTATTGGTGCACACCGTAGTCCTAGCTACTCAGGAGGCTGAGTTGGGAGGATCACTTAAGCCCAGGAGGTTGAGGCAGCAGTGAGCTGTGACTGCGCCACTGCACTCCAGCTTAGGAGACAAAGTGAGACCCTGTCTCAAAAAAAAAAAAAGATATTTATTTGCCAAATAAAGTTACTGAACTTGTGAACTTCGGCCGGGTGTGGTGGCTCAAGCCTGTAATCCGAGCACTTTGGGAGGCCGAGGCAGGCCGATCATGAGGTCAGGAGATCCAGACCATCCTGGCTAACACGGTGAAACCCCATCTCTACTAAAAATACAAAAAAATTATCTGGGCGTGGTGGCGGGCGCCTGTAGTCCCAGCTACTCGGGAGGCTGAGGCAGGAGAATGGTGCGAACCTGGGAGGCGGAGCTTGCAATGAGCCGAGATCGCGCCACTGCACTCCAGCCTGGGCGACAGAGCGAGACTCTGTCTCAAAAGAAAAAAAAAAAAGTTACTGAACTGGCTAATCTGGAGCAATGGGCCATTCTATGGGTGTCAATGGCCATAACTCTTCACCTCCACTTTCCATTTGGACAGCCAGATGAACAAGACCCCAGGTTAAGCCTCGTTGGCTTCTTTGAATTCCTAGCTTGGTTATGTGAGAAATAACTAATGTGTTAAAAGAAACAATAGTTTTAAGAATAAAGAATCCTTGGGTTTTTGTTTTTGGGGTTTTTTTTGAGACAGGGTCTTGCTCTGTCACCCAGGCTGTATAGTGGTGCAATCACGTGGTGCAACACGGCTAACTGCAGCCTTGACCTCCTGGGCTGAGGTGATCCCCCCACCTCAGCCTCCCAAGTAGCTGGGACTACAGATGTGCGCCACCACTCCCAGCTAACAATCCTTGCTGAAGATAACCATGTGGTATCTGTGTTGAAGTCAAAATAAAATGTAGAGACGAATCTCTAAATTCAACGTTTTATTTGGGAAGAAAAAATTGCAGTTCAAGCAGACTGGGTGGTCTTCGATCTGTCCAAAGAACAAGAGAAAGTTGGGGCCAGCCTCGGTGGCTCATGCGTATAATCCCCAGCACTTTGGGAGGCTGAGGCAGAAGGATTGTTTGGGCCTAGCAGTTCGGGACCAGCCTGGGCAACACAGTGAGACCACATCTCTACAAAAAATTTTTGGCTGGTGGCTTACGCCTGTAATCACAGCACTTTGGGAGGCCGAGGAGGGTGGATCACCTGAGGTCAAGAGATCGAGACCAGCCTGGCCAACATGGTGAAACCCCATCTCTACTAAAAATACAAAAAATTAGCCGGGTATGGTGGCAGGTGCCTGTAATCCCAGCTACTCGAGAGGCTGAGGCGAGATAATTGCTTGAACCTGGAAGACGGAGGTTGCAGTGAGCCGGGATCACGCCACTGCACTCTAGCCTGGGCGACAGAGCGAGACTCCATCTCAAAATAACAATAATAATAATAATAAACCATCAACCTCATTTTGATGGTAATTGATGTGTGTGCATGCATGCATGTGTGTGTACACAGTTCCTGTCTCATAACTCCCACAGCCCTGTTATAATGTTGGGGCACTCTAGGCCTCAGGAGCAGGCCTTGGAAAACAGAATTTCCATCACTGACCTTCTCCTCTCCTTTCACCTGTTCCTTTCTCTCTTCAAGGGAGGAATCTTTCCTGCCTGTTTTGGAGCTGTCCATAAATAAATTATCTACTTGCTTTTCTTTTCTTTTTTTTTGGAGGCGGAGTCTCGCTCTGTCGCCCAGGCTGGAGTCAGTGGCGTGATCTCAGCTCACTGCAAGCTCCACCTTCCGGGTTCACGCCATTCTTCTGCCTCAGCCTCCAGAGTAGCTGGGACTACAGGCGCCCGCCACCACGCCCACCTAATTTTTTGTATTTTTTTTTTTTTTTTAGTAGAGATGGGGTTTCACCGTGTTAGCCAGGATGGTCTGGATCTCCTGACCTCGTGATCTGCCCGCCTCGGCCTCCTAAAGTGCTGGGATTACAGGCACCAGCCACCGCGCCCGGCCGTCTACTTGCTTTTCTAATTGTGGGTCCTAAGACCCTCATTTCAAAAGGGGTCCCATCACATACCCTGGAGGAAGGAATGTTGCACGGAGGACGGTAAGAAGGTGAACACAGAGGCGTTGCTGGGTTTCCTCACTCATTAGATGATAATATTTCAACAGGGCTGTCCATACTTCAGTCATGTCTCTCCAGTAGAGTCTCCATAAAAGGCCCAAGAGGACAGGGTTCAGGGAGCTTCCAAATACCTGAACACATGGAGCCTCCTGAAGGGTGGTGCACCCAGGGTGGGCATGGAGGCACCGTGCCCCTTCTCACATGCCTTGCCCTATGCATCTCTTCCTCTGTGTCCTTTGTATAATAAGCCAGTACATGTAAGTGAGTGTTTCCCTTACTTCTGTGATCTGCTCCAGCAAATTAATGGAACACAAAGGTTAATTCAAGTTGACAACCCCAAGTTGAAGCCAGTGGATCAGAAGTTCTGGAGCCCAGACTTGTGACGGGTGGGAATGGAGAATGGTTGGTTGGGACTAAGCCTTCAACCTGTGGGATCTGAGGCTGTCTCCAGGTAGACAGGGTTGGAATTGAATTGGAGGATGCCCAGCTGGTATCCACTGAAGAATTAATTGCTTGTTTGGTGCGTGGGGAGAAACCCCCACACATCGGTCACAGAAGTCCTCTCTGTTGATTATTCTGGTATGAGAGCAGAGGAATGCAGTTCAGGTTGTTTCTTCAGAGGCCGGGCGCAGTGGCTCACGTCTGTAATCCCAGCAATTTGGGAGGCCAAGGTGGGTGGATCACCTGAGGTCAGGAGTTCGAGACCAGCCCGGCCAACATGGCAAAACCCCGTCTCTACTAAAAATACAAAAAAAAAAGGCCGGGTGTGGTGGCTCACACCTGTAACCCCAGCACTTTGGGAGGCTGAGGCGGGCGGATCATGAGGTCAGGAGATCGAGACCATCCTGGCTAACACGGTGAAACCCCATCTCTACTAAAAATACAAAAAACTAGCCGGCCGCAGTGGCGGGCGCCTGTAGTCCCAGCTACTCGGGAGGCTGAGGCAGGAGAATGGCGTGAACCCGGGAGGCAGAGCTTGCAGTGAGCCGAGATGGCGCCACTGCAGTCCGGCGTGGGTGAAAGAGCGAGACTCCGTCTCAAAAAAATAAAAATACAAATACAAAAAAAAAAACACAAAAAACCATAGCCTGGCGTGGTGGCTCGTGCCTGTAATCCCAGCTACTCATGGGGCTGAGGCAGGAGAATTACTTGAACCTGGGAGTTGGAGGTTGCAGTGAGCTGAGCTTGCGCCACTGCACTCCAGCCTGGGCAACAGTGCAAGACTCCGTCTCGGAAAAAAATAAAAAATAAATACAAGTACAAAAATTAGCCAGGCATCATGGTGTGAGCCTGTAGTCCCAGCTACTGAGGACGCTGAGGTAGGAGAATCACTTGAACCCTGGAGGAGGAGGTTGCAGTGAGGCGAGATCATTTTACTGCACTCCAGCCTGGATGACAGAGTGAGACTCTGTGTCAGAAAAAAAAAAAAAGCTACTCAGTGGCTACAAGTTTGGACGTTTTGAACTGTTTAGTTGGTTACTCTGAAGAAAAAAACTTTTTTATTTTTTTTTGCAACAGAGTCTTGCTCCATTGCCCAGGCTGTAGTGCAGTGGCACAATCTCGGCTCACTGCAACCTCCACCTCCCGGGTCCAAGTGATTTTCCTGCCACAGCCTCCCGAGTAGCTGGGATTATAGGCATGCACCACCACGCCTGGCTAATTTTTATATTTTTAGTAGGGACAGGGTTTCGCCGTGTTAGCCAGGCTGGTCTCGAACTCCTGACCTCAAGTGATCCACCCCCGTTGGCCTCCCAAAGTGCTGGGATTACAGGTGTGAGCCACTGTGCCCAGCCACTGAGTAGCATTTTATGACTGGGTTGATTAAAGCAGAGAATGTCAGCTTTATAAAAGGGACCACCAGTACAATTTGAACAAAAACTTGGGACATTGTCAAAGTTGTCCACTCCGACTAAAAGGATTCTTAGGTCAGGTTTTGTCAAGTTACCTGCAGAAGCTACTGAATGCGATATTTATTTATTTGTTTGCTTATTTATTTATGAAACAGAGTCTCACTCTGTCACCCAGGCTGGAGTGCAGTGGTGCAATCTCAGCTCATTGCAACCTCCACCTCCTGGGTTCAAGCGATTCTCTTGCCTCAGCCTCCTGAGTAGCTGGGATTACGGGCATGTGTCACCACACCCAGCTCATTTTTGTATTTTTAGTAGAGACTGGGTTTCACCATTTTGGCCAGGCTGGTTTCAAACTCCTGACCTCAGGCGATCCACCAGCCTCAGCCTCCCAAAATGCTGGGATTACAGGCATGAGCCACTGCACCCGGCCTGAATTTATTTTTTTAAGAGATAGGGTCTTGCTCTCTGGCCCAGGTGGGAGTGTAGTGGCATGATCATGGCTCACTGCAGTCTCAACCTCCTGGGCTCAAGCGATCCTCCTGCCTCAGCCTCTTGAGTAGCTGACGCTACAGGCATGCACTACCACACCTGGCTAATTTAGTCTTTCTATGAAACCTAAAAAGAATGATTGGTGAGTGATAGCAGTGGATAAAATTAGTCTTAAAGTTGCAGCAGTGCGGTTCAGCAACTATTAGATAAACTGGTTTCAGGTTAGAGGCCGCTTCAGCAACTAGGCTTGCAGGTAATAATTTTTGGAGCAATGCTGTGTGTCCTGAGTGCTTTTCCCCTTGGCCTTTTTTTTTTTTTTTTTTTTTTTTTTTGAGATGGAGTCTCACTCTGTCACCCATGCTGGAGTGCAGTGGCGCGATCTCGGCTCACTGCAAGCTCCGCCTACTGGATTCAAGCCATTCTCCTGCCTCAGCCTCCCGAGTAGCTGGGACTACAGGTGCCGACCACCACACCCAGCTAGTTTTTTGTATTTTTAGTAGAGACGGGGTTTCACCGTGTTAGCCAGGATGGTCTTGATCTCCTGACCTCGTGATCCACCCGCTTCAGCCTCCCAAAGTGCTGGGATTACAGGCGTGGGCCGCCGCGCCCAGCTCCCCTTGGCTTCTTGACTCTGTTGCAGCTGGGTATGGTGATAATGACCCAGTCCATAAGATCAGCGTTCACATGTGGCTCATGACTAGACCGCGCGCCTCCTTGTGGTGGTACGGCAGTGGGATGCACATTTTCCTTTGACCAGCGTTCTCCCAGCTGTCGCACCGCTCACTCCCATGCTGTTACAGGTCACCTCTTGCAGGGGCATATTTGATCGCTGGGCACTTAGTGTTTGTTGTTCCATCATTATGCAAACAGCCGCCTCTTGATGAACCTTCAGTGACCCAGAAGAAGGTGTGAGAAGTGTGGCTGGACCCCGCTTTCGGAAATGCTCTGGACTCCCCTAACGTCCTGGGGAATTACAGGGTTCCTTCACATGTTTCCAGTTGGAAGCAAGTACTCCACTTACTTTGGCTTTTGAAAACTATTTCCCTAGCCATCGACGAGTACAAGCCCCAGGATGCTACCACCAACCCGTCCCTGATCCTGGCCGCAGCACAGATGCCCGCTTACCAGGAGCTGGTGGAGGAGGCGATTGCCTATGGCCGGAAGCTGGGCGGGTGAGTGCCTGGACTCGGGAGGGTCCCAGCTAGGCCCTCGTGCTAGTCTAGTTGGCCTTGCTTCCCTCCCTAACTGAATTTTAGTTCTCAAACACCATGAACTCAAGGGGGGAAAAAAACCCTATCTTTTTGCCTATTTTTGTTTATTGAAGTGTAATCTGCATGAAGTAACCTGCACCTGTGGTAAATGAGCAGTTCAGAGAGTTTTGCCAATGTGTGTACCCTGTAAATACCACCCCAGTCAAGATGCAGAGCACTTGCAGACCCCCACAGGCCCCTCCTCCCCTCCTGTAGTCAGTCTCCCCAGCTCTGGTAACACTTACCTTCTGGCTGTCATTTTATTTTTTACTTTTCAGACGGAGTCTCGCTGTGTCACCCAGGCTGGAGTATAGTGGAGCAATCTTGGCTCACTACAACTTCCGCCTCCCTGGTGCAAGCAATTCTCCTGCCTCAGCTTCCCAATTAGCTGGGCTTACAGGTGTGTGCCACCACTCCTGGCTCATTTTTGTATTTTTTTTTTTTTTTTTTTTGAGACAGAGTTTTGCTTTTGTTGTCCAGGCTGGAGTGCACTGGCACAATCTCGGCTCACCGCAACCTCTGCCTCCCAGATTCAAGCGATTCTCCTGCCTCAGCCTGCCGAGCAGCTGGGATTACAGGCATGCGCCATCACACCTGGCTATAATTTTTGTATTTTTGGTGGAGACAGGGTTTCACCATGTTGGCCAGGCCGGTCTCGAACTTCTTACCTCAAGTGATCCACCTGCCTTGGCCTCCCACAGTGCTCGGATTACAGACGTGAGCCACCGTGCCTGGCTTTTTAATTTTTTAATAGCTTTTATAACTCCCAGAATGTTCTCTGGTACCTGTTTGCAGTAGCTCCCCACTCCCTTACCCAACCAAGCAACTGTAGAGCCCTCTTCATGCCTGTGGCTTTGCATATTTTAGATGTCATTTTAGATTCTCTTCAGGGTAATAATTCAAAGCTTGAAGATGGTGCCGAGCAGGCAACGTGGGCACCACACAGGAGCAGGTCCCTCTCTGGTACTGGCTTTGCTTAGGTCCAGGTGGCTGGTGAGTGGCTCCCCTGACCATGTTGTGACAGCCACTCTGGACACTGAGTCTGACCCTCTCCTCTCTCTTCTTAGCTCCCTTTTCCTCATCTCGTGGTGTTGCACCCCTGTGGCATCAGTGAGGCCTTGGTGCTCCTGTTATTGGGTGACATTGGTGCCTTTGCTTGGCTGGGTGATCAACAGATGAGCCCTGCACCCATGTCCAGATGGCCCCAAATTTTTTTTTTTTTTTTTTTTTGAGATAGAGTTTGGCTCTGTCACCTAGGCTGGAGTGCAGTGTCACAATCTCAGCTCACTGCAGCCTCTACATCCTAGGCTCAAGCCAGCCTCCCACCTCAGCCTCCCAAGTAGCTGGGACTACAGGTGCACGCCACCACACCTGGCTAATATTTGTATTTGTTTTTAGAGGCAGGGTTTCACCATGTTGCCCTAGCTGGTTTCGAACTCCTGAGCTTGAGCAGTCTGCCCACCTTGGCCTGCCAGGGTGCTGTGATTACAGGCGTGAGCCACTGCACCCAGTCTGGCCCAAGAATTCTAACCTCTGAGCGTCTAGCTGAAGATCTTCCTGTGTGTAGTGGGCTAACAAGGCTGCTCAGATTTTGGAACAGAATCATGGACTTCACTGGGTGTCTGTCCAATAACTTTGAAGAGATAGAAAATATAATATTTTGCAAGTGCCAAAAGATAGAGGGATGCAGTTTGGGATGATGAAAAGAGCTCTGGAGATGGATGGTGATGGTTGTACAGAACTGTGAATGTGCTGAATACATTTTAAAATGGTGGGCTGGGGGCAGTGGTGCACGCCTGTAACCCCAGTGCTTTGGTAGGCCAAGATGGGAGGATCCCTTCAGCCTAAGAGTTCGAGAACAGTCTAGGCAATAGGGCAAAACTCTGTCTCTACAAAAAAATATAAAAATTAGCTGGGCATGGGCCAGGCGTGGTGGCTCACGCCTGTAATCCCAGCACTTTGAGAGGCCAAGACAGGCGGATCACGAGGTCAGGAGATCGAGACCATCCTGGCTAACACGGTGAAACCCCGTCTCCACCAAAAATACAAAAAAATTAGCCGGGCACAGTGGCGGGCGCCTGTAGTCCCAGCTACTCAGGAGGTTGAGGCAGGAGAATGGCGTGAACCGCGGGGGGCAGAGCTGGCAGAGCCGAGATTGTGCCACTGCACTCCAGCCTGGGCGACAGAGTGACACTCCATCTCAACAAAACAAAAAAATTAGCCAGGTATAGAGGTGTGCAGCTGTAGTCCCAGCTACTTGGGAGGCTGAGGCAGGAGGATCACTTGAGCCCGGGAGGTCAAGGCTGTAATGAGCCATAATCACACTACTGTGCTTCCAGCCTTAGCTGGAGACCCTGTCTTGGGGGAAAAAAAAAAGGATAAGATGGGAAATTTTATGTTATATGTATTATTTGGCCACAATAAAAAAATGTTTTAAGAGAAAAAAAAAGATGGAGGGAAGGAAATTTGGCAAAGAAATAACAGAATTTATTTTGTAGAGTCTTGTGCACTTGAACCTCAGAAGCTTCTTTTTTTTTTTCTTGAGATGGAGTCTCGCTCTGTCGCTCAGGCTGGAGTGCAGTGGCACGATCTCTGCTCACTGCAAGCTCCACCTCCCAGGTTCACGTCATTCTCCTGCCTCAGCCTCCCTAGTAACTAGGACTACAGGCACCCGCCACCATGCCCAGCTAATTTTTTAATATTTTTAGTGGAGACGGGGTTTCACCGTGTTAGCCAGGATGGTCTTGATCTCCTGACCTCATGATCCGCCCACCTCGGCCTCCCAAAGTGCTGGGATTACAGGCGTGAGCCACCGCACCTGGCGAACCTCAGAAGCTTCTAACCTGCTTTTTTTCCCTTTGAATTTCAGGTCACAAGAGGACCAGATTAAAAATGCTATTGATAAACTTTTTGTGTTGTTTGGAGCAGAAATACTAAAGAAGATTCCGGGCCGAGTATCCACAGAAGTAGACGCAAGGTAAGGATGCTTGCTCCTGCACTGGATGGGCTGGTCAGGTGTCCACAGTTGCACACGTGGATGCCAACATGAGGTCAAGGGGCTGCTCCACCCATGGTCTTCATCCCAAGGGCCCAAGAGGAGGTTTATTTTGAGCTCTCCCACAGTTGGTAGTGATGACCAAGAGCTCCTTGTTTAGCAACTGATCTCTAGTGTTTTTTATTTTTATTTTTATTTATTTTTGAGATGGAGTCTCGCACTGTCACCCAGGCTGGAGTACAGTGGCGCAATCTCAGCTCACTGCAACCTCTGTCTCCCGGCTTGAAGCGTTTCTCTGCCTCAGCCTCCCAAGTAGCTGAGATTACAGGCACCTGCCACCATGCCCAGCTAATTTGTTGTATTTTTAATAGAGATGGGGTTTGACCATTTTGGCCAGGCTGGTCTTGAACTCCTGACGTCATGATCCACCTGCCTCGGCCTCCCAAAGTGCTGGGATCACAGGCATGAGCCACTGTGCCCGGCTGCTAGTGTTTTTTGTTTTGATTTGTTTTGTTTGTTTTTTGAGACAGAGTCTCGCTCTGTTGCCAGTGTAGAGTGCAGTGGTGTGATCTCAGCTCACTGCAACCTTCACCTCCCGGGTTCAAGCGATTCTCCTGCCTCAGCCTCCCAAGTAGCTGGGACTACAGACACCCGCCACCATACCCAGCTAATTTTTTTGTATTTTTAGTAGCGACAGGGTTTCACCATGTTGGCCAGGATGGTCTCGATCCCTTGACCTTGTGATCTTCCCGCCTCAGCCTCCCAAAGTGTTGGGATTACAGGCGTGAGCCACGGCACCTGGCCCAGTGTTTTTTAATACAAATTATAGCCTATGGATCCCACTGAGGACCTCTGTTTGTGAGACTGGGTGTGAGTTGCTGTCAGAGCCATTCTGCAAACCTCCAGTGAGGGGAAGGTTGAGGGCAGTGGTTGGTGCTCACGGTGGTGCTGCTCAAAACTGACAGGCAGACACCCGGCCTCCAGCTTGCTCTGCGTGGTGGGCAACCTGCGTGATCTGAGGGGATGGGTTCTTCTTGCTCCTACAGGCTCTCCTTTGATAAAGATGCGATGGTGGCCAGAGCCAGGCGGCTCATCGAGCTCTACAAGGAAGCTGGGATCAGCAAGGACCGAATTCTTATAAAGCTGTCATCAACCTGGGAAGGAATTCAGGCTGGAAAGTAAGTGGTCCCCCACAAGGAAGGAGCTCTCAGAGATTTTTCCTCTGTTGGAGCAGGGTCTACATGGCATCAGGCAAGTTTGACTCTCTCAGCCCTGGGGAATGCCAGACTGGGGAGCACAGCCCACAGCTTGGACTTGACCAGCTCATGTCAGCCTAGATCTGCCCTCTGCTCCAGAGCCAGCTCCCTCACTTGCTGGTGATCAGAAATGAGGGATTTCCCAGGAAGTACCATCCACCCACTCAGCAGAGAAGAAAAGCCACTAGTTAGCACCTGCAGATTCAGATTCTGTCCTTCCTCTGTCCTGATCAACACAAGCCTATGTTTACATGATTTTTAAAAAGTAAACTATTGTTATATAAAATATATGCTGGCTGGGCAAGATGGCTCATGCCTGTAATCCCAGCAATTTGGGAGGCTGAGATGGGAGGATCACTTGAGCCCAGGAGTTCCAGACCAGCCTGGGCAACAAAGTGAAACCTTGTCTCTACAAAAATATAAAGAAATTTTAGGCTGGGCACGGTGGCTCCCAGCACTTTGGGAGGCCGAGGCGTGGGGATCACGAGGTCAGGAGATCGAGACCATCCTGGCTAACACGGTGAAACCCCGACTCCACTAAAAAATATAAAAAATTAGCCGGGCATGGTGGCACACACCTGTAGTCCCATTTAGGAGGCTGAGGCAGGAGAATTGCTTGAACCCAGGAGGCGAAGGTTGCAGTTAGCTGAGATCACACCACTGCACTCCAGTCTGGGTGACAGAGCAAGACTCTGTCTCAAAAAGAAAAGAAAACTTTTAGGCCGGGCACGGTGGCTCATACCTGTAATCCTAGCACTCTGGAAGCCTGAGGTGGGTAGATCACCTGAGGTCAGGAGTTCGAGACCAGGCTGGCCAAGATAGTGGAACCCCGTCTCTACCAAAACTACAAAAAATTTAGCTGGGCGTGGTGGCAGGTGCCTGTAATCCTAGCTACATGGGAGGCTGAAGCAGGAGAATCACTTCAACCTGGGAGGTGGACGTTGCAGTGAGCCGAGATTGCACCATTGTACTCCAGCCTGGGTGACAGAATGAGACTCCATCTCAAAAAAAAAAAAAAAAAAGAAAAGAAAAACTAGCCCACCCCTGTGATTCCAGCTACTTAGGAGGCTGAGGCGGGAGGATCGCTTGAGCCTGGGAAGTTGAGGTTCCAGTAGCTATGATCGTACCACTGCACTCCAGCCTGGGTGACAGAGTGAGACCCTGTCTCAGAAAAACCAAACCAAACATATGTACGTTCAGAGTGGAAGAGACAGAAAATGTATAAAACAAAGTAAAACTCCTCTATGATGTTCTCACCCAGAAGCAGCCAATGCTATACTCAAATAATTCGCATCAGGAAGAGGTGTTTTGTTTCCACATCTGTGTGTCTGCATGTTCTACCACCTGCCATCACTGACCTGCTCTGAGATAGCATCTCACTTTTTCACCACGGCTGGAGTGCAGTGGCACGAACTTGGCTCACTGCAGCCTTGACTCCAGGCTCAAGCTATCTTTCCACCTCAGTCCCCCAAGTGGCTGGGATGACAAGCACACATACCACTCCTGGGTAATTTCACCACGTTCCCCAGGCTGGTCTCGAACCCCTGGGCTCAAGAGATCTCTACCCATCTTGGCCTCCCAAAGTGCTGGGATTATAGGCATGAGCCATTGTGCCTGGCCTCATTTGTGTGTTTTTTTGTTTTTTTTTGTTTTTGAGACGGAGTTTCATTCTCGTCCATGCTGGAGTGCAATGGTGCTATCTCAGCTCACTGCAACCTCCACCTCTGGGGTTCAAGAGATTCTCCTGCCTCAGCCTCCGGAGTAGCTGGGATTACAGGCAGGCGCCACCACTCCCGCCTAATTTTATATTTTTAGTAGAGATGGGGTTTCTCATGTTAGTCAGGCTGATCTCAAACTCCCAGCCTCAGGTGATCCGCCCGCCTCGGCCTCCCAAAGTGTTGGGATCACAGGTTTGAGCCACTGCACCTGGCCGGACCATTTGTTTTTATATGTTGGAAAATACTCCATTTTATGGATAGGCCACAGTTATTCATCTGTTGGTGGACACCTGGTCAGTTTCCATCTCTTGAGCTGTGATGTATATTGCTGTGGTCGGTTTCCATTTCTCGGGCTGTGATGTATGCTGCTGCTCTGAACACATCTGCTGCTATGAACACATCTGCTGCTCTGAACACAGATGTGCAAGTTTTGTCCTGGACATGTGTTTTTGTTTCTCGTGGGCATATGCCTAGGAGTGGAGTCTCTGGGTGACTGCTGGAGGAACTGCAGGCTGTTTCCCAACTCAGCTGTGCCATCTGCTGTCCCCCTCGAACACCCCCGTGTGGCCATGTGGCAGAGGCGCCTGGGGAGGGAACTTGTGTCTGAAGGTGCCTGAGCAGAGCCTTGGCTGTCTCATCCCATGCCCCAGCCACATGGCAAAGTATGGGCACTGCTCCGTCCTTGGGGATCAACCCCAGGATGTCCAAAGTGCACTGGGATTTGGGCAAGTGGCCTAGTGAGGCCAAGGGGCTCCTCTCAGCAGAAACCAGGGTGCTACGGGCCTGCTGCAGGGTGGCCCCAGGAATGGGTAGGGTGGAACAGGGTGAGGACTGGAATGTGGTCAGAGATGACTCAGTGGTTCTAGCCTGGGAGCTGAGCCCTGGTGAGTTCTGGGATGAGGTGACGGCCTGGCGCAAGAGCACGGGCACCCAGAGGGCCTCCCTTGCCTTTGTCTATTGTGTCATGTGGGTTGGAGAAAATCCTGGTCACCCATAACCCACTATCCACTTAGAGCCCTCGAGTCTTACCGATTTGTTCTTAACAATGGCATGAGCCTGTTCCTGCCTTTTTAGTTTAAGGCCCGTGAGCGTCTTTGGCAGCCTGTGGCTCTGGGTGGGCACCTGGCCTGCATTCACCTGCCCCGCCCTCACCTGCCCCGCCCTCACCTGCCCCCGCCCTCACCCGCCCCCGCCCTCACCCATCCCCGCCCTCACCGTCCCCGCCCTCACCCGCCCCCGCCCTCACCTGTCCCCGCCCTCACCTGCCCCGCCCTCACCTGTCCCCGCCCCGCAGGGAGCTCGAGGAGCAGCACGGCATCCACTGCAACATGACGTTACTCTTCTCCTTCGCCCAGGCTGTGGCCTGTGCCGAGGCGGGTGTGACCCTCATCTCCCCATTTGTTGGGCGCATCCTTGATTGGCATGTGGCAAACACCGACAAGAAATCCTATGAGCCCCTGGAAGACCCTGGTGAGGGTCCCTCTGTGGTAATGGGGTAAGGGGAGCAGCCTCAGCAGCACCTCAGGCAGGAAGAGCCCGAGACGGAGCTGCCGCATCAACAAGCAGTGAGGTGCACAGGTCGGCGCGGGGCAGGCAGGGGTGGCGGCTCAAGGTAGTGCAGCCGGCAGGCACTGGGAGGGCAGGTGGGGTGGTACCTCTGCCGAAGCCTTCCTGGTCACAGCTTGGTCTCTTTCCAGGGGTAAAGAGTGTCACTAAAATCTACAACTACTACAAGAAGTTTAGCTACAAAACCATTGTCATGGGCGCCTCCTTCCGCAACACGGGCGAGATCAAAGCACTGGCCGGCTGTGACTTCCTCACCATCTCACCCAAGCTCCTGGGAGAGCTGCTGCAGGACAACGCCAAGCTGGTGCCTGTGCTCTCAGCCAAGGCGGGTGAGGCCCCACTGCCCAGCTGTGGCTCCTGCTCGGGCAAGGCCAGCACTGCCGTGCCACGCTGCCCTGTGGGTGATCCCTCCCACCTGTGGGGCGAGCTCATCTTGGGAGACATGAGGGTGAAGTAGACCTCAACGGAGGGCTTGGCTTTCCTAACACATCTCACTCAAGTCATCAGCCAAGGCTCTGTGGGCTGAACCCCACTTCCAGCGTGAGCCTTGCTGGGGCCAAGGCCTGGCCCTGGTGGGAGATGCTTGGGTGCAGCAGTTCAGGCCCTGAGCCCAAGGGGCCAAGGTGGGCAGGGACATGGAGCAGGCATGGAAGGCTGGTTCTTGTCCCCCAGCCCAAGCCAGTGACCTGGAAAAAATCCACCTGGATGAGAAGTCTTTCCGTTGGTTGCACAACGAGGACCAGATGGCTGTGGAGAAGCTCTCTGACGGGATCCGCAAGTTTGCCGCTGATGCAGTGAAGCTGGAGCGGATGCTGACAGTGAGTGTTGTGTGTGGGTACCTACATATGCCAAGCCCTATGAGAGCCCGGGCCTGGGCGTCGGGGTTCAAGCTGGGCAGAGTTAAAACTTTGGTGAGACCCCAGGTCTCATTCACGTGCTGTCCAGCAAGTGGGGCCTGTTGAGGCCATCCCAGGGTGGAGGGTGCATGGCACCCAGGGGTGCCCCCAGGATGCTTGGTGGGTCCTGGCTCCTCTCTGGCCTGTGTGGTGACTGTGGTATTGGCCACCCTGTGGCCGTGGCCCCCACACAGAGTGCAGACCCCACAAGGGCCTCCCTCCTTCCACATGGTGCCTTGTGAGGCTTCAAGGTGCAGAAGGTAGGGTGGGGAGACACAGCTCGTGCTCTGTTTGTTTCTAGGAACGAATGTTCAATGCAGAGAATGGAAAGTAGCGCATCCCTGAGGCTGGACTCCAGATCTGCACCGCCGGCCAGCTGGGATCTGACTGCACGTGGCTTCTGATGAATCTTGCGTTTTTTACAAATTGGAGCAGGGACAGATCATAGATTTCTGATTTTATGTAAAATTTTGCCTAATACATTAAAGCAGTCACTTTTCCTGTGCTGTTTCATTCACTGTCTCCGTCCCCTTTGTCCCCTAAGCATCACCTGCCCCAGCTGTGATGGGCTGTAACCTAGGTTAGGACTCAGAGATGGGGTCGGGGTCAGGGTACCCCAGACACAACCCACCGCCTGGGCCACCACCTGGGAACCCAGGTCAGGGTTGTTGCTGGGAGGCCATTGGTGGAGTTAGGCAAAGGGCAGGCTTCTGATGCCAGGGGCTCCCAAGGTGCTGTCCCAGGTGGGTCACAGATGAACAGTCTCAAGCCTCCAAGCGTGGGCAGATGTGGATGCCTCTCAGAGGAGCAGTCCCAGCCGGACCCTCCCTCCTGCTCTTGAGGGCCTGGGCCTCCTGTTCCCTGTCAAGGCTGCCCTGCCCATGCCCCCCGCCCCCCTCCTGTCCTGTTGTGGCTGAGACCTTACATGGGATGCCAGGTTCCTGCATGGGGTCATGGTGCCACCTTGTGGGGGCAGCACGACATGCACCAGCCACTGGCCTTGAAGTCGCCACCCCCATTTTTTTTGTTGTTTGAGACGGAATCTCACTCTGTCGCCCAGGCTGGAGTGCGCCCCGGGCAGTGGTGCGATCTCGGCTCCCTGCAACCTCCGCCTCCCAGTTTCAAGCGATTCTCTTTACCTCAGCCCCCACAAGTAGCTGGGATTACAGGCGCCTGCCATCATGCCCGGCTAATTTTTTGTATTTTAGTAGAGACAGGGTTTCACCATTTCAGCCAAGCTGGTCTTGAACTCCTGACCTTGTGATCCACCCACCCCGGCCTCCCAAAGTGTTGGGATTACAGGTGTGAGCCACCATGCCCGGCCTCTCCCTGTTTTTCAATACACGGCCTCACTCTGTTGCCCAGGCTGGAGTGCAGTGATGCAATCTTGGCTCACTGTAGCCTCCACCTCCCAGGCTCAAGTGATCCTCCCGCCTGTAGTTGAGACTACAGGCGCGCACCACCATGCATGGCTAATTTTCTATTTTTTGTAGAGATGGGGGGTCTCACCACACTGCCTAGGCTGGTCTCGAACTCCTAGGCTCATGCGATCCTCCTTCTGCGGCCTCCTAAAGTGCAGGGATTACAGGCCTGAGCCACTGCACCCGGCCACCTTTACGGATCCTACAGCACTGGGCTGTAGGATGGAGCTGCAGCTTCTCACCCTGAACCTAAAACAAGCTACCCTACCTTACACCAGCCATCTGGCCACTGCCCCTCAACTCCAGTCTGGGTTGGGCATGCCCGCCCATCCAGGGTGCAAGAGGGGACAACTCGGGCAGAGCAGCAGGCCAGGGAGGCAGCTGGGCTGCCAGTGCCCTTGATCAAGACCAGTGCAGGGCTCCTCCTGGGGTGGAGAGCTGAGTGGGCAGAGCCCTCCCCACACCAACCCCCACTGCTGAGGAGTCCCTCCCACCCTTCAAGGCTTCCCACAGGAGGCCAGGCCTCTGCCTCCGAGCCGGTCAACAAGCTAAGTCCTAAGAGGACATCAAAGGTCTTGTGGCTCCCAATTATTAACAGCACCACTATCTCCAAGGAGGCCCAGCAGAATGGGGCTCTGGGGATGTGACTAAGTTTGTGAGTGTCGTTTGCAAACATCAAGTTCACCCACTTGCCCCTATGATTCAGTCATCTTAGAACTGTGAAACCATCACCCCAAAATGAAATCTCATACCTATTTGTTCCCAGCCTCAAACAATCTATTTTCTGTCTGACTTACATTTTCTGGATATTTCACAAAAATGGTATCACAGGGTAAAGGCCTTTTGAGACAGTCTTCTTTCACTCACTCAGCATTCTGTCCAGGTCCGCCCACATCATAGAACGTAAAAGAACTTCCCTCCTAGCCAGGCACGGGGGTGTGTCCCTCCTAGCCGGGCATGGGGCTGTGTCCCTGCAGTAGCTGGGCATGGGGGTGTGTCCCTGCAGTCTTGTCTACTGGAGAGGCTGAGGTGGAAGGATCACTTGAGGCCAGTTCAAGGCTGCAGCGAGCAGTAACTGCACCTGTGAATAGTCACACTCTAGCCAGGGCAATGCAGCAAGATCCTATTAAAAATAACTTCATTCCATTTTAATAGCCAAATAATCCACCATATGAATATATTGCCCTTATTAATAGATACCAACAATTATTAAACATATTGACAACCCACTGTATGAAAACAACTTATCCATTACCATGAGCAGTTCTGCTGCGAACACCAGGACACCATTTGCATGCTGCTGCATGGTTTTATTCCTCATGGGTAGATGAACACACACTGGTATATGGGGAAATCCTCACCCGCCCTCCGCTGCTCTTCTGGAGGTCTGTCCTCTTGCTTTCCTCCTCTGCCCCAGCCTGGTGCTGCCCCAAGCCCTGCCCTGGCAAAGAGAGAACTGTGCACAGCGGGGAGGCTCTCCAAGCCAGAGGCCTCGCACGCAGCTGAGGAATGACGCAGGGGCCTGCAGGCAGCTCACGCGGAGACAGGTCTGTGGGGCCCCGCGTCAGAACCCACTTCACATCCCAAAGCCCCACCTGCTTTGATCTTCAATGCTGGGCTCAATGTCAGATCTGGCTGACCAGAGGGGCTCAATGAGGCTCACTGGCTCTTCATGCACCCTGCTGTGGCCTGAGCACGTCCCCCCAAAACCCACCTGCTTAAGTCCTCACCTGCAAGGGGATGGTATTAGGTGGGGCATTTGGGAGGTCATCCGGTCACAGGGCAGGGGCACAGCCTCATCATGGGACCATCACCCTCACAAAAGAGGTTGCATCTACTGGTGCTTTCATCTTGGGCTTCCAGCCTCCAAAACTGAAACTGATTTCTGTTGTTTATAAGCCACTAGGTTTACAATATTTTCTTTTTTTTTTTTTTTGAGATGGAGTCTTGCTCTGTCACCCAGACTAGAGTGCAGTGGCACGATGTCAGCTCACTGCAACCTCCGCCTCCTGGGTTCAAGCGATTCTCCTGCCTCAGCCTCCCAAGTAAATGGGATTACAGGCGCCCACCACCGCGCCCGGCTAATTTCTGTATTTTTAGTAGAGACGGGGTTTCACCATCTTGGCCAGGCTGGTCTCGAACTCCTGACCTCAGGTGATCCACCTGCCTCAGCCTCCCAAAGTGCTGGGATTACAGGCGTGAGCCACCGTGCCCGGCCAGTTTACAGTATTTTCTTATAGGAGCCCAAATGGACTAGGACATTAAGACATGAGCTTGCCTGTAGTCCCAGCACTTTGGGAAGCCGAGGCGGGCAGATCATGAGGTCAAGAGATCGAGACCATCCTGGCCAACATGGTGAAACCCCGTCTCTACTGAAAATACAAAAACTAGCTGGGCGTAGTGGCATGCACCTGTAGTCCCAGTTACTCGGGAGGCTGAGGCAGGAGAACTGCTTGAATCTGGGAGGCAGAGGCAGAGGTTGCAGTGAGCTGAGATCGCGCCACTGCACTCCAGCCTGCCAACAGAGCAAGACTCCATCTCAAAAAAAAAAAAAAAGGAAAAATACAAAAATTAGCTGGGTGTGGTGGTGTGCACCTGTAGTCCTAGCTACTTGGGAGGCTGAGGCAGGAGAATCACTTGAACCCGGGAGGCGGAGGCTGCAGTGAGCCGAGATCGTGCCACTGTGTTCCAGCCTGGGCGACAGAGTGAGACTCCATCCAAAAAATAAAATAAAAATAAAAAAGTACTTGTTAGCCGGACGTGGCGGCTCACGCCTGTAATCCCAGCACTTTGGGAGGCTGAGGAAGATGGATCACCTGAGGTCAGGAGTTCAAGACCAGCCTGGCCAACATGATGAAACCCCATCTCTACTAAAAACAAAAATTACGCCGGGCGCAGTGGCTCACGCCTGTAATCCTAACACTTTGGGAGGCCGAGGCGGGAGGATCACTTGAGGTCAGGAGTTCGAGACCAGCCTGGCCAACATGGTGAAACTCGGTCTCTACGAAAAATACAAAAATTAGCCAGGCGTGGTGGCGCACACCTGTAATCCCAGCTACTCCGGAGGCTGAGGCAGGAGAATCGCTTGAACCCGGGAGACAGAGGTTGCAGTGAGCCAAGATTGTGCCACTGCACTCCAGCCTGGGTGACGAGAGACAAACTCCATCTCAAAAAATAAATAAAATAAAAAGCATTTGTCCACAGAGGTCCATCACCACACGGGGATGAGAGTGGACCCGGGACAGAGCAAGGCCCCGTGGCCAGTGCTAAGTGGGCATCCTGACTAATCTGCGAGGCACTGGAGGGACGCAGCCTTCAGGGCGGGGATGTGGCTGCAGCGCTTCCTTCTTCCACTTTTTTCCAAATTCTCCTTATTGAACGGCTTTATTTTATTATTTTTTATTTTTGAGACGGAGTTTCACTCATTGCCCAGGTTGGAGTGCAATGGCGCAATCTTGGCTCACTGCAACTTCCGCCTCCCAGGTTCAAGCAATTCTCACGTCTCAGCCTCCCAAGTAGCTGGGAATACAGGCGCCTGACACCACACCCGGCTCATTTTTGTATTTTAGTTTCACCATGTTGGCCAGGCTTTTCCCAAACTCCTGACTTCAGATGATCCACCCACCTTGGCCTCCCAAAGTGCTGGGATTACAGGCGTGAGCCACCGCGCCCAGCCAACTGAACGTTTTTTTTTTGAGATGGAGTCTCACTCTATTGCCCAGGCTGGAGTGCAGTGGCACGATCTCAGCTCACTGCAAGCTCTGCCTCCCAGGTTCACGCCATTCTCCTGCCTCAGCCTCCCAAGTAGCTGGGACTACACACACCCACCACCATGCCAGGCTAACTTTTTGTATTTTTGTTTTTTAGTAGAGATGGGGTTTCACCATGTTAGCCAGGATGGTCTCGATCTCCTGACCTCGTGATCCGCCCGCCTCGGCCTCCCAAAGTGCTGGGGTTACAGGTGTGAGCCACTGCGCCCGGCCCAACTGAACGGTTTTATAATCACAAGGGGCCTCCTGGCAGGTCACTGGCACCAGGAGCCACGCTGGTGCTTGGGAACGGCTGTGGCTGAGACGGGGAGGTGGGCAGGAAGAAGGCCTTCGATGGCTCAAACTGGGGAACTGTGAGGAAGTAGAGGGCCTAAGCCTCTCCTGGACGCCCTAACCTGGGGCCAGGGGGCAGCCCGCTGGAGGGCCACAGCCCAGGCCAGGTGCCCAGCAGGCTGGACCACTGTCTGCTCTTGATAGCCGCTCTACCCGAGGCCACTGTGCAAGGCCGTGGGGGACAGCACTTTCCTATCATTGAGAATCTCATGGTCTCATATTCACAAGTAAACGTGCCTCTCAATGCTTAGGACAGGGTGCATCACTGAGGTGCTTACACTTTGAAACCACACGCCAGGAAGATTTCTTCAACAGGAAAGTGCTGCCAGTGCCGGTCGGCCTTGGGGCAGGAGGCTGCTGCTCCTAAAAAATTCCGTTCACCTTTGGCCAAAGTTCTGAGCCAGCTCCCGCCGGCTGGGCCCTCCCCTCAAGGCCCCCACCAACAGTGAAAGAGGTGGTGGGTGGCAGACAGGCCACAGCAGGGCAAACCCACACAGAGGACCCCCGAGCCGACTCTGTCTAGTCAACAGTGACCACACGTGACAACCAGTCCTCCCTAGAAAACCCAGCCTGGAATTCCCGAGGACCACCTAGCAGCTAGCACAGCTCTCCAGGCACGTGGGGTCTTTTCTCTGCCTCCTACCAGAGAACATGCAGGAGGATGGGGGTTTGGACCCTCCAGGAGAGCCGACACCCCCTCAGAGCTGATTCCAGGAGGCCTCCAACAATCCCATCAGGGCCAGACCAGGCTGCCATCCAGGGCCCTTGTCAGGAGGGAAGAGGCGGGGTCCCTGAAGCCTGAGACGGGGCTGCCTCTGGAGACACCTGGGCTGTCTCAGGGGGTGCATCTACCCAGCAGGTTCATTTCCTGCAGGACAGACGTGTGGTCAAAGCTTGGGCAAAAGCACCGGGTGCAGCTCTGATGTGGCAGGAATGTGCCCACCCTGGTGCCCTCACCGGCTGCCACAGAGGAAGAGCAGGTTCTGCACGGCCGGGACAGTGGAGCTGGCATTCTGGCCTGTGACCAGGTGGCGGTCCAGCACGACGTGGACAGCGTCAGGCTCGCTTGCTGGGGAGGACCGAGGGCACCAACCTCAGGCAATGTCCACCTCACCCACTGAGAGCCTCGAACTCCAGGCGGGCTCCCAGGGTCAGCAGTAGGTCAGCCTGTCTGGGTCTGAGTCAGTGCCATGGGGGTCTATAGAACCCAGGGCCCAGGAGGCTTCTCCCCCAGGCTGCAGCAGGGAAGCCCCCCACCCCATCTTCTGTAAGTGCAGGGGGCACCCTCGAGGCTCACCACTGAAGCAGGCGCCCGAATCCTTCACGAAGTCCTCCACCACGAGCGGCAGGCGGGCGAAGCCGGGGGCCCTGACGAGCTCACACACAGAGGGCTGCGGGAGCGGGGTGGGGGCTCCTGAGACAGGCCCAGGCCCTGCGGCCCACCCCAGGGGTCAGGAAGGTCAAGTCAGGGCAGGGAGCCTCACCCAACCAAGTGGGACCGGGGGTGTCACTGCTCATAACAGGGACAGCTGCTAAGGCTGGAGGGCGGAGAGATGACAAAGTCTAGCCATCTTCCCATGGGGTGTCCCTGAGAGCGACACGGCCACTACAGGAGGACGGGCCAGCTCCCCCAGCACCGGAGCACACAGGTGACTAGAATGAGAAGGGCTTGGTGGGGTGAGCCCCTTGGGCAGAGTGCTGGGGCGGGGCACCCTCTGGGCAGGAGTGAATCTAACCACTCACTCAAGGGGTCACGCCCACTTGTAACCTGAGACTGGGTTGGTGTCACCCCTCGGAGGGCACCACTGAGTACCCACTGAGGAAGGGTCCCCTCAGCAGGGGAAGTGACATCTGAGCTGGGGGCCAGGCCTGTTTAACTTCCAGTGAAACCAGCCTCCGCACAGCAGCCACCTCTCCCTGCCTCAGGGCCTGTGGATCAGCCACTCCCACAGCCGCCCCCAGTGTCCACAGAGCCCACTTCACAGCCTTTGGGCCTCAGATTGACAAAGGCTGTGTCTCCGAGGACACCCTGGCTGGGCTCTCAGCCCCTCCTGACTGCACACGCAAGTCTGATGCCCCTCCCTCCCCACGTCCCCTGGTGAGTGGGCCTGGGCTTCCGGGAGACTAGGGGCCAGAGGTTCGGGAGCCTCCGACCTCACCTCTGGCTGTGATGGGGGAGGACAGAGCAGGGAGCACAGCCTGCCTCGGCCTCCAGGCACTCACCCTGGAGCCTCCGACCTCACCTCTGGCTGTGATGGGGGAGGACAGAGCAGGGAGCACAGCGTGCCTCGGCCTCCAGGCACTCACCCTGGAGCCTCCGACCTCACCTCTGGCTGTGATGGGGGAGGACAGAGCAGGGAGCACAGCGTGCCTCGGCCTCCAGACACTCACCCCTGTCAGGCTGTAGCTGTCGAACACCCAGGATCTGTCCTCGTTGGTGGCACAGCACAGGGCGGCGACACCGTGGCCGACGGCGCAGATGGGTTCTGAAAGCCGTACATGGCGTTGAGGCCCTGGACCCCGCCACCCGCACCCTGAAGCCCCTCCCAGATGCCCCTGCTTGTGGCTCCCCCAGGCTTGTGCCGCCTGCCTGGCCCCTCCTCCCAGGTTTCCCTGGAAACTGGACTCAGCACCCGGGTGTCCTGGCTCAGCCCGCACAGCTGGCATCAGGAATCTGCTCGGGGGAGCTGGTGCTTCAGGACTAGGCTCTGGTTTAGAGCCCAAATCTCAGGTTTTGGCAGCCGAGACACACGCAGAGAGGAGGTCCTGAGGTTCCAGGTCTGTTTACCAAACCCTAGGACGCTGCCCGGCAGCCCCACTGCATAGCCTGGCAGGCACTGTGGGAAAGGCCCCTCCCCGGCTAGACAGGACGCCCCTGGGCAGGTGGGAGGTAGCCTGAGGCAATGCCTGTGCCTTGCAGTGGGGACATCCTGGCTCCATCCGAAAGGCTGAGTGTGTTCCCACGGCTGAGGTGGCCACAAACAATTGCTGCCTGTCCAGGCCATGCTGGGGACGGCGGCCCCACTCCAACACACAAAGGGTGCTGTGTAGAGCGCTGGCTTGTCCACCCCGGCCAGTGGACACACTCATCACAGCCCAACCCGGAGCCGGGGCAGCTGCCAGGTCTCCTCAAACAGCCTTCCTCCCTGCACCCCTGCTGGCCTTGAGCCCCAAGCCCAGCCCTGGATGCCAGGCTTTCCCAGAAGGAATCAGGCCGGTGTCCTGCCTTGCTCAGGAGGGCATGGCCACCCACCCTCGGGAGCCCACCCAGAGGCCTGCAAGATGGTCACCAGGAGACGACAAAGTCTGTGTGTGTCGGGGGAAGGGGCAGTCCCTGCCTCCTGCCCACAACCACTGCAGTGGCCACTGACCAGAGATCCAGAAACGCCTACCTGGAGTCTTCCCACCTCTCTTCTGCTGGTGGGAGACCCATTTCTTGTGACACTGCACATCCAACCCCTCCCCTGGGTCCCAGGGGTCACCTACTGCTCTCAGAGTGGAAGTGCTGCAGGATACGGGCCAGGGAGCCACTGCTGGCCAGGTCGGTCAGGGCCCCAGGACAGCTGGGGATCAGGAGGGCATGGTACCGGGCACCTGGGGGGAGACCACAAACCAGGTAGCAGCCACATGTCAAAGTGAGACTACCTGCAGGACCAGGCCCGAGTGCGTGGCCAGGACAGACCCTCCACAGGGACCAGCCAGCCTGGTGATGTCATCTGTCCCTTTTCCTCCATGGGCTACAGCTCCCAAGGGCCCCCCTGACTTTCCTGTCTCCACACACTCACCAACTCTCCTCCCCAGAGGGGCTCAGAAACTCTGGGGCCCAGGATGTGGGGCTGGAGGCTGCCCCAAATGGTCACAGGGCTTCAGGGGCTGAGCTAGGGAGCTCACTAAGACCCCAAACCTATCTGGAACCCTTGACCCTCCAAGGTCCCAGGCACCCCACCCCCAAGGAGTGGGTCCCGGGCCTACCATCGATGGACTCGAGCTTGGCGGGGCTGGCGTAAGCCTTGAGGCGGAAGTCTTGCACCCAGCGTGCATTGCTCTCAGTCACATCCACAAATTCCATGGCTTTCCCCTGGAGAAGCAGAGCCCAGGGGCCGAGGGTCAGCACCAGGGATATCCCTGTCGGCTCAGAGGGAGCCTGAAAAAGCTGACAAGGGACCCAACAGCATCCCCCTGAGGCACAAAGGCCCCCGACCACCCAGCCTCCTTCACGGGATCTCCCAGGGTCGGGGAGCCTGTCCCAGCAGCAGCCTCAGTGGTTTATTTCCTAGCCAACCCACCAACCAAAAATTTTTATACATAATAAATAAACAAAAACCCGCAGTGACAAATACATAATGCATCCTTACTATGACTTATGTACATCTGATATCCCTGGGTCCCCCACGATCAGAGGGTGGAGAATTCCTCCCAGTGGAAACATGTGCCCCTCACACCAGGGCTGCGCCTTGGTCTCCTCCTCACACACGTGCAGAAGCACAGACCCACAGCAAAAAGGTCTCCCTTGGGCTGGGTGCAGAGGCTCACGCCTATAATCCCAGCACTTTGGGAGGCCGAGGCGGGTGGGTCACCTGAGGTTGGGAGTTCGAGACCATCCTGGCCAACACGGTGAAAACCCATCTCTACTAAAAATACAAAATGAGCTGGGCGTGGTGGCGCATGCCTGTAATCCCAGCTACTCGGGAGGCTGAGGCAGGAGGACTGCTTGAACCCGGGAGGCGGAGGTTGTGGTGAGCCGAGATCGCACCACCGCACTCCAGCCTGGGCAACAAGAGCGAAACTCCATCTCAAAAAAAAAAGGAAAAGAAAAGGTCTCCCTCATCACAGATGGGGGATCAGAGCCCAGGAAATGGGGACTGGGACAGGGGGACGCCACCAGGGTTTGGTTACAGACTCTTCACCCCTCCACCAACTGCAGGGGCTCCCCACTCCTCCCAGGCCGCGGCGGCAGTCTCCTGACCTTGCCCCCGGAGAGGTGGAGACAGACCCCAAGTGTCCAGTGGGGAAGGAGAGGCTGGACTTACCCCAGGGGTGGCCACCTGCAGGTTGAAGGCGGTGCTGGCCATCGTGAAACAGTGGAGGAAGGACTGGGCCGACACACCTGCAGAAGGTCCCAGTGAGTGTGGGCTCGACAGGACTAGCGTGCCCCGCCTCAGGGGGCTACCCAGACACCCCCATGGCCTCGACTGACCCCAGAACACGCTGAGGAGCAGCCCTCTCCCCTACACCCAAGAACGACTACTTGAAGCCCTGGGGCAGGGCCAGCCACCCATTCACGTCCAGGAGAAGGAAGCTGGGAAGGCATGAGTCAGAGGGGCACAGCCAGGTCTGCCAGAACGGTAGGCCATCCCCGGGCCTGCATCCCCCATGGCGGGCTCTTTCCCCAGCCTGGCACTGTCACCTCCAGCCTCAGCCAGAAGCTGGGAGAGGATGCAGCCCACCTCAACTGTCCATGCCACTCCCACACCCCAGCCTCATCCTAGTGCTAACAGAGCCACGAGAGACCTTTCTGAAAGGCAAACCCGGGTGTGAGGGTCACAGAGTTCAGCTCATCCTCTCACTGAACCACCAGGGACTCAGGCCCTCAGGCACCATGGAGAACGCAGAAGTGTCCTGGCCCCCCCTCACCCCTTCCAGGGAAGCCGCTCAGAGGGACCCTTTCCTCACAAGGGTTCTGGGATTATACCCCTCCCCCGCCAGCTCTTCCTAGCATCCTTCGGCCCCTCAAAAAACTTTTAAAAAAGAAACTCAACACACCACACCCAATCCAGAAGGCTCTGGGGGCCTCTGTCCTACCAGGGGAAGGACACAGCCCCGCCCACCCTGCCTGCCGGAGAGCACTTACAAGTTTATTCCAAAGTAGCGTGAGCTGTATCTCTCTACATTTATTTTAACTCTGGGGCCCAATCCCTCAGCTTCATTTTTATCTTCATTCTTTTTTTTTTTTTTTTTTTTTTTTTGAGACGGAGTCTCGGTCTGTCGCCAGGCTGGAGTGCAGTGGTGCGATCTCGGCTCACTGCAACCTCCACCTTCCAGGCTCAAGCAATTCTCCTGCCTCAGCCTCCCGAGTAGCTGGGACTACAGGAGGGTGCCACCACGCCCAGCTAATTTTTGTACTTTTAGTAGAGACGGAGTTTCACTGTTTTAGCCAGAATGGTCTCGATCTCTTGACCTCGTGATCCGCCCGCCTCAGCCTCCCAAAGTGCTGGGATTACAGGCGTGAGCCACTGCGCCCAGACTCTTCATTCTTATATAAGTTAATACATATTCACTGTAAAATGTCCACTTATCGAGGAAAAACAAAGTGCCCAGTAGACTGCCGCAGGCTCTGTTCCCCCAGCTGCCCGCCCTTCCGGCCTCCTGAAGTGCTGCCCCCAGCCTGCTGGCGCTAAGACCCCACGTCCTCAACATGCCGGACCTCCTCACGCCTACCTGCTCTGGAAACAAGCCCCAACCCACCCCCCCAGGACTGAACCCCACTCGAGGCTCCTCCCACCCGCAGTCTGGGGGCATCACTCAGGACCCCTGGAGCTCAGCACATCGTGACGCCACAACCCCACAGCCCCATCTCCCCGTCCACACTTGAGGAGCTACAGACTTCAAGAGGCAGACCCCTGGGTCGCAACCCCGGCCCCCACCTCTCCGTGGTGCGGTGACCTTGGGCTGCTCACTTCCCTCTCCAAAAGGCTCAGAACAAGGCCAGGCACCCTCGTGCTCCGCTGCTCATCCCTCCCCTGCTGCCCTGAGACCCTGCAGGCTCAGCGCCAGGGGACGCACCCCGCTGCGCTCCGACCCGCGTGAGCCCCAGGCCAGTACTGCCCTGGTACCCTTGCCCCAGGACGGGGGCCGCGGGGCGCCTTCTCCAGGAGGGGGCTCCGGGTCTCCTCAGAAGCCGGTGGCTCAGAAGGTCAGGGTCCCCGCGGCCGCCCGACCTCAGAGCTGGGTCAACTCCCGGAATGGCCCCTCCCCACACCCGGGCTCCCCTCTCGCAGCGCAGCGGCCTCAGAGACCAGGCCCAGGCACGCGGCTCCCTCCGCTAGAAACGTCGGGCCCGGGCCGCCTCGCCGGGCAGACGAGACTCGGAGGAGCGACGCGGCGCCGGGATCCATCACGACCCCCCGACCCCGCCCCGAGCTCCATCCCACCAACCCGCGACCCCACCCCCGCCCCCGTCCCCGCCCCGAGCTCCATCCCGACACCGACCCCGCTCCGCCCTCCCCCGGCCCCTGCCCGGCGCCCCCAGCGGCCTCGGCCTCCGGCGCCACGTGACGCGCGCCCACCGTGTCCCGAACCTCCCGCCCCGGGCAGCCCCCTCGCGGACGCTCTTCGGACACTGGCCCCGGCCGCCGGGCCTCACCTTCGGCGGCGCCGCTGGCCACGAGCAGACAGGCGGGCCTGTTAGGGAGCCGCTCGGACGCCATGGCTCGGGCTCGGCGCTGGGTCTGCGCGTGCGCGGCGTCTGGGCGCGCCCGGGAGTTCGCGGGTCACGTGCCCTGGCGGCCGGGGGCGGAGCCGGGTGGGACTGGGCGCCTGCGCGTTCGTACCCGGTCCGGGTCGGCTGGGCTGCCCGCCGCTCCGCGCGCCCGGGCGGTCGCAGGTCGCGCCTGCTTTGGCCCCGGCGGGTTCGGCATCCGAGCCTGGCAGGGGCCAATAGGTAGGGTCGCGAGGGTCCTCCCCGGCCGCATGCGCAGTCTGAGCGCGCGCGGGGTAGGGCTCTTGGCCTGGGGTGGGGGCGCGGGCATCAGCAGAGCCAGGCGGCGGTGTCGGGGCGCGAAGGTGCCCGTGGTGTTCCGGTGGCCACACCCGAGGAGCAGGGGAGACCGGGGGGCTGCGGGGTCAGAAGCTCCGGGTGTCCCCGGAGACTAGGAGGGGGACGGCGGGGTCCAGGAGGCGGGGTGGGCTCCGCCGGCCCAGGACGGGGGCGTCGCGGGGAGGCCTGCAGGGTTGTGGGGCGTCGGGCTGAGCTCCTGGGAGGACGGAGTGTCACTTCCTGAGATGGGGACACCTCGGGCGTGCTGGCTTTGGTGAGGAGAATTGAAGCAGTTTTTCTTTTTTTTTTTTTTTTTTTGAGACAGGGCCTCTGGAGTGCAGTGGCGTGATCTCGGCTCACTACAGCGTCTGCCTACCGTGTTCAAGCGATCCTCCCACCTCAGCCTGTTGAGCAACCGGGACCCCAGGTGCACACTCCACCACGCCCAGCTAATTTTTTTGTGTTTTGGGTAGAGAGGGGGTCTCACTGTGTTGTCCAAGCTGGTCTCGAACTCCTGATCTAAAGCGATCTGCCTGCCTTGGCCTCCCAAAGTGCGAGGACTACAGGCGTGAGCCACCGCGCCTGGCCTGAAGCAGTTTTTCCTTAGACTGTAGTTGGAGGGGGTGAGACCACGTGGAGTGGTTGGCAGACAGGCAGGCACCCTTTGAGGCCAAAAGGGCGCTTGAGACAGAGCCAGCAGGCGAGCGGGCCGCCCAGGTCCCTGGCCCCCTGCTGCCAGTATGAAGGTCCCACCAAGCCTCTGCTCCAACCAGGGGAACCGTCATGGTTGGGAACAGCCAAGGTGAGGAATTCTGTGGGTCACACCCCCTGAAAACCACTGGCCTCCGCCGGGCGCGGTGGCTCACGCTTGTTATCCCAACACTTTGGGAGGCCCAGGCGGGTGGATCACGAGGTCAGGAGTTCAAGACCAGCCTGGCCAAGATGGTGAAACCCCGTCTCTACTAAGAAAAATACAAAAATTAGCAGTGGCAGCACCTGTCATCCAAGCTACTTGGGAGGCTGAGGCGGGAGAATCACGTGAACCCAGCGGGGGCAGAGGTTGCAATGAACCAAGATTGCGCCACTGCACTCCAGCCTGGGCGACAGATTGAGACTCCTTCTCAAAAAAAAAAAAAAGCCACTGGCCTCTGGCTCCCCCTGGCCCAGCCTGGAGAAGGGTCCCTGACCCCCGTCAGACAAGCAGTGCACCCTGCCTCACCTGACACAGAGCCCTCCCACCACAGGGGAAGTGGGAGCTGGGAGCTCCTGGTACAGGCAAGGCCGAGAGTTGGGTTAGGGAGCAGAGGACGGAGCTGAGTGAGTGTCCAGTGTTAGGTGGGTGGGGGTGTTAGTGGATGGAGGTGTCTGAAGCCTCGCAGGCCTGCGGTCACACCACAGGCTGGGCCTAGCCGCTTGGAGAGCTTTCTGGATCTGCACAGGATCTTGTCCCCCACAGACACACACTGTGGGCCTCAAACCCGGGAGCAGGAGGGGCAGGTTGGAGCAGGTCTACCTGCTTGCCCAGCCCCACCTGCACTGGCCCCAAGGTGTCCCTGATGGAGCTGAGCTGGACCAGCCACAGGTGCAGGGCTGAGTCTGCAGCAGCCCCCTCCCCATTCCTCTTCCCCTCCCCCAAGTTAGAACAGCAGTATGGAGGAGGAAGCTGGAAGCCAGGCTTGGCCCTCACGCTGGCGGCAAGTCTAATGCGTGTGTGTGCACCTGTGTCCACAGGTGGTGTGCCCCCTAGTGTACCCTTGGGTCCCCACCGTAGTCCAAGGTGTCATGTCTGTGTGTGGGCATCGCTGGTTCCCGGCACAGCCAATCCTGGGAAAGTGCATGTCCCTCATGGCATTCGGAGTCAGGGTGGCCAGCCAGGGCCCCACCAGCAAGCCATAGCATCAGCCCAAGGGCAGCAGCCAGCCAGGAGGCAGGAACCGCACCCGAAGTTCCTAGGCGTCCCGAGTCTCCTGTGGGCAAGATCACCCTTGTACCCTCACTGCTGAGCCCTGGAGTGTGGGTGCCCCCAGGTGGTCTGTTGCTGCTCCGCTACTCCGCAGCAGCCCCCAACCCTGTGTGCCCACCCAGGGTGCCGCCATCTCCTCCCCTGCAAGAGGCCAGCCTCTGCTCCGCGCCTCTCTATCCCCAGCAGGTGGGAAAGGGTGCTTCCAGGGTACTGCTATCTCCCCCGCTCCAAGAGGCCAGCCTCTGCTCCCCGCCTCTCTACCCCTGGCTGGTGGGAAAGGGTGCTCCTCAGGCCCTGTTTAGGGCTGACATTGGGCCAGGTGACAGGACACCTGGGCATGATTGGGCAGCTATTGGGGAGCCATGGGCAGAGCACCTGAGGTCTGCAGTCAGCAGCCCAGTCCGGGTGATGCCTCCTGGGAAGGGGCCCAGACTTGGGGGTAACGGCGTCACTGATGTGGGTCCCTGGCCCCACTGTGGGGTGTCCAGGGTTGTGCCTATTGGACCGCCCGCCTCACCATCCCACGCTACTGAGCCTCCTTCCTCAGCCATTGTCCAGCTTCGTGTCAAGTCCTGGCGTGGGGCTCACCGCCTGCCCCTTGACCGTGGAGTTCGGACGCGTCTCACAGTGAGTGCCCCAGCAGAGCAGGGTTGGGTGCTGAGCATCAGCAGCTCTGCCAGAGCAAGTGGCAATTCCCTGGAACCTGGGGTCTTGCCTTTGTTTGGAGACCGAGAGACTCACAGTGTGGGAGGGTCACAGGACATGTCATCAGCAGTGAAAAGGTTTTGTTCCGTTTCCTGCCTTCAGAACTTGCACGTGCTGGAATCCAAGGATGGGTGGGAGAGGGGCCGTTCCTGGAGATGTCTGCCCTTCGGGGCTGGCCCATGCCACAGGACCTCCCATCACCCCTGCTGCCTTGGTTGGTGAATTCGGGGCATGCTGAGCCTTTCCCTTGCAGCCTTTGCACTTGCTACTCTTCCCTCCGCTTATCAAACTCCTAACCATCCCTCGAAGTCCATGGGCACCAGAAGCACCGCCTCAGAGACTCACAGACTCAGATGTACAGATGTCCCTCAGTATCCATGCGGAATTGATTCCAGGACCCCTGCAGATGCTCAAGTCCCTGCTATAAAATAGTGTAGTGTTTGGCCAGGCATGGTGGCTCACGCCTGTAATCCCAGCACTTTGGGAGGCCAAGGCGGGTGGATCACCTGAGGTCAGGAGTTTGAGACCAGCCTGGCCAACATGGTGAAACCCCATCTCTACTAAAAATACAAAAATTAGCTGGGCGTGGTGGTGGGAACCTGTAATCCCAGCTACTCAGTAGGCTGAGGGAGGTGAATTACTTGAACCCAGGAAGCGGAGGTTGCAGTTATCCAAGATTGCGCCACTGCACTCCAGCCTGGGCGACAGAGCAAGACTTGGTCTCAAAAAAAAAAGGGCGGGGGGCTGTGCGCAGTGGCTCACACCTGTAATCCCAACAGTTTGGGAGGCTGAGGCGGGGGGATCACGAGGTCAGGAGTTCGAAACCAGCCTGAAACCCCGTCTCTACTAAAAATACAAAAAATTAGCCGGGCATGGTGGCGTGCCTGTAATCCCAGCTACTTAGGAGGCTGAGGCAGGAGAATCGCTTAAACCCAGGAGGCGGAGGTTGCAGTGAGCAGAGATCATGCCATTGCACTCTAGCCTGGGCGACAGAGCAAGACTCCATCTCAAAAAAAAAAAAATGGTGTAGTGTTTGCATATAACCTACACGTGTCCTTCTGTGTACTTTAACTCATTTCTAGATTACTTATAATACCTAATACAATGTAACTGCTGTGGGAAGAGTTGCTATATTGTGTTGTTTAGGAAATAACAAGAAAAAAAAAAGCACAACCACCCATGTTTGTTTTTTCAAATATTTAACATCCTTGCTTGGTTGAATCCACGGATGCGGAACCCATAGATCCTGAGGGCCGACTCTACCCCCTTCTGAGAACATCCCCCACAGATGGCTGCCCTGGGTGCCCTCTGTTAGCTCAGCCCGACTACCAGGTGGACCTCAGGTTGAGGGCTGGGACCAGGAGACATGGGCTTCTTTCTTGGGAAGGGGCATGTTGGGCAGTCCTCGACGTGGCCCAGACAGGGCCCTTTCCCAGCGGGGTCTCAGCCAGGTTCCCCTTTCACCAAGGCTGGGCTGGGTGGAGTCTGGATAGTTAGACCCCAGCACCTGTGAGTCACGCAGACCCAGAAGCAGGAAGCAGACAGTAAGTGACAGCCGCTAAGACGCAGGGAGGCTGGGCCAGGGCTGGGGCACGAGGGTACCTTCACCTGGGCGTCAGAAGCACTTGAGAGGACAGGGGCTGCTGGCTCTATGTCTGCCCCCCTAGGCTGGCATGAACTGGCCAGAGACGTCAGACGTGGTACATGCCGGCCTCTGTGGCCTGGAGGGGCTTGCAACAAGGAGGCAGGCCCTGTCCCAAGCTGGCCTAGCCTAGTGTCCAGGACATGGAGGACAGGGTGCAGCAGCCCCGGGGAGGGGTGGGGCCGTTCCCTCCCAAGCACACTTCTGGAGCTGCTGCAGTCGGGGGTGACCCTAACCTACCTTGTGCCTTCCTTCCCATGTGCCGGGGCGGGTCCCACACACCTCTCTCCTGCCCCGACTGGCTCCCACCTGGGGCACGCAGTTGGGCAACCCAGGCCCTGCTCTGCCCGTCGAGCCTCCAGGGCAAGTGCAAGCTCAGCCTGGGCCTGGAGACGGCGGATCGGAGCGTGTCCAGGTGCTCAGGGACTGGTCACCGAAAGGCAAGGAGCCCTCCCTGGGACGAGGGAGACACCCAAGAGTCAGGCCGGGACCTGCAGCGGACCGGGGTGGGAGTCTGCAGCAGAAAGTGCCCCCATGGGCCTTGCTCACTGTGCCCTGCTTCTGGAGGATTCCGCCTGGGACCCTGCCCGTGTCCAGGGGAGGGCCCGGAGGTGATCAGCAGCCTCACCAAGAATGCACTAGGGTGGGAGTCCCGGGAGAGGAGTCGCACCCTCTCAGCAGTGGGGAGGGGATGCTGGAGAGGAAAACAGAGAAACCTCCCCCTAGCTCACCCCGTTCTGCACTGGGTGATAAATACTACGTGCACCCTAGGAAGCCACGTGTGTCACTGGCTGCTAACACGAGGATGGGGGACTTGAGATGCTGGTGCAGGTTCCCAGCAAGGCTCAGAGCTGCGGGTCTCCAGGGAGTTCCCGCAGAGCCTGGGGGGCACAGCCTGCCTCAGACAGTCCCCGGACCCCAGACCCGTGGACACCTCTGTCCCCAGAGATGATGCTGCGCGTTGGAGCTTTCCTGCTTTTTTCCCGTTTTCCAGATTTCCTTATAAGCGATTTGACTTCACAGCGTGACCTTTTTATATACATTTTATATCTGGTATTTGTTTAGACCTTAGAAGTGTTCTGAGGCCGGGCGTGTGGCTCATGCCTGTGATCCCAGCACTTTGGGTGGCTGAGGTGGACGGATCACCTGAGGTCAGGAGTTTGAGACCATCCTGGCTAACGTGGTGAAACCCCGTCCCTACTAAAAATAACAAAATTAGCCGGGCGTGGGGGTGGGCGCCTGTAGTCCCAGCTACTCTGGAGGCTGAGGCAGGAGAATGGCGTGAACCCGGGAGTCGAGATCGCGCCACTGCACTCCAGCCTGGGCAACAGAGCAAGAGTCCGTCTCAAAAAAAAAAAAAAAAAGTGTTCTGTAATAAAAGTGAACTGATAAGTTCTGGGCATCCCTGAGAATTTGTTTTCCTTTCAGAAAGTTTCCTACACTACTGAGGTTTAGGGGCACTGTGAAGCAAAAGCCACGCCTCAGAATCCCAGGCGGAGACTCCGACCTCGTCCCGGGAGGGAAGCCAGTAGCTGAGCACCTGCGGGAGATTAAAGAGAGGAATAAGGAGGTGAGTACATGACAAAGAGCCACAGTCGCAGGCGGTGGGGCCTGGCTCAGAACAGGCTGTGCTGGGAAGCGGGAGCAGGAGCTGGCGCCGCCTTGCGGGCTGGCAGAGGACCATCCACTCCCTGGCGCTGGGGCCGTCCCATCTCATGGGCAAGAAACGTGAGACCCCTGGCTCGCTCCACACACAACCTAAGTGCCAGATGGATGAGACGCCTACGCGTGAGTAAATGCCAGGAACATGAGACTCGAACGTGGCAGGATATCCTTCTGCCCACGAATCTAAAAGCTTACTCGGTAATGGGAGAATGGTTCCAATTTGATAAACTCGGGTTTTTGGAACGTCTGTGCTCCAGAAACACTGGAAGGCAAGTGGCTGCTGACTGGAGGAGATAATTGGATGCTGCAAGCGGCAAAGGGCTCGGGATGCAAAACACCGCAAGAAATGCAACAAGTGAGGAGCATTCCCGCAAAGAAAAAACGCACAGGCCGAGAGCAGTGGCTCACGCCTGTAATCCCAGCAGTTTGGGAGGCCGAGGCAGGTGCATCGCTTGAGGACAGGAGTTCGAGACTAGGCTGGCCAACATGGTGAAACCCCATCTCTACTAAAAATACAAAAAAAAAAAAAAAATTAACCGGCTGTGGTGGCGAGTTCCTGTGGTCCCAGCTACTCGGGAGGCTGAGGCAGGAGAATCGCTTGAACCTGGGAGACAGAGGTTGCAGTGAGCCAAGATCGTGTCACTGCACTCCAGCCTGGGCAACAGAGTGAGACTCTGTCAAAAAAGAAAAAAAAAATTGCACAAATGGCACAAAGAGGAAAAATCAAATGGTGAGACCCAAATAGCCAGGAGCTTTCTTTCTTTTTTTTTTTTTTTCTCCTTTCCTTTTTTCCATCCTTTTATCAGCCATAAAAAGGAAGGGAAGGTTGGGCTGGGCACAGTGGCTCATGCCTGTAATCCCAACGCTTTGGGAGGCCAAGGTGAGTGGATCACCAGAGGTCAGGAGTTCGAGTCAACCTGGCCAACATGGTGAAACCCCATCTCTACTAAAAAATACAAAACTAGCCGGACGTGGTGGCGTGCGCCTGTAATCCCAGCACTTTGGGAGGCTGAGACAGGAGAATCCCTTGAACCCAGGAGGCAGAGGTTGCAGTGAGCCAAGATTGCGCCACGGCACTCCAGCCTGGGCGACAGAGCGAGACTCCGTCTCAAAAAATAAAATAAAAAGGAAGGGAAGTTGAATAGACTACAGCATGGGTGGACCCTGAGTGAAATAGGCCAATTGAAAGGACAGATGTTACACGATACCATTTATCTGCAATGCTAGATTTGGGAGAGCCATTGAGGCAGAAGATAGGTGGTGGGTGCCCGGGGTTAAGGGGAGGGGACGGGGAGTCCATGTGTAATGGGGACAGAGTCTCTGGAGGGATGACGCATTCTGGAGGTGGACGGTGGTAATGGATACGCATGATGCTGCTGAACTGTGCACTTCAAAATGGTTAAGACAGTAGATTTTGTGTTTATACAATAAACCCAGAAAAGATGTATGCTGCACCACAAACCCAGAATAGGTTTTACGGAGATTTTCTTGGTGTTTTTGTTGTTGTTTGAGACAGGGTCTGGCTGTGTTGCCCAGGCTGGAGGGCAGTGGCACAGTCATAGCTCACTGCAGCCTCAACCTCCTTGGCTCAGGGAATCCTCCTGCCTCAGCCTCCTGAGTAGCTGGGACCACAGGCGCACACCACCATGCCTGGCTAATTTTTATTTATTTATTTATTGAGATGGAGTCTCGGTCTGTCACCCAGGCTAGAGTGCAGTGGCATGATCTCAGCTCACTGCAACCTCCGCCTCCCAGGTTCAAGCGATTCTCGTCCCTCAGCTTCCTGAGTAGCTGGGATTACAGGCGCCTGCCACCAGGCCCAGCTAATTTTTGTATTTTTAGTAGAGACAGGGTTTCACCATGTTGGTCAGGCTGGTCTCGAACTCCTGACCTCGTGATTCGCCCGCCTTGGCCTTCCAAAGTGCTGGGATTACAGGCATGAGCCACTGCACCTAGCTATATTTTTATTGTACAGACAGAGGTCTCACTGTGTTGGCCAGGCTGGTCTCAAACTCCTGAGCTCAAGCCATCTATCACCTCGGCCTTCCAAAGTGCTGGGATTACAGGTGTGAGCCACCGTGCCCAGCCTACAAGGATTTTCATTCCTGCTTTGTCTGAAGTTGAAAAAGTTTTGGAAAATCTAAGCATCGTTTAATAGAGAATCGCTAAGTAAAATGAGGCAGCATCGTGGGTGGAATATCAGCACCAAAGCGCCAAGCCTTGTGGTTAAAGGTGGCAGACCATCTTCAGTCTTCTTAGCCCCTTTCAAGTCCCCTACTATATCAGAAAGGGTTGGCTGGTTGCTTTTAAAGCACGAGCCGCAGAATGGAGAGAATGGGCGACTGGAAGGCAGGCTGAGGATGGTGAGGGGCCCTGCTGGCCAGTCAGAGAGGTATCCTGGCACCTGTGGGGCAGGTGAGCTGGGAGCTGGAGGTGTGAGCAGTGTCTGCACAGAGCCTTCTCTGTACGCTGGGCTCAGATCAACGGGCTCAAGGGATAGGCTGCCTCCTTGACTTCTAGGAGGCAGCAGCATGAGTGGGAGTCGAGGGAGGCTGTCGCAGGGCGGCCTGGGTGGGAGCAACAGTGTCGGTTTTAGCTGGTTCTACCCCGTGGGACCTCCGTATCTGTCTGGGCCTGGGTGTGGGTGCATGAACGAGGACTGCTGCTCTGGGGAGGGAGTGTGCCAGGTGCCAGAAGGGCAGGAGGAAGACATGGCTGTCCCCCCACACCAGCTGGAAGAAGGCTTGGGGGAGGAGGTGGTCAGGGAGCTCTTGTCTGCTGGCCTCAGCCACCTGTCGGGTGAGACCCAGAGCCAGGAAGACAGAGCTCAAAGGAGCCCTTCCCAGGCACCGCAGGCCTTGCTGCTTGTTGGCCCGCATGCTGCAGCCCCACCCGTGGCCAGGCCCACCAGCAGGCCCGCCGGTTGGACACCTGGTCAGAGTGGGCTGGGGTCCATGGATGAGAGGTGTTGAGGGGAGCCTCTTCTGCACTCAGGATGTGGGGCTCGCTGCAGTGGGGGCTGCGGAAGGGCCCCTGCCTGGCTGGAGAGCTCAGCCTGAGAAGCAGGGCTTGCCCTCCCCGCACCCCATGTCCTCACTGCTTCCTGGTCCTGTAGCCCCTGGGTGTCCATCTTGGGTCAGGACCCACAGGAAGGCCAGGGAGGAGGATGGAGCAGGGCCTGGGTGGCGATCCGGGCCGAGGCCCCTGGAATAAGGGCATAGGAGTGACAGGGGGTCCCGTCAGAGGGTCCTGGATGCAGCATCCCTCCCTGGAAAGCCTGGGGTGTGGGCGTGACACATGCGACCCTGCGTCTCCCAGCCACATGCAGATGAGGATGCAAGAGCAGCCTTCAGACGACAGAGTTTATTTCAGACTCAGCCTCCACTCAGGCCCGGGGTTCCTGTGGCCACTGGCCAGTGAGGGCAGGCCACGTTCTCACAGTGCCCACCACCACCTTCTGGGAGTTCGCCTGCTGCTGCGCGCCAAGGGCCACGCTGGGACTGGATGTGCTAAGGAGGGGCTGCACGAGGGGCTTCCCCAGGTGCAGTGGGCTGAGGACAGTGTGTGACGGTCGCCGCCAAAAGCAGTTCTACTCTACCTGTTATTGCATTATACGCTGGTTAGACTCAGGTGGTGCTGGGTGCAAGCTGGAGGGGCAGTCTAGCGGGGCAGGGCGGGCACAGCTGTGAGGGGCCCTCGACATCCCTGCCTCCCCGCCGGCGTCGGGGCTCCCCTGGAGCACAAGCTGGGGAAGGCGACCCTTGGGCAGCACCCCCTCCACACGCAGGCTTCAGGGCTCCGTCTTCCCACCCAGCTAGGCTTGGGTGGTGTGGGGAGGTGGCATTGAGGCTCTGCTGAGGTGAGTGCCCACCCCAGGTCCGTCCCACTGCATTCGCCCAGGCAGACCCCCGGGGGGTACGCAAAGAGCAGAAATGGGGCGAGTGGAGCCACCGCGCCCTTTAATGTCCCCACGAGGGCCGGGCCCAGGCCCAACCCATCCCGGCACCCCCACCTGCACTCAGACCAGCCCTGGGGGCCCAGGATCACCCAGCCGCCAGGGGTGGGGGGGGCCACACACAGGGTCCATTCCTTTCTTGCCGTTCCCCAGCTGTGCCCTCGCCCCACATCCTGTGCTGTGGACCCCGGAGCCTGGGCTCTTTCTGCCCTGGAGGTTGGGGAAGTCCTGGGTCAGCAGGGGTGGGCTCGGGCGTCCTCTTCACCGTGCGCGTGTGTTGGGGGCGTATGTAGGTGTGTAATGAATGTGCGTGTGTACGAATAGGTAAGGGTGAACTCTGCATGCACTGGCTTCCTCGGGTCTGTACAGGAAGTGGCTCCGTGCCCCCCGCCTGGCCCCCAGGTATTATTTTTTCCGGACCAGGAAGGCCACACCGAGAATCAGGGCTATGGCTGCCACGGCCACACCCCCAGCCACCAGCAGGGGGTTGAAGTTCTCACAGGACCAGGGACCTCGGCCCCCAGGCCCCCCACTGGCAGCCTCATCTTCCTCCGCCCCGTCCCCAGGACCCTTGGGCTCCGGGGTTGCATCGGGACTGCTGGGGACCGTGGGGGCTGGCTTCAGGTTGCTGTGGTTGTTGAGAAGGGCAGGGTCGGCCTTGGCCGAGGTCTTCTTGGCAGGTGCCGTGGTGGGGGCTGCTGGCGGCTGCTGCTTCTCGGCCGGGGCCTCCTTCTTCGAGGGCTTGGTCAAGGGGGCTTTCCCATCGGCTGCCGGGGGTACCTTGGCCTCGGTGGTGACCTGGGGCACCTTGGTGTCGGGCTTGGGGCTGCTGGCTGACTTCCCTCTGGACTCCATGGTGGGCGGGGCGTATGGGACAGGCAGGTGGCTGCACCAGAGGGGCTCAGGACAGTTTGTCGCCCCTGGGCATTCTATGGGCCTGGAGGGAGACACAAGGGAGGCTGCGCGCGGGTCCAGTCCCCCCTGTGCTGCCCCGACCACCTGGTCCCCAGGCAGCCCCTGCCCAGTTCTCTGGACTCTCTGGAGCCCCAGCTCAGGGGCCTCCCGTGGGCCTCTGACACTTCTCTTTCACGGCCTGGACTCCATCTGTCCATGACCACTCCTCAAGGGGCCCCTCCAGCCGCAGAGGCAAGGGCCACGCACAGGTGGGAGGAGGTAGGGGACCCCACTGTGCTCCATAAAATGGCCCATGCAAATGCCACATCCTCCCACCAGCCGGGGGCAGGAGGCTCTTGGTGGGGAAGTAAGGATCAGGCCCAGAGAACTCGAAGGAAGAGCATTCTCCCCTCCAAGGAGGTGATCGGAGCCCCAGTGGGAGAGCTGACTGCATCCCCTCCTCAGGAGAGCATTCCTGCTTTGCAGAGATGGACACTAAAGCACGGAGGCTGTGACCTGGCCAGGGTCCCAGGGGGAGGAGGGCGGGGAGGGGCAGGAGCTGGGATCTCAGGCAGCCATCAGGGTGGGTGGGCCCACAAGAACCCAGACTTGAGAAAACTGGGGTGTCTCTCCAGGAAGTCAGCGTGGGGCTGTGCTTCCAAGGGCCGTCTGCCCCTCCCCAGCCTCTGGGGCCCCCTCCTCAGCATGGGCCGTGCCTGCCTCCAGCCCTGGAGCAGGGAGTCCTCGCCCAGCCCAAGGCTGTGCTGTCTCTGTGGGCAGAGGGTTCCTGGCGTTAAACAGGGTGGGCACATGCTGCACTTGGCCCGCGGGTCAGGGCGGAGGACAGGGTTCTGGGCTGTGGGAAAGGCGGTGCCCAGATTCTCAATGACCGAGGCAGAGGTGGGAAGGGCCCTGGGGGCCCAGCCGCCCTGAACCTGAGTGGGTCTTGCCCCAAAGCCCCAGAGGCCGCCTGTCTGCCTCTCCCAGGGAAGGATGAGAAATGCCCTCCAGACCTGCAGAGAAAGGGAGGCACGTTCCCCACCCCCCGCCAGGTGCATTGACCACACTGAAGGTCACCCGAAGGTCACAGCATGATGAGGGCGTCTCCAGAAGAGGCCCAGCTGCTGCCACCTCCCAGGGAAGCCCAGCCGTCCCTTCACCCCTGCAGTTCTCGGGGGGCTCAGCTGCTGGGCATCAAGTTTGCAAAGAGCAGGTGGTCTGCCCCCCCAACCTCGCTATTTGTGGCACTTACATCCCGGCCGCCGCCTCCCTCTCCCGGGATCAACTGAGCCCTGGAGAACTGGGGGGCCCGCGCGCAAACCCAGTGACCTTCAAGGCCCGGAGCCGCCTCCTCGCCCCGCAGGACGCCGCGCCCGCCCCGCCCGCCCCGCCCGCCGGGAGCCCCCCGCCTTACGCGTCCTCCGGCCTCCCCGGGGCTGCGCGCTCCTCCGCGGGATGACGGCGGCTGCGAACGCGGAGGAGAGCTCGGGAGTTTCCCACAATGCACTGCTCCCGGCGCAGGAGGGCGGGGAGGGGGAGGGGCGACCGGGCCCCGCCCCGCCGGGAACCGTGGGATCCGCAAACCCAGCTCCGCCTTAGATCCAGGGGTAGAAACTTAGGGTCCGAGAGAGCAACTGCGGGGTCCAAGTCCCATCTGGGACTGCCAGAGGCAGGAGGCGGGTCCCGCTCAGCATCCCCTCTAGGCCAGGGTGCCCCTTGGTCGGTGGGTGACGGGTCGGTGGGTGAGGGGTCGGTGGGTGGGTGCGCAGGCCTAGCCCTGCAGTCTGAAGGGAGCCAGTTATGGGAAGAGGGGACTGCCCTCCCCCGCCCCCAAACAGACCCCCAGACAGACAGCAGCATCTACTTAGAATATTTATTTATTCTCTGACATGACAAGACACAAAAAGTTACAACTTCTTAAAACTCTTCAAAAGAAAAAAATATAATTCTGTAAGCAGCAGCAGCAGCTTCCAAGGTTCTGATGTGACGGGAGGGGCAGCTCCCAGGAGCAACCGTGAACTGGGGGGGTCCAGGCCTGAGCCCCAGGTAGTGTCGCTGGGAAGGGGCCTCTGTGGAGGGCCCCGGTTTTGGGGACACAGCACCAGCACATCAGGGTCTGTCACCAACACGATCACATGGCCAGGGCGGGGCAGGGAGAGCTTCGGCTCACAGCAGGGATCGCCCGGTGGCAGGGGGGATGGGGCTTCTGAAGTGTGGTCAGGGGCCTTATGCCCGGAGGCGGGAAGGATGGGGCTTCTGCAGTGTACCCAGGGGCCTTATGCAGAGGCTGAAAAAGGAGGGTGGGCCCTGAGAGGACTTGGGGGTGTGGCAGCTCCTGGCCCTCCCTCCAGAGCAGGGCAGGCACCCTCAGGCTCCACACTGGTCCCAATGCCCGCCCTGCTCCCTGGCCAATCCCAGGCCAGGGTGGAGGACTCAGGAGAGACCAAGCTGGGTAAGTTAGTTCCTGGACGGGGTCAACAGAGCCTGGGGCACACACAGCACACAGAGCGCCTGGCCACGGCGGGAAGGGGGGCAGTCCCCAGCAGCCCCATCCCCAAGGGCCAGGCCAGATCCCCACAACACACACACGCATGCACACACACATACACACACACATGCACACAGACCTCACAATCTGGGCCCCAGCCTGGGGTGGGAGCTGAGGAGCCCACCAGAAAGTCCCACAGTGGGTGGCGGGCTTGCCCCAAGAGTCAGACCTCAGGGCAACCCCTCACTTGGGATTCCTGGCTCAACAGAGAGGGCAGGAGACCCCAGTCCTCTTGCAAGGCTGGCCAGGGAGGCAGAGTCAAGTCCTGCCAAGGCGACAAGAGCGGCTGGGGAAGGACGGAAGGGCTGGAGAGCCGCTTGGGTCCAGCAGATTCAATAAATAGGTTTGTGTGGGGTGCCTGTGTGGGCCAGGATGGCTGTGGAGACTGGAGCTGGTGGACTGGGGGTATGGTCCAGCCTGCCCGGCCCAGGCCCGGGGGCCCCCAGCCCAGAGACCAGCTCTGTCCCTGGGGGTGTTCAGGCCAGGGCAGGATTGGGGCAGGGGCTAGCTTGAGGAATGTAAAGATTTCTGCATTTTCTACATAAATGAGACATTGATCCCAACGGTGCAGGCAGCACCCCGGGGGGCTTGCGTGTGCACCACCTATGTGGACCCTGCACCCTGCCCCCTGCTGCCCCTGCCGACGGGAGGGCTGGGGAGGGGTCTTCCCTTGCTCCGTCCTGGGCTAGCTGCCTGGCTCCAGCCCCACACCGGCCCTGCCCAGCTGGCTGGGGTGGAGCGGGTGCTGGGCTCAGGCCTGGGGGTCCTGCAGCAGCCCCAGCAGGGACTCCGCGATGCCCAGGAAGTAGACCACCTGTGCGATGCCGAAAAGGGGCGCGATGACCAGCGCGCGGCAGTAGGCGCCCTTCAGGAAGGCCGAGGGGCCCTCGTGCCGCAGGATCTTCCTGTGGAGGAAGGACGAAAGGGTCAGCCCGGTACGCAGGCCCCCAGGCCCCACCCGCCGTGGGACCTCCCCACCTGGCACAGTCCAGGATCCCAGAGTAGGTGTCCTCGTTGACGCCTCGCTGAAGTGACTGGAGCCGCGTCTTCACCACTGCAAGGGGCGCTCGGGTCAGTGTGAGCCTGGCCAAGGGCTCAGTCCCGCCCCATCCCCAGCCGGGCGCCATCCCATGCACTGACCATCACAGGGGTTGACGGCCACAGCGGCGGCACTCCCAGCCACACAGCCGGCCAGGAAGGACACGTAGAAAGGCGACTTCTCCTCGGACGCCGGGCGGCCCAGCTGGTTCAGGTTGGCAAAGAGCGGGAAGTACACCACAGAGAAGGGGACATCCCTGTGGGGAGGGAGGTGGCCGTGGGGACAGGAGGTGGTGGGGTGGGCAGGCCGGCCTCCCCCTTCCCTCCCCCCACCTGCCCTGTGCCTCCTACCTGAGCAGCGTGGCCCCGAGTCCCTTGTAGAGACCGGCAATGCCACGGCTCCGCAGCAGGTCGCGGGTCAGCTGGGTGGCCGTGGGCCGAGGGGCAGCTGGAGCCTCCACTGAGGGCTGGGCACCCCCCTGGGCCGAGAGCTGGCCCTGGGCAGCCAGGATCTTCCTCTGGGCGGCTGGGGACAAAGAGGCTGCTGTCTCCTCTTCTGTGCGAACTGGGCAGGGGACACGCTCTGGCCCTCCCTGCGTCCCCACCCTCCCCTCGCCCTCACCTCTTCCCGCACCTCTGCCCTCTCCTCCCCCTCCCCCCGCCCTCACCAATGCGCCCTGCATCCTGCAGCTGGATCTTCAGCATCTCCATGGGCGTGGTCACGATCACCTGGCAGGTGCCAGCCCCACAGCCCGCCAGCATCTCTTTAAGCAGGGTCAGCTTCTGCCTGTGGTAGGGGCGGGGCCGCAGTAAGTGGGAAGAGACAGGTCTACCTGCCACCCTCGGGGCTGCCCACCATGCCTGGGCGCAGAGGATGGTGGGAGCCGTGGAGGCAGATGCAGGCCTGTGGGGGTACAGCCCCCAGCCTCCGCCACTGCAGCAGCAGGCAGGGAGGAGACCGATGGACAGACGGCCCCACAGGCAGGGGCCTGGGGAGGGCAGTGGGGCTGTCTGCGACAAAGGAAAATGGGAAATTGGGGGTCAAGTGCCCCAAAAAGGGGCTGCCCTTGCAGTCCCCCTCCAGTGATGGGGGAGCTGGTCAGTGCCCTCAGGCCAAGGGCTACCAAGCCAGAGCCCCACTGATTTGACATCTGCTTTGCTCCCCTGGTCAGGGGAAAGGAGGGAGGGTGCCCCACGAGGTCAAAGAAGCCCCAAGCAAGGGGCTGAAGACAGGCAGAGCCCCCAGGTGGGACCCAGCTGGCAGGGTGGACCCATCCTTTATCTGAAGCCAAAGACCCCTCGAGTGTCTGCCAGGCAGAACCCTCACCCGTCCTTAGAGAGCTGATGTCGGAAGAAGTCGTTGGCTGCCAGCTTGATGGCCTTCTCGGGGGTGACGAGGGTCAAGTTCACAGCAGCTCCTGTGGGGCAGGGGGTCAGCTGGGGGGACATGCTCGGTGGCCTGAGTGGGGAGGCGCTTGGCCAGGACTTGCCTCCTGGCTGGCAAAACCCTGTCCCAGTCACTCCTGGCCACCATCTGTTCTCTCACCCACATTTGGGCCTGGTGTGTGCCAGGTGGGGCGGGGCCAGGCAGGGATGGGGCAGCACCTCAGGCTCAGGCTCTCCCATGCCCACTGCAGCTCCATCTGTCTCTGATTCTGGGCAGCATCTTGCTGCTCAGGGCATGAGGACTGCCCCGGAGCCCCTGAGGCCTCCCTAGGATACCTCTCCCTCCCTGGAGGACAGATGGTGCTTGTGCTGGCAGGGGGCTGGGGCCAGAGGTCACAGGAGTGTGTGGTCTGGACTGGGCCAGAGCTCGGGGGAGGCTGTGGAGAGCCCCCATCTCAGTGCCGAAGGCTCAGGGCTGGAGAGCTTCTGCCAAATCTAGGCTCTGGATTGTGTCCTAAGCTGCTTTGCGGTAATGCCCCTTACTCCCTCCCATCCCCAGCCACAAACGGGGTCCAGCCTGGCCCAGAAGGCAGAGGCAGCTGTGGCCACCAGAGAAGAGACAGATGTACCATGGCATCCCACGCACCAGGCACTAAGTGGGGGTGGGGAGCTGCCACGGGAGAGGCTGAGAACTACCACTCACCAGAGATCCAGTCCCCCCTGCACAGGCACAGCCCCCACAAACACGTCCACGCTCACACACCAGGCCCAGGCTGGCCGCCCTGCCCTGCCTCCCCCACCGCTCCCTGCCACGACTCGCGGGCGCTACCCAGGCCTGCCCATATCGAGCCCAGCCGAGCCAAACCTCACCCCGGTACATGCCGAAGTAGCCCTCGGAGCGGACGGTCTTGATGAGGCAGTCGGACCTGTGGCCAAGGGGACAGGGTGAGCCAGGGCCAGCTGGGGCCAGCCGGAGGCCAGGGTCCCTGGACTGTCTAGGGCTGATAGAAGAGGCCAAGTCCTCAGCCCAGCCCCGACCCCAGTCCTGACCCACGTGGGATCTCCCCTAGGCCCGCCTGCCTCCCGTTTCCCTTCTGTCAAACAGGGTGGGGGGCACAGGAGCAGAGCCCCCACCTCTCCTGCTGCCACATGCTGGGCCCACTCCCCGCGACCGCCCGGCACACTCACATGCTCGTGTACACGCGCTGGCCGTTCTGCTGGTTCTGCAGCCTGGTCTTGGCCAGGTCGATGGGAAACACGCAGGTGACACCGATCAGCCCGGCGATGCCGCCATTGATGAGCTTGGCTGGCAGGCTGTGTGGACAGGGGTGTCAGGACCGGCTTCCTTGACCATGGGTCAGGGTGGGGGTGAGGCACGCAGCCAGGACTGGAGTCTGACCTGATCTGCTTATCAGCCATTTAACTCGATTGCACCCAGGTAGGAGCCGCAGAGGTGGACGCCAGGCCAGGCGGGGTGGAGGTGGAGGTGGAGGAGGCCTTGAGGGAGGGTGGGACCCAGGGGGGTTGGGTGGTGCTCCACCTTCAGGGGAATTTCCAGGCGTCAGCAACCGCCACTTCTGTCCTAGAAGGATGAGGGAATGGGAATGAGTGAGGGTGGGGCCACCCGAAGAGTAATCCTCCCCCAGCCTCCCTCTCTCACGCAGCCCCTCACCCACCACCCCAGACTGAAGCCGTCACTGCGTCCTGAGGGTGCAGCAGCGGGAGGCACCTGCCACCCAGTCCCATGCTCACCCCTGGGACCACCTGGCTTCCTTTCAGTCCCCCCCTCCCCACCGCCAGCGTCTTCCCAGCCAGCCTCACACGCCGCTCACGCTCGGGGCTCACGTGCACCCCAGCCAGCTCCGGCTTTTAAAGGGCCAGGCACCTCTGGGGGCAGTGCCAGGGGCCGGGGCCAGGGTGCCTACCGGAGCACCTCGACCTGGACAGCTGTGGTGACCATCCCCCACATCCTTCAGCACAGAGAGAGCAGCAGCCGGCACCTGCCCCCTTCGAGCTAGGGGCTGGGGTCCCGGGCGCCCTAAGACCCCCCGACCTGGGCTCAGCTATCCCAGGTATAGCTCTCCTCCCATGGCAGCTCCACCTAGGGCCTGCAGAGCTCCTCCCCACGATGCCCACACCCCCCACAGCCAGCCCCTTGCCCGCCCCTTCCTCCCCTCCACCCCTCCCAGGAGTTTCACTCATGGACACACAGAAGCCAGTGATGGGACCCCTGGAAGCCTTGGGGGTGGGGGATGGCTGGCCTTCTGAGGCCCCCTGTGGCTGGCACCCCCATCCACTACAGAGGAGGAGAGGACAGGCCTCTCCCACTAAGCAGCAAGGCTGGGGAGCCACAGCCAGCCTCAGGGGCCTCCCATAGGGTCATGGCCATAAAATCCCAGCTTCGGGGGCCTTTCCCCCCTCCCTGGGCCCCCCAGAGGCCAGCTGTTTCACCCACCGGCAGCGCCGTTGCCCAGGGCCACGCGGCTGGCTCACACCCACAGATCCTCAGGGACTCGTAACCTTCACCTCGGCTTTCCAGGGCTGGGCCATCCACCACCGACCCCCGCTCCGCCACCTGCCCGCTGGTCCTGCTCTCACTCTGCCCCAGGCACTCACTCTGGATGGCTCTTCCACACTCCAGCCCAGCACTCACACAGAAGGGGAAGCTGCCGGGGGAGGAGGCGAGGGGCCGCAGGGATTGGCCGTGGGGCGGGGTGGGGCGGGCTTGGGTGGGGGGGCACTTTCTCTTTCACTTTGGGCAAGCAGAGGCTTCCGGCAGCCTTGAGAGGAGAGATGAGCAGGGGTGGGTCTGACTCAGGCTGACCTGGCACAGCGAGGCCACCCACCGACAGGGACCTCAGCGCGTGGCCACCACACCCCCAGCACACATGTGTTCCTGTCTGCTGCCTGTGGGTTGAACCCTATAGCATTTCCTGGCCTGGATCTGTCTAGGGCTGGTACTCTGAGAATGAGGCTTTCTCCGGGCCAGGGTACCCTGTATGTACCTGGACAGGGAATCCGGTGCTGTGGAGCAGAGATGGGCTAACACCCACTCGTGTCTGTGGGATGTGTGTCTGCTAGGGGCAGATGCATGTCAGGGAAGCCTCATGCTGGGCCACAAAAAAGGCCTGCTGTCCACAGGGAAGAGCTAGCTGGGTGCCAGAGGCCACTGTTGCCACCCACAGGCCCTGCTCACCTGGCAGGTCCAGAGGGCACACGAGCTGGCATGCCCAGAGCCCTCTGCCCCACCACCCGTCCCACTCAGGGCTTCACCGTCAGACCTGCCTTTCCCTGCCTCAGCCAGTGGTGGTGACAAGCTGACCTCTGAACTTCTACCTGATCCCTCCTAGCCCCCCCCACCCCTGCCGCCCCACTCTTCGGGTGCAGACTGGCCACAGCTCTCCGGGCTGCGCTGGGCCCTTCATCTCCACTCTAGTCCCTCCCAGGGGTGTACCCTGGCCCTCCAGGGACTGAGCAACCCCCTTCCTCCTGGGAGCCTATCTCCAGTCTGGGATGAGGACACCTGCATGATAGGGGCAATCCTGGAAGTCAGGCCGACCGAGGTGGGGAGCGGCCATTCGTCCCAAGAAGAGAAGCAGGCCCAGAGATCCCAGGGCGGAGAGGCAGGCCTGGGCCCGCACGTCACCCAGTGCAGCGGAGAGGAGCTTCTGGGTGGAGAATGATGACAGTGAGGGGCTCTGCCTGGGGAAGAACCGGCAGGGGTTCCCTCTGAACGCCAACCCCGCCTTTCTCTGCCCTCACTCGGCAGTTCCCACCCCTGGTTTATGAGACAGCTGGCCAGGGCCCTCCCCCTGCACTGATGTTGCTATAGAAACCCTGCAGCCCCAGCCGGGCCCCGGGCTGTGAGCCGTCACTGTCCCCCCTTCATAGTCAGGTGAACTGAGGCCACAGGCAAGCCAGGGAGACAGCAGGAGAGCAGAGACCACCCCACAGGAAGATACCGCTGCTTCCGAATCTGCAGGGGTAAAATCCTCCACCCAAGAAGCCGCCAGGCTCCTCCTACCCCCAAGAAAGGCAATGGGGGTGAGGCTCCGAGTCTGGCCGGCGGCTCCCCATTCAATCTCCCGCTGTCCCCGTCCTCTTGGGGCGGTGCTTTCTATCCTGCTGGCTGGAGGGTCCCGGAAGGGGACTCCAACTGCGCGATGCCTCGGCCAGAGGACAAAGGAGAAGCGGGTTGGGGGCCGCTCTCTGCGCTCGGAGGCCGGCTCAGGCCCCTGCCCTACTGCTGGGGCTCAGCCGACCGCTCCGTCCTCCGCCTGGCCACCGCGACTCCGGCCACGCACGTGTCCACAGATGTCCGGTGAACTCCCACGTGTGCGTCCCACACGGGTCGGCCTTTCTTCCTTGGGCTCGGGCCCCGGACACCCACCCTCGGGGACACGTATGTGCGGGGAGCGCGCCCGGAACCGTCGGGGCCGAGCACGGCGTCTCACGCCAGAGCAGCCGCGGATCGGAGCATCCGCTGGTCCAGGACCCCCCCTCCCGCCCGCCAGGCCACGTTGTTCGGGCAGCTGTCACCTCCCTCGGCCGCCGCAGCACCTCTCGCCCCCGCAGCCCGGCCGCGTTCGGATGGGCGCAGCAGAAGGGAGCCGCCGGGCAGACACTCACCACGCTCGCCGCCGCCGCCGCGCTCGCCTGCCCGCCCCGCGCTCGGCCAGCACCTAGGCGGGGAGGCGCGTCCGCTCGGCGCCGCGCGCGCTCCGCCCTCGGCCTCCTCCGGGCTTCGGCTCCCCCTCCTGGCCGTCGAGGCTACTGCGCCCAGCCAGGCCACAGCCACGCGCCCACCCGCCCCCTGGCCGTGGGTTCCCCCGGGCAGGGTGGCAGTTCTGCGCGCAGAGGCCGGGCCGCGCGTCCCCAAGGTCCTTTCTTGGTTTCCGGGCCTCAGGCCCCTGCAGGCACAAGGACCCGCGGGGCGCGGGCAGGTGGCAGAGCGCCGGTGGATGAGGGTGCCCTGGGGGAGGCGTGGCCTCCAGGGCAGACACAGGTGATCCGTGGAACTGCTGGGCCAGCGCAATGGAGAAGTGGAGGCACAACCCCACCCGCCGAACAGCGACTTTGTATCCAAAGCACCCCACTTGGGGCTGGGCGCAGTGGCTCACACCTGCAATCCCAGCACTTTTGGAGGCCGAGGCAGGCGGATCACTTAAGGTCAGGAGTTCGAGACCAGCCTGGCCAACATGGTGAAACCCCGTCTACTAAAAATACAAAAATTAGCCAGCGTGGTGGCAAGTGCCCTAGTCCCAGCTACTTGAGAGGGTGACGCAGAATCGCTTGAACCTGGGAGGCAGAGGTTGCAGTGAGCTGAGATCATGCCACTGCACTCCAGCCTGGGTGACAGAAACTCCATTTAAAAAAAAAAAAAAAGTAGCCCATGTGGGTTACTTTGTAGCACAGCTCCTCCCTCCCAGGAAGATGAGGACCCACAGGAGGCCCCAGGCACAGTGGGAGAGGACAGGACCAGGATGTGGGGCACCTGTGCACACAGGCCTCCCTCCCCGCAGGGGCCAGGCCTCTACCCCACCACCCTCCGCCCTCCAACGGCTTCTCCATCCAACAAATAAATCAAGCTCTGAGGTGAAAGAAACAGTGCAGTTTTGTTGCTCACAGGGACCCGTCCCCACACACTGGAGAGACTTGAAGGTGGGGGCTCTGCCCATCCACTGGGGAATATCTGGGCCAGCCTAAAAGTCTGTGGGGCCTAGGCCTGGGCAGGCTCTGGGGGCTGTGGAGCCGAGGAGCCAGGCAGAGCGGGGTCCTTGGGGGCCAAGCCCATGCGTCGGATGCTGTCCTGGTACTTGCGGCGGCCGAGCTCCAAGACTGCGCGCACCTCTTCAGCCACGTCCTGCCGGTCACTCTGCTCCAGGGCCTGCACCAGGAGCCCCACAGCCCCTGGCTGCCCAGCCTGGCGCTCAGCCCAGGAGAAGAGCATGTGACGGATCTGCTCATCCAGATCATCCCTGCAGGCAGAGGATGGGCGACAGAGGGGTCCTGTCCACCTGCCCAGGACCCCCCACCACACTCTGCCTCGGAGTGTGGGGGAGTTCCCGGCTCCTGGGGCCAGGTGCGGCCAGACCTTTCCTTTCCAGCCTGGTGTTTGCCCTTCCCCCACCTCCCCTGGAAGAAACTTCTGTCAGAATCAGGTGGGCCCTCCAGGCAGCCAGGGCTCAGCCCTGGGGCTGGCAGCCAGCGGGCAGTGGGAGCCTCACCGGAACTCGTGCCGGATGCGCTGCACCTCCCGGTAGGACACCCCCAGGTGCAGGGCCACGGCTGGCCAGTCCAGACCCAGACGCCCAGCCACACTCAGCAGGTTGCTCTGCGTCAGAAAGCCGGTCTCGGCATCTCCCAGATTCAAGGGTGCCAAGGAGAGGCCAGCCCCCCGCCGTGGCCCCTCGGACCCTCGAAGTCTCTGTTGGAAGGAAAAAGTGCATTAAGCCCTGGGCTCCACCCCCAACTCCACCATGTCACCCTGGTCACCCCTGGGCCTCGGTCCTGCCCCGCCCCTCTGCTGTCCCTCAGTCCCACCGGCAGCTTGATGGGCAGAGTGGCCATCCACAGGGCGTCTGCGCCCTTCCTCTGCCGGGCAGCCTCAGCCTCCTCGGGCACCCGCACAGGCACCGCGCCACGGTAGAAGGACACCTGAAGGGGCATCGAATGGGGTTCGGAGTTCGGTCCTCTGCCCAAGCGGCCTGGGGGGCCTCTCCCCTCACCCACTCCCCTCGCCCACCTGGCCCCGCACAGCCTGAGCCTCCCGGTCCAGAGTGGTGGTCACGTATACCTCCTTCACATTCTTCAGGTGCGAGTAGAAGACAAAGCAGATTCTGCCCTCCACACAGTCAGGGCGGTCTAGGGGACAGGGGTGGGCTGAGCAAGGAGGGCTCGGGGAGGACGGTAAGGCTCCCCCTCCAGGGCAGGGAGCATCCACCAGCATCCCTACCAGCATCCACGTCGATGCCGCGCTCGAAGGCCGCAAAGAACTCTTCGCCCTCGAACATCTCCACCGTGTCAGAGGGCTCGGGGCCCCGGTACCGCTCCAGCAGCCGCCGAAGGGTGGCGTCCACCTGCGGGGAAGCCCGTGCAGCTCAGGACCCAAAGCTCTGCACCCCACCCCAGCCCTCTGGTCACCACCCTGCTGCCCTCCGGCCCGTGCCCCCACCTTGTTTCGGGGCAGGCACTGCAGCAGGACCTGCTCAGGGTCCCGGCGCCGCTGCAGAGCGATGAGGTTCACACGGTGCAGCCGCAGCCGCTCCCAGGCCTTCCGAGCCAGGCCTCCCACACAGTTCTTGGTGGTGTACCAGAGCCAGTACCTGGGAGAGCTGGGGGTGAGGAGGGCTGTACAGACTGGGGGAGGGGGGCTGAGAAAGCTGGGGGGCACTGACCAGGAGAAGTGTGTGACCTGGAAGCGTGCGTACAGGTGGGTGAGCTCCAGGACCACCTGAGCTGTGATGTCATCCCAGGTGGCTGCAGGAGGGGCCCAGTACAACAGGTGCAGGCGGGAGCGGTCCAGACTGAGGCCTGGGGATGGGAGGGGCAGCGAGCTGAGGCCTCCTGGCCGGAGACCCCCTCCACCCTATGGCCACAGGTCCAGGTATGCCCCATGGCTGCCTCTCACCTGTGATGCCAGAGGGCAGAGGCAGCTGCACGGTGACCGGTTGGAGGAAGCTGGGGGGACCGCTCTGTGACAGGCACAGCAGGGGGCTCACTGCAGCCTCTGGTTCTCCCAGGAGGGCCTGCAGCTCTCGGCCAGCCATGCGCACCACCTGGGGCAGACAGGCCCCCTGAGCACCTGCCTGTGGGCTGAGGCGCGGCCTGCCACCCTCAGTGCTGTCCTGGCCATACCTGCATGGAGACTCGACGAGGCTCCTCAGTGGCCCCAGGGGGGAAGATGACTTTGACCCCAGGATGACCCGAGGAGCACAGCAGTGTCCCCTCCGGTGGCACCAGGCAGGCATTGGACACAGGGCGGGAAACCACAAGGAACCAGGAGAAGTGGGGCACCTGGCAGTGAGCCCAGAGCCGCTGGGATGGGGGAGAGAGGAGGTCACAGGAGCCTGGGTCAGGGCACAGCCAGTCAGGGACACAGGGAGCAGGATCCAGGAGAGACGGGGCGGGGTGGAAGGTGCCAGGGACACAGGGAGCAGGATCCAGGAGGGACGGGGTGGGGTGGAAGTTGCCAGGGACACAGGGAAGCAGGATCCAGGAGGGACGGGGTGGGGTGGAAGGTGCCAGGGACATAGGGAAGCAGGATCCAGGAGGGACGGGGCAGGGTGGAAGGTGCCAGGGTGAGGCTCTGGGCAGAGGTGCACGGCTCAGGGCAGCAGCTCTCCACTCGCCACCGGCAGGCCTGGGTGGCCCTCACCTGGGGTGCCTCTTCCTCCAGGTAGGTCTCCAGGTCACCCCAGCTGTTGTCATTCCGGGTCCTGACCACCACTTCACGGCAGCGCCGGGCCTGCGGTGGGGTGAAGAGCAGCCACAGCCCCACATCCTGCCAGACAAGGATGGTGTGAGCACTGGAGCCATGCCCGGGCCCGCACACTGCCCCTGCCATGCCCTGGCCCACACACTGCCCCCGCCACGCCCTGTCCATGCCTGCTGGAAGGCCACCCCATGGGGCTGCAGCTCCAGCACATGGCTGAGCAGGGCGTCATGAGGACCCAGGGGGACGAGGCCTGGCTCCGGCAGCAGCAGCCGATAGCGGATGGTGATGGGGGTGGCGGTGGCTCCCGCTGGGAACTGCAGGCGGACGCCACAGGCCAGGGTCACTGAGCAGCCTTGAGGGGTCACAGGAAAGCTGAGTGAGGAAGGAGCGAGCAACAGGTTAGACCCAGAAGGGCCTACGTGTTGGAGCCTGGACCCAGGAACTCTGGAGAAGGTGTCGGAGGGGCCAGAGTGACAGGCAGACAGACTCCCCTCCAGCCCCCTCAACCCACCCCATACCTGTCCAAATCTGAGGTCAGGAACAGTCTGGGCATTTCTGGAATGAGGGCTGCCACTGTGCAGGGGACAGACATGTGCTCAGGACAGTGAGGAGACTCATGTCCTATCCCAGGTCTGCCCCTTCTAGCACCAAGCCTACCTGGTGAACTCGGGGCGTCTGGCGAGGCCTCACCCAGGGGGTTCCCCTGCAGGCGCACAAAGGGGGCGTCTAGCAGCTCAGGGGGCAGGTCCCGGAGCTGGTTGTCCCTCAGGTCGAGCCGGGTGAGGAGTGGAAGGCGGGCCAAGTCAGCTGGCACAGAGGCCAGGAGGTTGCTGTGCAGGACAAGGAGCCGCAAGGACCGAAGTCCCGCTGCGGGCAGTTGCTGGCTTAGGCTTGGCACCAGCCCAGCCCACGGCGCTGGGACACTCCTGCTGCCGCCTCCCAGAGCAGCTGTTTCAGACTCTCCTCCACAGCTGGGCTCAGAGAACTCTGACAAAGCCACTGAGGGAGTCTCAAAGGCCAGGGAGGTGGAGGGACAACCAAGAGGCAGCTGTGGACCAAGCCTGTGGGTGCAGAGGCCCCTGCAGAAGACAGGCAGGCTTCAGGGACCCTCCCGTGGGGCCAGTGTGTCGGGGCGCAGGGGCTACTCACCCAGAGAGGCTGGGAGGCTCTGCAGCCGGTTGGAGGCCAGGTTGAGCTCCAGGAGGCTGCCCAGGCCTCCAATCTCAGGAGGTAGCGTGTCCAGCAGATTCTGAGAGAGATCGAGGCGCTGCAGGGTGGATAGGGCCCCCAGTGCTGGGGGCAGCGTCTGCAGGCGGTTGTGTGTCACTGTGAGGAAGGTGAGGGCGGGGAGGGCCCCCAGAGCCTCAGGCAGCTCAGAGAGGCAGTTGTGAGACAGCAAGAGCGCACCCAGACCTCGCATCTGCAGGACACAGGCCGGCAGTGTCTCCAGGCTGTTGAAGCTCAGGTCCAGGTGGGCCAGATGGGCCAGGCCACTCAGACCAGCGGGCAGGTTGGTCAGGGCACCCCGGAGACAGGCACCCAGTGTGTCCCGGCGTTGCCCTCCTGGGAAGGGGGGAGGCGGATGTGGCCCTCAGAGCCAGGGTCCGAGGTCCCAGATCGACCCTGCCAGCCAGAGAAACAGCTGCTCGAGAGGCACAGACCTCCCACCCCACCCCCACCCCAGCCAGACAGGGACAGACAGACAGAAACACTGGAGAGGTGCCCGCAAATGGAAGGAGGCAGGGGTGGAGACCACCGGCTCATCTCAGCTGACAACCATCACCCACAACCTTCCCCAGGAACAACATCTGCACTGTGGTCTGGAGAGACCCCCACTGGGCAGCGTCAGGGTCCAGGAGCCAGGGCCCAGCCAGCCCCACACTGGGGGTGGTGATCACCGAGGATGGCGATGGGGCTGGACAGGACCAAGAGCAGAACAGTTCACACCTGGGGAGCCGGGAGGGGCGGCCTGGAGCTGGGGCTGGGACTGGGGTTTGCCTTTGAGAACATGCAGCAGAGGCAGGGCAGAGCGAGAGATGGAGACAGGGCCCAGAACAGGTGGAACTCACCTTTGAGGACCAGGGAGCGGAGGCAGGACAGGCTCTGAGGCAGCTGGGCCAGGGTGGCCTCCAGCAGCTGAGGGTCCTCGTGAGTGCTCAGACGCAAGAATTCCACCTGCAGCAGCTGCAGAGGCTGCTGGACACACAGGTGCAGCAGCTGCTGGCAGCCCCCGGGGTACAGGTCCAAGCTCAGCCGGTTGCCGCCCAGGAAAGGCAGCGCCCTGGACCCTGCGTCCGAATCCTCTGAAGCATCTCCTGCGGCAGCAGCTGCCTCCAGCTCTGGCCCCTCCACCGTTGCAGCCATCGCCCACCGACGGTCCTTGGAGGCCAGACATGTCCCAGCACGCAGGCAGGCCTGTCCAGGCAGCGCCCGGGGAAGCTGCAGAGGCAGGAGGAGGAGTGAGCGGGAGCCGGGGTGGGCCCTTCTCTTTGGGGAAACAGGGACTCTGGATGGAGTGGGGAGCTCTAGAGCCAGGCCATCTGGGCCTGGGCTGCAGAGTGGGGGAGACCTTGTGGTCACCCTGAACCCCGGAGGCCTGGGTCACCACTGGAAAGAGGGTTGGGGAATGGGACCGCCATGGCTCGCAGGAGCACCGGGCAGGGAGACCTCGCTATGAGCAGCAAAGCCGGGGTAGTGAGGCTTCAGTCCTGGTCCTGGAAATCTGGCCAATGGAGCCGTGGAGCTGCGAGGTCATAGGGGCTGTTCCCCAGTCCTGGAGATGAGTCCCCCTTCTATTTACATCCGTTTTACCAGGAAGGCCGTGACCCTCCCCTACCGCGGGGGTGACTGCGCCCCGAAAGTCAGGGAAGGCCGTGTAAGGGTGAGGGCCTGGGGCGTGAGCCATTGGGCAGCTTCGGGGTCCTGGGGCCGGGACCCCAATTCGTGAGCCCCGGAGGAAACCTCTCCCGGCCTTTCCAGTTCGGTCCACTGGGGAGGGTGGTGCACCGCGCACCGCTCAGACGGCGTGGGGGGCGGGCCCCAGCCCCGAGGCAGGCTCGGGATCCCCCGGGCGTCGGGGATGGGAACGGCCCCCAGCCTCCCAAAAGCAAACGTGTCCCCGCCGCCCCCTCCGCCCGCCCAGGCCGGCGCGTACCTGCGCTGCAGGCGGCGCGCAAAGGGTGGCTGCTCAGCGGGCGCTCGGCGCCTGGGATCCCGCCGGCGCGTTTCTGGGTGGGCGGGGACTGCAGACCCCGCCCCTTGGGCCCCGCCCCCTCGGGACGCGCCCCCTCCGCCGGGCTGGGGTCCACGGGGGAGGTCTCCCGGCTCCTCCCCGACCCGCCTTCCCTCCGCCTGTCGCAGCCCCGGAGACGCGGACGCGACCCGTCCATCTGCCGAGCCGCCCGCGCAGCAGCGCTCGGCTTCCTGTTAGTCCGCGGGGTCGGAGCCGTACAGCCTCCCCCGCCCGGAAGGCCACGAAACCCGCCCTTTCCGAGGTTCTCGGGGCCCCGGGCCGCTCCGAGGCAGACCCGGCCCCAGGTGCGTTCCCAGGCCGGGGTGACGGGGGTACTCTTGCCGCTGCCCCGCACCCACCCCTGCTACAAGCCGGAACAATTGCAGTGTCCTTTCCAAACCAGCCCAAACGGCCTCCTCCGGGAAGCCTGCCAGGACCTCCTCTCTGGGCCTGCAAAGACCCTTCCTTTCGAGCCATCACTCTGGGCCAGAAGCAGTGAGCCTCCTGGCACTGTCTCCTTCAATCGCGCAGGGGAGAAGGAGGCGTTAAGAGATAAAATATTGAGCGGGCGCGGTGGCTGACGCCTGTAATCCCAGCACTTTGGGAGGCCGAGGCGGGTGGATCACGAGGTCAGGAGTTTGAGACCAGCCTGGCCAACATGGTGAAACCCCGTCTCTACTAAAAATACAAAAATTAGCCGGGCGTGGTGATGCGCGCCTGTAGTCCCAGCTACTCAGGAGGCTGAGGCAGAAGAATGGCGTGAACCCGGGAGGCGGAGGTTGTAGTGAGCCGAGATGGTGCCACTGCACTCCAGCCTGGGAGACAGAGCAAGACTCCGTCTGAAAAAAAAAAAAAAAAAAAATCAGATATTGCCCGAGGCCCTGTAGCTGGTGAGGGTCAAAGCCAAGAACCTGAAATCTGCCCTGTCCGCCTTCCCCACCAACATGATACCCCCGAGCGGGCCTGTGCTTTATTCACCAGCTTCCTCGCCCAGGAGAACAGGTACTTAGGGAGGGAACAGACACCACCAGCTATGCCTGCTTCTTTCCTGAGGTCATATCAGCGGCTCCTCCTTCCCCACCAACATGATACCCCCGAGCGGGCCTGTGCTTTATTCACCAGCTTCCTCGCCCAGGAGAGCAGGTGTTTAGGGAGGGAACAGACACCACCAGCTATGCCTGCTTCTTTCCTGAGGTCATATCGGCGGCTCCTTCTTCCTTCCATTTCCCAGCTACCACCATCCCTCCCTCTGGGACAGGCAGGTCTCTTCCAGGCCTCCCTGCTTCCATTCACCCCAGCCCCTTCCATGTAGGGCCTGGAGGGATCTTTTTTTTTTTTTTCTTTGAGATGGAGTCTGGCTGTGTCCCAGAGGCTGGAGTGCAGTGGCGTGATCTCGGCTCACTGCAAGCTCCACCTCCAGGGTTCACACCGTTCTCCTGCCTCAGCCTCCTGAGTAGCTGGGACTACAGGCGCCCACCACCACGCCCGGCTAATTTTTTTGTATTTTTAGTAGAGACGGGGTTTCACCGTGTTACCTAGGATGTTCTCGAACTCCTGACCTCGTGATCCACCCGCCTCGGCCTCCCAAAGTGCTGGGATTACAGGTTTGAGCCACCGCACCCGGCCAAGAGATCTTTTTAAAAACCAACCACAGGCCTGATGCTGTGGCTTACGCCAGTAATCCCAACATTTTGTGAGGCTGAGGTGGGCGCATCACTTGAGGTCAGGAGTTCAAGCCCAGTCTGGCCAATATGGTGAAACCGTGTGTCTATTAAAAATACAAAAATTACCCAGGTGTGGTGGCAGGCGCCTGTAATCCCAGCTACTGGGGAGGCTGAGGCACGAGAATGGCTTGAACGCGGGAGGCGGAGGTTGCGGTGAGCTGAGATCTCGGCACTGCACTCCAGCTTGGGTGAGAGTGAGACTCCCTCTCAAAAAAAAAAAAAAAAACAGGCTGGGCGCTGTGGCTCGCATCTGTAATTCCAGCACTTTGGGAGGCCGAGGCGGGTGGATCAGGTCAGGAGATCGAGACCATCCTGGCTAACAAGGTGAAACCCTGTCTCTACTAAAAAATTAGCTGGGCGTGGTGGCGGGCGCCTGTAGTCCCAGCTACTCGGGAGGCTGAGGCAGGAGAATGGTGTGAACCCGGGAGGCGGAGCTTGCAGTGAGCTGAGATTGCGCCACTGCACTCCAGCCTGGGCTACAGAGCAATACTCCGTCTCAAAAAAATAAAAAAATAGGCCGGGCGTGGTGGCTCACGCCTCTAATCCCAGCACTTTGGGAGGCCGAGGAGGGTAGATCACGAGGTCAGGAGATCGAGACCATCTTGGCTAACACGGTGAAACCCCGTCTCCACTAAAAACACAAAAACTTAGCCGGGCGCGGTAGCAGGCGCCTGTAGTCCCAGCTACTTGGGAGGCTGAAGCAGGAGAGTGGCATGAACCTGGGAGGCAGAGGTTGCAGTGAGCCAAGATCACGCGACTGCACTCCAGCCTGGGCGGCAGAGCAAGACTCAGTCTCAAAAATAAATAAATAAATAGAATCCACTTATAACTGCTGCTCCTCAAAGTGTAAATTCAGGGCAACTTGAATCTATGTTCCCAGGACGCAATCCTCAAGCCTGGCCCACATAAACTACTCTGTATTTATATTAAATTTGTCTTAGCATCTACCTTTTAGGTAGGTACTTGAAATCTGAAAATACACTGAATGAAAAAAGCCAGACACAAAAGGCAAAATACTGTATTATTTCAGTCTTACGGGGTGCTACAGTTGTCAAAATCATAGGAAGAGAAAGTAGAATGTGTTTATCAAGGGTGGGGGAGCAGGGAATAGGGACTTTAATAGGTACAGAGTTTGTTTGGGATAATAAAAAAAAAGTGAGATGGGGCTGGGCACAGTGGCTCGTGCCTGTAATCCCAGCACTTTGGGAGGCGGAAGTGGGAAGATCACTTGAAGTCAGGAGTTTGAGACCAGCCTGGCCAACATGGTGAAACCCCGTCTGTACTAAAAATACAAAAATTAGCCGGGCATGGTAGTGGGTGCCTGTAATCCCAGCTACTCAGGAGACTGAGGCAGGAGAATCGCTTGAACCCAGGAGGCAGAGGTTGCAGTGAGCCAAGATCTCACCAGTGCACTCCAACCTGGGGAACAGTGGGACTCCTCAGAAAAAAAGAAAAAAAAAAGTTGGGGCCGGGCGCGGTAGCTCACGCCTGTAATCCCAGCACTTTGGGAGGCCCAGGTGGGAGGATCGCTTGAGCCCATGTTGGACAACGCTGTCTCTACCAAAAAATTTTAGCCGGGTGTGGTGGCACACGCCTGTGGTCTCCGCTAGGAGGCTGAGGTGGGAGGATCACCTGAGCCCAGGAAGTTGAGGCTGCAGCGAGCTGTGATCGAGCCACTGCACTCCAGGCTGGGCGACAGAATGGGGCCCAGTCTCAAAAATTACAAAATAAGAAAAGTCCCATTGTTCCCAAGATGGTTTCCCGCCTTTACCCCAGATGTGTGACCCTGAGCAAAAAAACCTTTCTGTACCCAACTGCCTCATCTATAAAATGGGGGTAATGATAACGAGGCCACAGAAGGCGACTGTGAAGTCGAGTTCCAGTGCTTGACGTATACACACCCCAGGGTTTGCACTGCTGTTAGAGCCCAACGGGAGCTGGCGCTGCCTGCTAACACGGTAGATACCTGCATCTGACCCTGTTCCTGGTGCTCGCCCGGGATATTGGCAGGGATGGCTCCTTCTCATCTCTCAGCTCAAGCTTTCTCAGGCTGCCCAGAGGACCAAGTCTCCCTCTGTCCCTGTCCTTCGGATCGCCTCCCTATTCACCTCCTGCGTCCTCGCACAAGAACTCAAGTCCTTAGGAGGCAGGGCCAACCCTGTTCCCTCCCAGGACCCGAGAATGTAGCGGGGTCCCTGAGGTGCTGATGTCCACATGGACACCGAGGTCAGTTCCGGGCCAAAGCGGCCAGCGCAGGGGCTGACCACTCAGACCTCACTCCTCGCAGGGGTGAGCGGGCGACGCTGCCTCACGTCATTGTCCTGCCCTCCAAGGCCCGCGCTCGTCCTCTGACAGGATGCCCTGACACCGCAGTGCGGGGGCGGCCTCCCAGATAGGGCCGCAGTCGCTAAGTCCGAGGCGGCTGGCTCACCTCACTGAGCCCGGCTGGACGTGGGACCACCGGTCGCCGCGGCCAGGGAACCACCAAGGAGTCAAGGCGAGCCTACCGCCAGCAGCTTCTGCCCGGGCCCACGCGCCGTTCCGGGTAGGCCCGCGGCGCAGGCCACTTCCGGCAGCGGTGCACCATGGGACTTGCAGTTCGCTGGCAAAGGTTGAGTCCCGGGCGTGGCGGCCGCGCTCCATGTTGGGAGCTGTAGGCGCCGCGTGGCATGCTGGGGGTGCTAGGTACCGAAGGCAGATGCCGTCCCTTTGGACTCGCTTCGTCCAACGCCCCCACGAGTTTCGGTGGCCCTTCGCCCCACGCTATAAGAGCAGTCACTTCCGGAACTGCTGCCCTTCGCCTTTGCCGCGAAAAGTGCCTGACGGGGGCTGGGAAGGGGGAGGGGGAAGGAGTCAACGACTCCCTCCCCGTCGTCATTGGCTGAGCGCCTCGTGACGTCACTCTGAGGCGCCTCATGCGGCGCCGCGCACGGGTCCCAGAGCCTTCTGGGTAGCGGTTTAACCCCGCCTCTTGCGTCGGCGCCTTCCTTTTCCTCCCTGTCGCCACCGAGGTCGCACGCGTGAGACTTCTCCGCCGCCTCCGCCGCAGACGCCGCCGCGTGAGTGTGGTGACCGGGCCCGGGGTGCCGGCTGGGGACGCGGAGTCCGTGGGGATGCGGGGTGGGCGGCGGGGTATTTTTGGGACGGAGGCCTACGGGCCGAGCCACGCGCGGCCTCGCCCGGCGGCCCCGGGATGGGCCGGCAGGAGGCCGCCGGGGTAACTCCGCCGTCGCGTCCTCTCCGCCCGCCTCAGGATGCGCTACGTCGCCTCCTACCTGCTGGCTGCCCTAGGGGGCAACTCCTCCCCCAGCGCCAAGGACATCAAGAAGATCTTGGACAGCGTGGGTATCGAGGCGGACGACGACCGGCTCAACAAGGTAGCGGCCGCCCTTGCCCCGCAGCCGCCGTGGGGCCCCAGTGTCCCATACAGGCGATTCTTCTGCCTGATCCGGCCACATGCTGGAGGGTTCGGGGAGAGGCTCGTTTCAGTCTAGTTGGCGATTTCTTGGATAGAGAAGTAAGCCGGGCGGAGGTCGGGCGCGGTGGCTCACGCCTGTAGTCCCAGTACTTTGGGAGGACGAGGCAGGCGGATCACCTGAGGTCAGGGGTTCGAGACCAGCCTGGTAAACATGTCGAAACCCCATCCCTACTAAAAATACAAAAATTAGCCGGGCGTGGTGGTGGGTGCCTGTAGTCCCCCTACTTGGGAGGCTGAGGCAGGAAAATCGCTCGAACCCGGGAGATGGAGGTTGCACGGATCGTGCCACTGTACTCCAGTCTGGGTGGCAGAAGGAGACCCTGTCTCAAAAGGAAAAAAAAAAAAAAAAGCAGGGTGGGTACGAGGCAAAATCGTGATTAACAAGCTTTGGAAGTTTAATACCAGTGAGCTGCGTAAGATTGCGTTAAAAAAAAAAAAAAGCAGTCCTGGCGCATGGCTCACCCGGCTTTGGGAGGCCATGGCGAGTGGATTATTGGAGCCTTGAAGTTCGAGACTGGTCTGGAAAACATTGCAAGACCCGGTCTCCACAAAAAAAAAAAAAAAAAAAAATGGTTGGAGGCAGTGGTGCACATCTGTAGTCTCAGCTACTCATGAGGCTGATGCGGGAGAATCATTTGAGCCTTAGAGGTCAAGGCTGCACTGAGTAGTGATTGTGCCACTGCAGTCTAACAGAACCAGGCCTCGTCTCTAAAATACAATAAAAAATTAGCCAGGCTTGGTTGCTCATGCCTGTAGTCCCAGACTGAGGTGGGATAGTCACTTGAGCCCGGGAGGTCAAGGCTGCAGTGAGATCCTACCACTGCACTCCAGCCTGAAGTCAAAGTCAATTTCATTGCCAGTTTATTTTGCCAGTGTTGAAGATACCTATGAGTAGTCAACATAAGTAGTGAGATGCCCTGTGTCCTTTTGTCAGTCCTAAGTCTAAGAAAGCTAGTGTCCATTTATTTTTATATCACTTCCCAAGTGAGGCTGGTGGCTCCCTTTGGGCAGTGCAGTTCTGGAAACTTCAGGGCCTATTCCCATGTGGGGAACCCAGTCCTGCTGTGACTCTGGGAGGGAGAGGGCCGGGGATACAATCGTACATTCCTGGTAACAGCCCTGTGATTGTCTGCTTCAGGTTATCAGTGAGCTGAATGGAAAAAACATTGAAGACGTCATTGCCCAGGGTGAGTTGATGTGGACGGGCTTTCGTTTGTTTTCATGGTCCATCCTAATCCCTGCCGGTCCATCTGTGGCCTGCCAGGTTTCGCTTGTGGACCAGAGCACCCTAGAAGCCTCACCCGAGGAGTGAGCAGGGCTCCAGTGGGCTCACGTCATGGGCACTTCTAGACACTCTCAGGAGCAGGGCAGCAGGGGGCACCCTGTGTTCTCAGCAGACGTTTAGGTGGCCCTGCCTCTTAAGCCTGACTGCTCCTAGCCCTGAGGCCATTCCCCAGGATTTGTCTGAAGCTTGGTGTCTGGAGAACTGAGTTCACGTCAGCAGTCCTTACCACATGCTTTCTGTGAGGGGGTTGGGGGCAGGGACTGAGGGTGCCAGGGATGTCCATAGGCTCCTTGCCTCTTTGTTGGGCAGATGGTTTTTTGTTGGCTTCAGCTGAGCTGGTGGAACTTGTTTGGAAGTTGAGCTGTTGGGGCAGCTGTTCTTGTCTTCCATGCATGTGACCACGACAGGGCCAGCTCAGCAAACGGGCCAAGCCATGAACACAGCGTTGTGGCCAGAGATGTGGATACTGGGGCAGCACACTCATTCCCTACCTAGTTATGAACATGTCTGTCCAGTGGACCTCTGAGGGTGGAGGTGGGGAAATTGGGCAGGCAGGCAGTGTGGGCCTAATTCCTAGAAGGCAAGTCCCTGGATAGGAAAGGTGGGGAAGAGAAGTCCCCGTTGAGGAGTGGCTCAGGGAGGGAGTGTTCAGGAAGAACGGGAGACACTGGCATATGGTGGGTCCAGATATGTTGGGTGCCATGTGCCATCTCTGGTGCCATCTAACTTCCCTGTGGAACAGCCTCCCAGGCTGGGCAGCTGCTCTGGTCTCACCTCTCTGCTTTCTGTAGGTATTGGCAAGCTTGCCAGTGTACCTGCTGGTGGGGCTGTAGCCGTCTCTGCTGCCCCAGGCTCTGCAGCCCCTGCTGCTGGTTCTGCCCCTGCTGCAGGTAAGTGGTGGCCTGGTGAGTGGGCAAGGGGCTGGGGCTCAGACGGTGTTGCTGCAGTGGGGTCTTCATGGGGGGACTGGCCTGGCACTTGGGCAGTGCTCACCATGCCTCTCCTCTGTTCCACAGCAGAGGAGAAGAAAGATGAGAAGAAGGAGGAGTCTGAAGAGTCAGATGATGACATGGGATTTGGCCTTTTTGATTAAATTCCTGCTCCCCTGCAAATAAAGCCTTTTTACACATCTCTCAAGTATTCCATGAGCACTTTGTCAAGGGTGGCCTCTGCCCAGGTTCTTATCCAAGAGGGCAGGTGTGGAGCTGAAGTGTGGGCAACATGGTATTGGGGAAGCGTTTCTGGTGCAAAATGAGCATGAGGAGGGGAGTCTGGGCATCACAGCTGCCTGGGGTCCCTTCCTGTGGCCTTGAGCAGTATCCTAGCTCCTGAGTACACCCCAGAAGAATGCGAACGGGCTGGGCACAGTAGCTCGTGCCCATTATCCCAGCACTTTGGGAGGCCGAGGAGGGAAGATCACTTGAGGCCAGCAGTTTGAGACCAGCCTGGGCAAATAGCAAGACCCCATCTCTAAAAAACAACCTAACAAGGCGTGGTGTGCACCTGTAGTCCCAACTATGGGAAGTTGAGATGGAAGGATCACTTGCCCAGGAGGTTGAAGTTAACAGTGGGCCGTGATAGTGCCACTGCACTCCATCCTGAGCAGCAGAAACCCTGTCTTGAAAAAAAAGGACAGCAGAGAAGCTGATTTCAATGGAGTTTGGGTAATCAGGGCTCTGTCTTTGGGGTGGCTTGGTGCCTGGACTTGCAAGGACAGGATTGGTAGCCCCTGGGCTCTACAAATGGATGCAGGAAGTGAGCCCAGCTTGGGGGTGGCAGACGCCCCTGGGTTTCCCTGCAGGGGTCATGGCTCCGCCATAATGCCCTGAGCAACTTGGGCAATCACTCCTCAGGCTTGTTTTTTTGCCGATCACAGCCCACCCCTGCCTTACTGGGCAGATGTGCTCAGGGCTTGTGGGAAGTGACCACAGGGCCATGTGCTCACTGAACTAGGTCCTTTGGGGATGGGCCTGCCCTCCCCCGACAGGCTCTGTCCTGGAATACAGGGCTAAGGACAGAGGCCATCACCCTCCCCTCCCAGCCTCTCTGCCCTCCTGGCCTTACTCCGTACGCAGTCTCCCAGGCCTCAGGGTCTTTGCCCGCCAACGTAGGCACCCAGAAGATGGTCTGCCACTCCCACCCTAGGCTTGGGGTCAGCAACCCACCCGCTGGCTTTGGTGTGGGGAGCACCTGCTGTGTGACCACCTTAGTTCTGGGAGGATAAATAGGCTATAGCACAGAAGACAGTTGGGGTGGCTGGGGGAGGCCTCCCTCAGATGGGAAGGCAAGACCTGGAGGAAGGCAGAGTCCCTGGAGGGGAAGGAATGTGGATTGTTGGAGCCAGGGAGCCACAGAAAGTACTGAGATGGAGGGGGACCCAAGATGCTTTTTATTTATTTTGTTTTTTTTCTTTTTGAGATGGACTTTTGCTCTTGTTACCCAGGCTGGAGTGCAAGTGGCACACTCTCCACTCACTGCAACCTGCGCCTCTCTGGTTCAAGTGATTCTCCTGCCTCAGCCTCCTGAGTAGCTGGGACTACAGGTGCCTGCCACCAGTCCCAGCTAATTTTTTGTATTTTTAGAAAAGATGGGGTTTCACCATGTTGGCCAGGCTGGTCTGGAACTCCTGACCTCAGGTGATCCGCCCGCCTTGGCCTCCCAAAATGCTGGGATTACAGGCATGAGCCACTGCGCCTAGCCTTTCTTCTTTCTTTCTTTTTTTTTTTTTTTTGAGACAGAGTCTCGCTCTGTCGCCCAGGCTGGAGTGCAGTGGCGCCATCTCACTGCAAGCTCCGCCTCCCGGGTTCACGCCACTCTCCTGCCTCAGCCTCCAGAGTAGCTGGGACTACAGGCGCCCGCTACCACGCCCACCTAATTTTTTGTATTTTTTTTTTTTTTAGTAGAGATGGGGTTTCACTGTGTTAGCCAGGATGGTCTCGATCTCCTGACTTCGTGATCTGCCCGCCTCGGCCTCCCAAACTGCTGGGATTACAGGCGTGAGCCACCGCGCCCGGCTACCTTATTTATTTATTTTTTCCAGACGTGATCTCACTCTGTCGCCCAGGCTGGCGTGCAGTGGCATGATCTCGGCTCACTGCAACCTCCACCTCCCAGGTTCAAGTAATTCTTCACCTCAACCTCCAGAGTAGCTGGGACTACAGGTGCCCACCACCACGCCCGGCTAATTTTTGTATTTTTTTTTTTAGTAGAGACGGGGTTTCACCGTGTTAGCCAGGATGGTCTCGATCTCCTGATTTCGTGATCTGCCCACCTCGGCCTCCCAAAGTGCTGGGATTTCAGGCATTATTTATTTTTTGAGACAGAGTTTCGCTCTAGTCGTCCAGGCTGGAGTGCAGTGGCACGATCTCGGCTCACTGCAACCTCTGCATTCCAGGTTCAAGCAATTCTCATGCCTCAGCTTCTTGAGCAGCTGGAATTACAGGCACGCGCCTCCACACCTGGCTAATTTCTGTATTTTTAGTAGAGATGGGGTTTCATCATGTTGCCTAGGTTGGTCTCAAACTCCTGGCCTCAAATGATCCTCCTGCCTCGGCCTCTGAAACTGCTGGGATTACAGGCGTGAGCCACTGTGCCTGGCCTACATTTATATTTTGTTTTATTTTGTATTTTATCTTATATTTTGAGTCGGAGGCTCACTGTGTTGCCCAGGTTGGAGTGCAGTGGCAGGATCTTGGCTCATGGCAGCCTTGACCTCCCAGGCTCAAGTGATCTTCCCACCTCAGCCTCCAGAGTAACTGGGACTACTGATGTGTGCCACCAACACAGCTAATTTTTGTATCTTTTTGTAGAGATGGGGTTTCACCACGTTGGCCAGGCTGGTCTCAAACTCTTGGCTCAGGCAACCCACCTGCTTTGGCCTCCCAAAGTGCTGGGATTACAGGTGTGAGCCACCGTGCCCGGCCTTAATAATATTTTTAAAAAAACCTTTTTGGATGCCCGTAAAAGCAGAGATTAGGGTGGGAGTAAAGCCAGGTGAGGAGTGGAGGAGGCCGGAACCTGGGTAGTAGGGGTGGGGCAGCAGATGGAGGAGGAAGCAAAGAGAAATGACCCCAGCAGGGTACAGCTAAGGAGTGCAGGGAGCAGTGCTCACTACAACGGGGCAGGGGTGAGGCGGGGGCTGGGGATCGCCCAGGCTCAGGGAGCAGTGCTCCCTACAAGGAGGCAGGGGTAAGGTTGGTGCTGGGGATGGCCCAGGCTCAGGGAAGGGGCCCACAGCAGGAGTGGACCTAGGCTTCAGGGTGCAGACCTCACAATTCCAGCCTTGGACCCTGAAGGGAGGGGGCCTGTGTCGCCTGGAGTTCACCATGATAGGGGGACGTCACACCACCTGGGTTTCTCATTGAGCTGCCCCTTGGAGCTTGTCCTGATGGTGGGGTGCTCCCAGCCCTTGCCAGGATTCTGGGAAGGACCGCCCAGTTCCTGGCTCCTGAGCCTCCCAGGGGCCTGGAGGGAGGAACATGTACCCAAAACAGCCTGACCCAGCTGTGGAAATGGGAGCAGAGGTCTCCCTTCACTGGGGCAGCACCATCCATCAAGGCGACAGTCCCTCAGATGGGGCTAAGGCCCGAACCCTGGCCTTTCCCTTGGAGCAGGTTGAGGGAAGGACCCTAAGTCCCTGGCTTCCCCATCAGTGGTTGCCCTGACGAGCCCCTGGACTTCCATCCCTACTTTGCCGTACCCTGAACCATGCTGTCTCCAACAGCATCGCTGGAATCCAGTCACAGAGAGCTCCTGACACCTCAGGAATGGACCTGGCCCCGCCCTCCATACCCTGGCCCTCCCTCCCCAATCCCATGGTGCATTTGCTGCAGGGTACCTCCATCCAAACACGTGGGAGAAGAGGCCCCACATGCGCAGAATAGAAGAGTCTTGTTTTGTTTTTGAGACAGGGTCTCACTCTGTCACCCAGGCTGACGTGCAGAGGCGCAATCATGGCTCACCCCCACCCAGCCCAGACTCAGTCCATCCTCCAACCGCAGCCTCCTGAGTCGCTGAGACTATAGGTGCGCGCACCACAGCTGGCTTAGTTTTTATTTATTTGTTTATTTTACTTTTTATTTTAAAAATATTTTTATTATTTTATTTTATTTATTTATTGTTTTTGAGACGGAGTCTTGCTCTGTCACCCAGGCTGGAGCACAGTGGTGTGATATCGGCTCACTGCAAGCTCCGCCTCCCAGGTTCACACCATTCTCCTGCCTCAGCCTCGCAAGTAGCTGGGACTACAGGTGCCTGCCACCACGCACCCAGCTAATTTTTTTGTATTTTTAGTAGAGATGGGGTTTCACCGTATTAGCCAGGATGGTCTCAATCTCCTGATCTTGTGATCTGCCCGCCTTGGCCTCCCAAAGTGCTGGGATTACAGGAGTGAGCCACTGTACCCGGCATTTTTATTATTTATTTATTATTATTTTTGAGACAGAGTTTCACTCTGTCGCCCAGGCTGGAGTGCAGTGCGGCGATCTGGGCTCACTGCAAGCTCCGCCTCCCGAGTTCACACCATTCTCCTGTCTCAGCCTCCGGAGTAGCTGGGATTACAGGCGCCCACCACCACACCTGGCTATTTTTTTTTTTTGTATTTTTAGTAGAGACAGGGTTTCACCATGGTAGCCAGGATGGTCTCGATCTCCTGACCTCGTGATCCACTCACCTCAACCTCCCAAAGTGCTGGGATTACAGGTGTGAGCCACTGTGCCTGGCCTATTTTTAAATTTTTTGTAGGGATGGAATCAAGCTATGTTGCCTAGGCTGGTCTCAAACTTCTGGACTCAAGCAATCCCCCCACCTTGGCCTCCCAGAGTGCTGGGATTATAGGTGTGAACCACTGTGCCCAGCCTAGAAGGAGTCGCTTTAAGTCAGGTATGGTCACGTCCTCCCTGCTTGACCCTCTCCCATGGCTGGGCTTCAGCTACTCTCTCCCCTCACTCCCCGACAATCTTCGCCTGTCCTGGTCGGCTGCCTGGGTCTGCTCATTTACCCTTCAAAATTCAACTCAGCATCACTTCCCACAGGGAAGCCCTCCAGAACCCCTTAGGTGCCCCACACGTGGTTACCTACCTCCTCTCACTCATTTTTCTTTTTTCTTTTTTTTTTTTTTTTTGAGAAGAAGTCATGCTCTGTCACCTGGCCAGGCTGGAGTGCAGTGGCACAATCTCAGTTCACTGCAACCTCTGCCTCCCGGGTTCAAGTGACTCTCTTGCCTCAGCCTCCCGAGTAGCTAGGACTACATGCGTGCACTACCACACCTGGCAAATTTTTGTATTTTCAGTAGAGACAGGGTTTTGCCATGTTGGCCTGGCTGGTCTCAAACTCCTGACCTCAGGTGATCTGCCCTCCTCGGCCTCCCAAAGTGCTGGGATTACAGGCATGGGCCACTGTGCCCGGCCTCTTTTTAGGACGGAGCCTCGCTCTGCCCCCCAGGCTGGAGTGCAGTGGTGCGATCTCAGCTCACTGCAACCTCCGCCTCCCAGGTTCAAGTGATTCTCCTGCCTCAGCCTCCCGAGTAGCTGGGATTACAGGCGTGTGCCACCCTGACCGGCTAATTTTTGTATTTTTGGTAGAGACAGCGTTTCACCAGCCAGGCGGTCTCAAACTCCCGACTTTCTGTGATCCGCCCGTCTTGGCCTCCCCAAGTGCTGGGATTACAGGTGTGAGCTTCCACACCCGGCCTCCTCTCATTTTGAGCTTATGTAAATGCCTACCGGCCCCCAGTAGGGCTGGGGCAGGGTTGACTTTCCAGTGCTGTCTGGGATGGCTGGGAGCAAAGAGGCTGAGGACTGGGCAGCATCCCCCTAGATGGCCCCATCCTGTTCTGGCCCTGTTCTGGCTTCCCTAACTCAGCTTGGGTTGGGGGCAGCCCCAAGCCCCATCCCAGACCCTCTGCAGCTCTGGCAACAGCTAGGTCCAGAGATGACCTCAGCCTGGGGAGCCAGTGTTCCTGGGGAGACAGAATCTCATTGCCTCCCACCCCAACCTGAGAAAGCCTCTCGTTTGGGGGTGGGGTGAGGTTCAGGGAGGGATCCTGGATCTACTCCAAGCCCTGTTTGCTCCACTGACCAGGAGAAAAATGCGGAAAAGGGGTGAAAGGGTGACATCACCCAGGATTGCTCCACCTCTGGGGCAATTATCGGGAGCAGGGCGGCCCCAGTCAGACGCAGGCAGCCCCAAAGCCTGAACAGGCAGGGCCAGACCCAGGTAAGAAGCCAAGGTCCGGAAGGGTCGCGGGCGCGGGGCAGGGCTGAGGCCCCACGTCAGGTCGCGTGGGTCTGCGGAGCTGGGGTCCCCCACGAAGGGTTTGCGGGACTCGCATCCGGCCTTGGCCTTGGATGTTTATGGGTCTGTCTGTGGGTGAGCCTGTGGGTCCCGGGGCTCCCGAGGCCTGTGCGGCTTTCAGGTCTGGGGGTGCTGCCGGTGCGCCTCTGTCCAGGGACCAGCTCCTCTGTCCCGGGTGGGTGTGGGAGGCGGACCCGGTGGGGAGGGGCGGTGGCTGCCCTGAAACCAGAGCTCCCTCTCGCCGGTACCCAGGTCTGTGTGAGGCTTCCGGCCCCCAGGCTCGGGCCTGCGCCCAGCCCACCCTACACCCCTAGGCGTGTGCCCCCAGCCGTGCCCAGCAGGGGCGGAGGGAGGGCAGAAGCTTTCTCCGGGCGGCAGCGGAGGGCGGGGCTCCAGCGCGGGGGGCCGGGTCAAGGACGGGGGCGGGTCCCGAGGGCACGGCCGTTCCCTGCGCGCCCCGATTGGTCTTCGTGTGCCGGCCCCGCCCCCGCCGTGAGTCCCACACTTAAAAGCGCCGCCTCCGCGCCGCCCGCGTAGCTTCTTCGCCTCCGCCAGCGGGGACCCCGAGCTAGAGCCGCAGCGGGACCTGCCCGGCCCCCGGCTCCAGCGAGCGAGCGGCGAGCAGGCGGCTCACAGAGGCCTGGCCGCCCACGGAACCCGGGGCCCGGCGGCCGCCGCCGCGATGTTTCCCCGCGAGAAGACGTGGAACATCTCGTTCGCGGGCTGCGGCTTCCTCGGCGTCTACTACGTCGGCGTGGCCTCCTGCCTCCGCGAGCACGCGCCCTTCCTGGTGGCCAACGCCACGCACATCTACGGCGCCTCGGCCGGGGCGCTCACGGCCACGGCGCTGGTCACCGGGGTCTGCCTGGGTGAGCGGGGCCGGGGGCGGCAGGCGGGGGGCTGGCGGGAAGGCCGTGCGGGGCCGGGGGATGGTCTCCGTGAGCGGAGGGGCCCCGCGGCGAGTCGGTGGGTACCGTGGGGAGGGTTCCGGTCCGCGCCTGGGGAACCCGGCGAGGATCCAATCCGGGTCGCTGGCCTGGGGGCGGGGCCTGGTTTGTTTTGCTCCGAGGGTGCCCGGGGCCCGCCTGTCTGGCGCAAAGGTTTGGGGGCGGGCAGGTGCAGCAAAAGCTGCTTAATTGGACAGAAAAAGTAACTCGTGGGCGGGACCGTGAGAATCCGAGGAGGGACCTAAGTCACCCCGTGGCCCTGGATATTACAACCGGTGCCAGCGATCGGTCACAGTGTCCTGGGCTTCCGCAGTTGCAGGCTGCTATCAGGGGGCCTGGCATGGGGGTAGCCTCTTGAGAGGCGTCTGGGAACCGTGACCTGGTCCTTCCCAAGGGCCCGGAGGAGGAGCCCCGCTGAGGTCAGGGCTGGGCGCGAAGGGGCTCTCCTGCCCTCTCCTTGCACACGGTGCCCTGTGGCCTGGCTCCCCGCTGCGGCCCACCGCGTTTGCACACTTCATGGGTGAGGGTGCTTCTGGGCTCTGGTGCCTGGGTCAGGAGTGGATGGGTCTCTGTGTGCTGGGCTGGCCTCGGCTCGCACCATCGGCTGCCATGAGGGAGTGATGTTTACAGCACACGACTTCAGGAGCCTGTGAGGACACCCAAGATGACAGGGGCACTCTGCTCAGCAGGAGCCTGTCCGGGGCTCACCCCTGCCCTCTTCCTCTGAACTTTGTCCTGGGAGGGAGGGGGCTGGACCACAGAAGTGAACCTCTCAGGTCCCAATAACTAGAGCTATTATTGGGAACAGCCCCCTCCAGCCCCCTCCCTCTCATGGAGGCCTTCAGACAAGCGCCTCAGTCGGCCCCCTGGCTTCAAGATACATCAAGGTCCCTGCTACCCGAGCCAAGGACACCTCTCCCACAGTGCTTCCCCACCCTGCTCCCAACAAGACTCCTTCTCACGGGTGGTCTTGCACAGCTGGAGCCCATAGTGCAGCAGGTGCTGGCTGAAGAGCCCCTGGCTCCACACTGCCCCACTCCTGACCAGGGTGATGCACTGGAGGAGGGCTTGGACCTCAGCTCCTCCCTCAGTGCTCCCGACCACTTCCAGGGACTATCCCCAAGCTGGCCAGCACTCCTGCGCCCCAAGAGGAGTGTTTGGGGTGCTTCCTCTTGGCTGCAGTGGGACACAGGTGTGCCTTCCTAGGAACTGGGCCCTGACTACTTCCAGCCCAACACTCCCGGGCCTGTGAACTGTGACCTGTGTGCCGGGATGGGTTTTGTGGGTCTGCCCCATCCCCGCACTGCTGGATCTGGCCAAGTGGGTGAAGGCTAAGGCCGGTCAGAGTTGAGTTTCTGCCTTGTCCCCTCTCCTGGGCTAGATGCCACACCAGGCCCAGTGACTCATAGGGCAGGCAGTTGGGAAATACCAGGCAGAGGGCAGGTCCTGGTCTCAGCTGGCCAGCCTCTGCTGTCTGCCATCCCAGGGGAGGTGGCCAAAGTCCCAACTGTGAGCCAGGCCCCACATTCACTGGGCCTCCTCCAGGGTCTGTATGCCATGGAACCCTGGACATGGGGCTATGAAGGAAGGTGGGTGTTGCTAAGCCCAGGAGCATGGGCCCCTAACCTTGGCCCTGTGCCCCAGGTGAGGCTGGTGCCAAGTTCATTGAGGTATCTAAAGAGGCCCGGAAGCGGTTCCTGGGCCCCCTGCACCCCTCCTTCAACCTGGTAAAGATCATCCGCAGTTTCCTGCTGAAGGTCCTGCCTGCTGATAGCCATGAGCATGCCAGTGGGCGCCTGGGCATCTCCCTGACCCGCGTGTCAGACGGCGAGAATGTCATTATATCCCACTTCAACTCCAAGGACGAGCTCATCCAGGTGGGGCCTGGTGGAGCCATGCTGGGTGGCGGTGGGGGGGGCAGTGGGAACCTCAAGGCCTCTGCTCATTCTCTCCCACTCTGTCCCTGCCCTGAAGGCCAATGTCTGCAGCGGTTTCATCCCCGTGTACTGTGGGCTCATCCCTCCCTCCCTCCAGGGGGTGGTGAGTATTCCTAGCCCTGGACACCTTCTATGGGGTGGGCCGTGGGATGAGGGACAGAGGAGGAGGCCGCCTAGAGCCATCCTTCAGGCCCTTGCTCTGCCACCGCCTGTTACCCACTTCCCCTGTGTTACTCAAGAAACAGCTGTGGCAACGCACGCTTCCTGGCCCCCCATCCCTTCCTCCGTCCCTGCCCTCCCCCGTCTACCATCTGCTCAGTGCCCAGGCTGGCCCACAGCCAGTGCCCAGTGGGTAAAACGCTCAAATGAGGTAGCCACTGAATGGGGCCCTTGGTGGCCGGGTGGGGTGGCTGGGGTGGGTGGCCAGTGCAGCCACAGGCCCTCACATACGGTCCTGTCTGTGTGTCCCGTGGAAGCGCTACGTGGATGGTGGCATTTCAGACAACCTGCCACTCTATGAGCTTAAGAACACCATCACAGTGTCCCCCTTCTCGGGCGAGAGTGACATCTGTCCGCAGGACAGCTCCACCAACATCCACGAGCTGCGGGTCACCAACACCAGCATCCAGTTCAACCTGCGCAACCTCTACCGCCTCTCCAAGGCCCTCTTCCCGCCGGAGCCCCTGGTGAGCTCTGCTCCGAGGACTGTGGCCTTCCCAGCCACTCCTCACTGGGCACCAAGGGAGAACACTGATCCTTTGACTTCTGAGTGCCCAGGGTAGGGTGGTGGGAGCCTCTTCTGAGGGCTGGGGAAAGCGCACAACCTTTCTAGGGGCAGATGGCCCATCCAACCTCTCTGTCTAGCTGCTCTGTCCAGGCTCCCTGTCCAGTCTCTCTCTCTTTTTTTTTTTTTTTTTTGTTTGAGACGGAGTCTCGCTCTGTTGCCAAGGCTGGAGTGCAGTGGCAGGATCTCAGCTCACTGCAACCTCTGCCTCCAAGGTTCAAGCTATTCTCCTGCCTCAGCCTCCCCATTAGCTGGGATTACAGGCGCCTGCCACCATGCCTGGCTACTTTTTGTATTTTTAGTAAAGAAATAGGGTTTCACCATGTTGGCCAGGCTGGCCTCAAACTATTTTATTTTTTTATTTTTTTTTTGAGATGAAGTCTCACACTGTCACCCAGGCTGGAGTGCAGTGGCTGGATCTCCTCTCACTGCAAGCTCCACCTCCCGGGTTCCTGCCATTCTCCTGCCTCAGCCTCCCCAGTAGCTGGGACTACAGGTGCCCACCACCACGCCTGGCTAATTTTTTGTATTTTTAGTAGAGACGGGGTTTCACCGTGTTAGCCAGGATGGTCTTGATCTCCTGACCTCGTCATCCGCCTGCCTCAGCCTCCCAAAGTGCTGGGGTTACAGGTGTAAGCCACTGCGCCCGGCTTTCTGTCCAACCTCCCTGTACAGCTTTGATCTTGTTCTGGATCTAGGATAGGTTTTGGGGTTGGGAGCTGCGGGTAGTGAAGGGAGGTGGCTGTTGGGGGTGCCAGGGATTCCAGGGGCAGAACGGGCATCCCTGGCTCCCTCCGCTCCATTTAACCCTCCTCACTGCAGGTGCTGCGAGAGATGTGCAAGCAGGGATACCGGGATGGCCTGCGCTTTCTGCAGCGGAACGGTGCGCGGACCCGGGCGGGAGAGGGCGGGGTGGGCTCGGCTCTGCTACCCCCTGCGGGCCGCGGCCGCGCTGATGAACTGAGAATCCCTTCTCTCCCCAACCCCAGGCCTCCTGAACCGGCCCAACCCCTTGCTGGCGTTGCCCCCCGCCCGCCCCCACGGCCCAGAGGACAAGGACCAGGCAGTGGAGAGCGCCCAAGCGGAGGATTACTCGCAGCTGCCCGGAGAAGATCACATCCTGGAGCACCTGCCCGCCCGGCTCAATGAGGGTGCGCACCTGGGGGACGGGAGGGGAGGAGGGGAGGCAGGAGGGAAAGAGAGAGAGGAGAGGACGGTGAGCAGGGGAGGGAAGCCGAGCGGGTCCTGGGCCCCGCTGCCTCCACTGGCCGCCGACCTCCCGCCCACCCGCAGCCCTGCTGGAGGCCTGCGTGGAGCCCACGGACCTGCTGACCACCCTCTCCAACATGCTGCCTGTGCGTCTGGCCACGGCCATGATGGTGCCCTACACGCTGCCGCTGGAGAGCGCTCTGTCCTTCACCATCCGGTGTGAGGGCTGGGGGGTCGGGAGAGGGGCCCAGGGGACGGACTTTGGGATCATCCGCGAGTGATGGTTACCAGGGAAGGTGGGGTGGGGTGAGCAGTGCCAAGTCAGGGCACAGACAGGGCCCGGCGGGTGGGCATGTGGGTCTGGCCAAGTCCCTGAACGCGCCGCTCGCCCTGTCCCCAGCTTGCTGGAGTGGCTGCCCGACGTTCCCGAGGACATCCGGTGGATGAAGGAGCAGACGGGCAGCATCTGCCAGTACCTGGTGATGCGCGCCAAGAGGAAGCTGGGCAGGCACCTGCCCTCCAGGTGAGCCGCCGACCGCGCGTCCACCCGGGGCCCGCGGTGCTAGCGCCGGGAGCTGAAGCCCTCCCTGCCGCATCCCTGCCCCGCAGGCTGCCGGAGCAGGTGGAGCTGCGCCGCGTCCAGTCGCTGCCGTCCGTGCCGCTGTCCTGCGCCGCCTACAGAGAGGCACTGCCCGGCTGGATGCGCAACAACCTCTCGCTGGGGGACGCGCTGGCCAAGTGGGAGGAGTGCCAGCGCCAGCTGCTGCTCGGCCTCTTCTGCACCAACGTGGCCTTCCCGCCCGAAGCTCTGCGCATGCGCGCACCCGCCGACCCGGCTCCCGCCCCCGCGGACCCAGCATCCCCGCAGCACCAGCTGGCCGGGCCTGCCCCCTTGCTGAGCACCCCTGCTCCCGAGGCCCGGCCCGTGATCGGGGCCCTGGGGCTGTGAGACCCCGACCCTCTCGAGGAACCCTGCCTGAGACGCCTCCATTACCACTGCGCAGTGAGATGAGGGGACTCACAGTTGCCAAGAGGGGTCTTTGCCGTGGGCCCCCTCGCCAGCCACTCACCAGCTGCATGCACTGAGAGGGGAGGTTTCCACACCCCTCCCCTGGGCCGCTGAGGCCCCGCGCACCTGTGCCTTAATCTTCCCTCCCCTGTGCTGCCCGAGCACCTCCCCCGCCCCTTTACTCCTGAGAACTTTGCAGCTGCCCTTCCCTCCCCGTTTTTCATGGCCTGCTGAAATATGTGTGTGAAGAATTATTTATTTTCGCCAAAGCACATGTAATAAATGCTGCAGCCCAGCCTCTGCCCACTTTGTGTGTATGTGACCGCCTGCTTACTTGCAGTGAGAGCCTGGTGGCCAGGGTCTGGCCCTACCTTGGCTGACCAGCCTCTCCACAGCTGCAGGCCAGGTCTCCCAGCGTCGCACTCCTGGGCCTGGCATTTGGAACCTGCCAGGCTGGCCTGGGAACACCCCCCTACAGGCACATATGAACGTACTGCATTCCTGCCGACCCCCCTGTCTAGGATGCATCCACACCCCCCCCAATTTTGCCCAGCAGCCTCCTGGCTGACCCTTGGCCACAGCCTTCTGAGGGCCAATGGAAATATTTGGGACCAAGATTCTTGGTAAATAAAAACGAAAATGTTTGCAAAAGGTGTCGCCTGCCCCTCCCCTCACACGGTGACACAGTGGGGTGTGTGACTGTTTTGGGGCTTGGCCAGCTGTGGGGGCTGAGGTTCCTGAAACCAAGCACAGGGGACCTGGGAAAGCTGGGCCCCTGCTCCACTTGGGCGTTTGGCCCAAAGTTCTCTGTCCCCCCACCCTCACAAGCCTCTCTGGCCTGGTGCACATACCTTCTTGTTCCCCTGCCCAGCCTCCTGCCAGTACACAGGGCAGGGCTGGGATATGGAGGCAGGTGAGGTCCTAGCTGAAGGGGACTCAGCCCTGTGCTGGGGAAGTGGTTTCCTGAGGGCATCCTCTTCATGGCAGGGAGGCCATGAGGGGAGAAGGCCAGCCCTCCTTGGCAACCAAAAAGGCCCCATGGCCTGAGGGTGCTGGAGCCAGCCCCCACCTGCTCCTCCCAGAAGGCGTGGGGTGGCTGTGGTGGCAGCCCCCTGCCAACAATAACGGTTGGTTCTGGGATCTGGGACTGGGCGAGCCGGCCAGGCAGGTCCCTGATGTGCCTGTGCCAGAGGCCACCCCCCTTGGTCTCAAGGTCCTGTCCTATAAGCCCAGCCTTTTGTGGTTCAGCTGGGTCGCACGCTGGATCCCAGGCCCCTTCCTTGAAAAGCAGAGGCCTTGTACCCCCCAGGGTTGCCGGGCGGGACAGTGATTCCAGCCCTTCAGGTGGGTGCAGGGGCCAGGCTGGGGCTGGGGCTGGGGAGGGCTCCTCGGTCTGGGGTGGAATTTTCTCCCCCCACAGGAGGGTTTCACTCGGGCCTCAAGCAGCTCCTCCTTCCAATCCTCCCCCAAGGGGAGCCCCAGTCAGGGCTGGGCCCCAGAAGGAGAGCCAGGAGGGGCTACTGAGGTGGGACCTGCCTGAGTCCCCAGCTCGTTCACCCATACATATACACTGAATACTGCTAAGTTAAACATTTTCTAGCATTACACGTTCATTGTTTTGTTTTGAGATGGAGTTTCGTTCTTGTTGCCCAGTGCAATGGCACAATCTCGGCTCACTGCAAACTCTGCCTCCCGAGTTCAAGTGATTCTCCTGGCTCAGCCTCCCAAAGTGCTGGGATTACAGGCGCCCACCACCACACCTGGCTAATTTTTTGTATTTTTAGTAGAGACGGGGTTTCGCCATGTTGGGCAGGCTGGTCTCGAACTCCTGACCTCAGGTGATCTGCCCCTGTCTCAGCCCCCCAAAGTGCTGGGATTACAGGCGCCCGGCCTACATGTTTATTGTTTAAAAACCGGGAAAGTATAGAGAAGAAAGTAAAGGCTCCCCACCCCTAGAGATAACCGCTGAAAGTATTTGGTCTGTTTCCTGCCCGGCTTTTTCCTACACACACTTTTTGGCGCCTTAAGTCGGGCTCCCCCCGGACAGGAGGGGCCCCTCCCAGGCGCTGGTGTCTGCGCCCGCCCCCCGCAGCCTTGTCCCTGCTCCGGGGGGTCCCTGGGTCTCTGGGGCATATCGTTGCTTCACTGCTCGCTCGAGCCTCCAGGGATCGGGCCGCCGGGGCAGCGCAGAGAGGCGGGGACAGGCGACAGCGGCGCAGAGTGGCTCCTCCCGGGGCCGGCCCAAGCGGGGGTCTCGGTGCCTGCGAAGCGGCAGGGGTCGCTCGGGGCCCAGTGCCCTCTACGTCCCGTCCGGGTCCCAGCTGGGGCGGGGCGCGCCCAGTGTTTCCGGGAGGAGCGGCCCGGGCGCGCGGCAGGTGCGGCGGCGCAACTCGCGGGTAGGCGACCGCTGGTCCCGCCGCTGAGGCCCCTCCACTGCCGCCCGCCCGGCACCCCCTCCGGGCCGCCGTGGCCCGCGCCAAACCTGAGCGTCTCGGTCGGGAACTCCGGTTACCCCCTCGGGGCGCAAGGCGGCAGGGGTAAGGGCGGGGTTGTCCCCCAGAGTTTCGGGGAGCACAGGAGGCTGGCCGCCCCACCCCACCAGCCCATCCTCCCACCTCCCTGGGGCCCTGCTGCCGCGCGGCTTCCGGCTGGGGTGGACCTCAGGTCTAGCCGGCAAGCCGGAGGGCGGGCGAGACAACAACGTGGCCTGGAGGCAATGGCCCTGGCCTCTCGTGTCCCCTTCTCTCACCCGCCCAGACTTGCCCTCTTTGGAGGTCGCCCGGGCTAAGGAACATGGAAGGACGCTGGGTGGAGAGTGAGGGGAGAGGATCCCAGCTCCCCGGTGGGGGAAGGCGGGTGTTGGTGGGGAGCAGCTTTGGGAAATCCGGGATCAGGACATTGTGTGAAGGACAGGTGGCTCTGGTTAGGGGGCGGGGCGTCCCTGCAAGGAGGTGGGAAGGGAGGCCCCAGGGAGTTCTGAAACGGGGAAGGGCCTCAGTGTTGTGGGGCAAGGGTGTTAGGTCTCGAATCTGGAAGTGTTCCTGAGTGGGGCGTCAGAGGCGAAGGGCTCTGCAGGCTGGGACCTTGCCCCTGCACTCTGTGGGCTCAGTTGTGGGGAGGGAGGGGCCGGTGGGCAGGAGGGAGAAGTCTGCCCTGCCTGCCAGCTGTCATGAGGCTGGGCCACACAGGCCCAGGCCAGGGGCTAAGGACTTGGTCAGGACTGGCTGAGCCCTCACTTGGGATCAGATCTCCAGTTGCAGAGTGTGAGGGGCTCCTCCCTCACTGACCCCAAGCCTGCTCCTCTCAGCTTTCAGGACCCCACCTTCCTTATCACCAGGTCTTCTCCACTGGCCCCTGAGATTGCCATCACCTCCAGCTCCTCCTCTCCTGAAGTTGGCAGCCCCTCCTGGGTTCCAGCCTCCTGAGATGCCAGACCCACTGGGGCAGTACCCACAGGCCCTGAGCCTACATCAACCACCCCAGTGACACCCCAAGCCTGCAGCATTTTCCACCCCCAGCCCCCTGGTCCCACCTTGCCTTCCGCCCACCTTCCCACCTGCTGCAGGGAGGGCCCTCGGCTGAGCCTTCAGACACACTTGCACCCCATCCGCTCCCCTCCTGAATTTCTTCTGACCCTCCCTTGGCTTCACAGCACCTGAAGGCCAGGCTGAGGCCCCCTGCTCTCATGGCCAGCCCTGGAAAGCCTGGGGCTGATGAGGCCCAGGAGGAGGAGGGGGAACTCGAGGGGGGCTCTGCAGGGCCGCGGGCTGCAATACTGGAGCAGGCTGAGGAGCTGTTTCTGCTGTGTGACAAGGAGGCTAAGGGCTTCATCACCAAGCACGACCTGCAGGTGAGTCCCCCACCCCAAGAGACTGCTTCGGCCCTGGGTTGACCGCAGCGGCTCATCTCTGCTCTCCTTCCCCGACCAGGGTCTCCAGAGCGACCTGCCCCTCACGCCAGAGCAGCTGGAGGCTGTGTTTGAAAGTCTGGACCGGGCTCACACTGGCTTCCTCACCGCCAGGGAGTTCTGCCTGGGCCTGGGTGAGCCTGTGGCCTGCCTATCCCCCACTGCCCAGAGCTGGAGGCCTGATCAGGAGGCCTGGCACTTGTGGCGCCCTGAGGGCTGCCGGTGCCTCTCGTCCTCCTCCCTCCAGGGCCCGTGCTTTGTCTGCACGCACTCGCGCCTGGGGGCTCCTAGCTGCGGTGGAGTGTGTGGAGCTGACCTTCCTGGCCCCCAGCTCCTCTCCTGTGCTAAGCTCCGGTAGGGCTGGGAGCTGGCCTGTCACCTCTTGTTTCCAGGCCAATAGGACCAGAATAAGGAAGGAAAACAGGAAACTGGGCCCTGAGAGAGGGCAGGATACTCGTTGGGAGGGTGAACGGGGACACAGCCACGGTGGCGACCCACAGCCCTGGTAATCGCTCGCTCCATGCCCGCAGGGATGTTTGTGGGGGTGGCGTCAGCCCAGGGAGCGAACCCCTGCAGGACTCCCGAGGAGACCTTTGAGTCGGGCGGGCTCGACGTGCAGGGCACGGCGGGCTCTCTGGATGAGGAGGAGGAAGAGGAGGAGCGATTCCACACTGTGCTGGAGCAGCTGGGGGTGGCCCCGGTCCTGGGCAAGTGAGTCGGCGCTGGCCCCGCTCCCACTGCCCGCTCTGCTGTTTCTCTGCCTGCATGCTGTCTGCCCTTGTCACCCGAGTGCTGGTTCTGCACAGGGTCTCTAGGCCGGGTCAGGCCCAGCCTAGCGTCAGCTGCGATTCCCTGGGAGGGACCCGGCATGATTTCCCGCAGAATTTGCATTTCATGAGGCAGCAGCCAGGGCTGCAGGGAGGAGGGGCAGCGCCGGGCGCGGGGCCACATACCGGCACTGCCCAGGGTACACACACCTCACCGACCACGCACGCCGGGCAGGGGCGAAAGCGCTCACGGGAGGGATGCCCTGCACGCAGCAAGTGCTCCTGTCCTGCCCAGGGGCGAAGAAGTCTCCTAAGGGTTTGCTGCTGGCGGAGGGAAGCCTGCTTCCCGCTTCTGCCAGCTCCAGCCTCAGTTCCCGCCCGCCCTCCAGGCAGCGGGCTGTGAGGACGCTCTGGGCCAGGCTGCAGCGCGAGCGCCCCGAGCTGCTGGGCTCTTTCGAGGATGTTCTGATACGCGCGTCGGCCTGCCTGGAGGAGGCGGCCCGGGAGCGCGACGGCCTGGAGCAGGCGCTGCGGAGGTGAGGGCCGGGGTGGGGTATGGGGGCCAATGGAGGGCCTCAGGGCAGCAGCAGAGGCGGTGCCAGGGGGCTGTAGCGCTGGCAAGTTCTCATCCGGGGTCGCCCGGTCCCCCGAAGGCGCGAGAGCGAGCACGAGAGGGAGGTGCGCGCTCTGTACGAGGAGACGGAGCAGCTTCGGGAGCAGAGCCGGCGCCCGCCGAGTCAGGTGGGCCTCGGGCCCCGCCCCTCCCGCCAGGCCCAATCCCACCTCGCTGGCCTCCCTGGCTCCGCCTTCTCTGAATTAATCCCTCCCCGACGGCCCCACCTCCGCGGGTCCAGGCTGCCCTCAGCCCGAGGAGATCCCACTGGGCCTCACGTATCACCCCCGTCCGGTCTTCTCCACCCGACCCCGCTCCGCCCGGGCCCACTCCCAGCCCCTGGCCCTCCGTGTACCTCTTTTGCATGGCCGAGCGGCCGGCGGAGGCTCAGTGGTCCTCCGTGCGTCCCAGAACTTCGCCCGCGGGGAGCGGAGAAGCCGTCTGGAGCTGGAGCTGCAGAGCCGCGAGCAGGACCTGGAACGCGCGGGCCTGCGGCAGCGGGAGGTGAGCACCCGGCCCCTGCCCTGTCCCCACGGTCACCCGTGCACTCTCCCCCTGTGCCTTAGCGTCCCCGGGTTGTCGGGAGCCTGGGGCACGCGCAGCACCCCGGGGAAGAGGGGGCGTTCCTCGCCGGTCTCCATCCTTCCACCCTCCAGTTAGAGCAGCAGCTGCACGCCCAGGCTGCGGAGCACCTGGAGGCACAGGCCCAGAACTCCCAGCTGTGGCGGGCGCACGAGGCGCTGCGAACGCAGCTGGAGGGGGCGCAGGAGCAGATCCGCAGGCTGGAGAGCGAAGCACGAGGCCGCCAGGAGCAAACCCAACGGTGCCGTGGGACGGGGCTGGGCGGGCCCCGGTGCGTGTCCCGGGGGCGGGGCCGACGGGCGCTCAGGTCTGGGCCACTTTCATCCCCATCTCAAGTCCCAGGCCCGCCCCGTGGGAAGGAGGATCTTCTAGGGGGTCCGGGGGCTCCCCAAGGAGCCTTCCTGCAGCCGGGTCACCACCTCCCATCCACAGAGACGTGGTCGCCGTCTCCAGGAACATGCAGAAAGAGAAAGTCAGCCTGCTACGGCAACTGGAGCTGCTCAGGTACGGTCAGGCTCAGGCCCGAGAGGGAATGGGCTCAGCGGAGCTTGGGGGCTCCCAGCTCCCCAACATTCTTGGCTGCCGCTCTACTCCATTGGAAGTCCTTCCTTATGCCTGCCTTTCACCCCTCACGCTGCAGCCTCAGCCAGACACCTCTCTTCGCTCTGAGGGGAGTCGGAGCTCACCTCCCCCCACCTTGAGCTCCCTCAGACCCTCTCAGTGTCGGACTCCTCCTTCCCTAGGGAGCTGAATACACGGCTGCGGGATGACAGGGACGCCTGCGAGGCCAGGCGGGCGGGCAGCAGCTGCAGGAAGGCTCTGACAACAGCCCGCCTGCCTGGGCCCACCTGCTGCTGCTGCTGTTGCTGGGCTCGGCCCCCCAGACGCGGCTCTGGCCACCTTCCCAGTGCCCGGTGACCAGCCCCGAGTGACTCACGGACCATGAGCTAGAAGCTGCCCTTGCAGGAGGCTTGTCATGGGTCGGGGGTGCCCACTCAGGATGCAGGCTCTCCCCAGTGGGCCCCAGGCTCGCCTGACTGAAGACATGAAGGACCTAGCCTAGGAGTGGTCAGGGTCCCGGGAGTGGCCAGGGTCCCGTGTGTGCCCTCTGCCAGTCTTCGCTCTGTCCCCGTTCAATCAACCCCATCTCAGTTCAGCAGAAAACCCCCTCGTCAAATAAAACCCACTGACTGCACTGCGTCCTCCTGGGCCTTCCGTGTGTCTGGGAGCCACAGCCTGTGTGTGCCACATGGATGAGGTGGGCACCTGTGCACGCGTGCTGTGTGGGTGAATACAGGGAGCGCGGGCCTGTGGCGATGGGGCTGAGGTCCTGCGTGTCCTCTTGTGTCCCTGGTCATGCCCCAAACTCACACTACCCATCAAGGCTGGAGCCCCTCGGGGCCCTCGCCAGTGTGTGGATCAGGGCTCCCCACTGTCTCGCCAGGGAGGCCGGGCAGGTTCCCGGCCTCAGTCGGCCACCCCCTCCCATGCTGGTCCTCCCCTGTGGCTGTGATGAATGAGCTTGGTGGGTGGGCAGCCCCCTCCTTCCTCACTCCCACTCTTGGCGTCTTGGTGCAGCCCTAGGCCGGCCCTGCCCTTCGTCCCTCACCTCCTCGCACCGCTCCCAGTGGTCCCTTCCAGTCTGGAGGGCATGGGCCCCCCAGGACCCCATGGGTATGTCTCGCTGGGACCCCAGGCCTGCCCGGGTCTCCAGGCTGTCCACACTGCACGTACAGTAGCCCTTCTCCCGCATTTGCCCACAGCGCTAGGCCCTCCCACGCCCCAGGCCGGCATCGGTTCTGCCGACCCCTGCAGCCTCTGGGCGGTTCCTGGGTGAGGAGAAAGAGATGGGGGTTGGGCATGGAGGAGGGCCGGGTCGCCACAGCCCAGGGCCTCTGGCTAGGCTGGTCGCCGTCTTACCTCCGGGCCCGCCTCCCGCCCAGCTCCTCCGTCCTTGGACGGGATGGGCCCTTGCTGGGCTATTGGCGCCCCCAGGGCTGCAGCTCGCCCGGCCTCCGCAGTGCCAGGTCGACCCCCAGCGCCTACACCCACGCGGGTTCAGACCTGCCGAGCGCCCGCCGCCGCGGGAGGGGCTTGAGGCCGGGGCGGGGCCGGGGCGGGGCGGGGCGGGGCGTCCCCCTCGTAGGCTCCGGGCCGCGCATTCTCAGCGCTGGGAGCCGCCGCCCCCGCAGCTGCTGCCGCCGCCGCCAGGGCCCGGACTCGGACGCGTGGTAGGTGAGTGCGCGGCCACGACAGCTCGGCCGAGCGGGGCGAGCGGGGCGAGGGGGGCGAGGGGCGCGAGGGGGGCGAGGGGCGCGAGGGGGCCGAAGGCCCTGCGCGCCCCAGCCCCGGAGGCCCAGCCGCAGGCGCCGGGAGGTTCCGGGAGGCCGCACCCACCGCCTGGCCCAGCTCCCTCGCCTGCCCCAGCTCCCTCGCCTGCCCTTCCGCGGGAGGCGGACTCCGGGCGGGTTGGGGAGGCGCAGCGGGAAGGAGAGGCGCCTCCCGGGCCCTTGGACCGGCCTGACGGCCCCCTTCAGCCCAGGGGTCCCGGGACGCGCAGCCTGGACACCCTGCTCATTGTCCCTGGACACGGCAGTCTTCCCTCCGCCCGCAGCAGCCCCCGCCCGCGTGCAAGTGGGCGCGCCATTGGCCGCGCCGGGCGGGGTCGGCGGCGGCGGTGACCTCATTGCAGTGCCCCGGGGACGCTTGGCAGGCGCGGAGTCCCAGGTCCCCCTGACTGGGGCTCCCCCTGATAGGGCGCGGGCCGCCCAGGGGCCTGGTGCAGGTCCCGGGGACTTGGGGAGGAACAGACAACTATTTCTGGAAGGCCCTTTCCCAGGGGGTCCAGAGGGACCAGGCATTCCTGGGAAGAGGGGCCACTCCTCAGCGGGTCGCCTGTGTCCTCGCGGTGGAGGACGCATCTGTGCCCAGAACCAACTTCTCCAGAAAGCCTGGGACCTTACAGCCAGGCCAGGGGCAGGTCCTTGAGGGGCTCACACATCCCCCCATCGGTGGCAGACGCACACCCCGCCCCCCGGTGGCAGACACATCCCCCCGCTGGTGGCAGGGTCTGCCTGTGCCACCCTTCCTGCGTGTATTTAGGCCCTGGCTCCTTCATGGAGGGTGAATATCCCCTCTCAGCTCAGTGGTAAGGTCTGTCCCCCTCCAGCTCCATTCCATGATGCCTCTTTCCCAGGCTGTAGCTGCCGCTGTTTGTGGGGGAAGGGCCAGTGATGGGTCTGGAGCGAAGGCCAAGAGTGGGGCACCTGGGGGAAGGTATGAGGTCCCTCCCAGGATCAGACTGTCCCGAAATGTCGTCTGCCTTGGGAGGCCAAGGCGGGTGGAACATCTAAGGTCAGGAGTTCGAGACCAGCCTGGTCCACATGGTGAAACTCTGTCTGTACTAAAAATACAAACATTAGCTGGGCGTGGTGGTGGGTGCCTGTAATCCCAGTGACTCAGGAGGCTGAGGCAGGAGAATTGCTTGAACTCAGGAGGCGGAGGTTGCAGTGAGCTGAGATCGTGCCATTGCACTCCAGCCTGGGTGACAGAGCGAAACTCCATCTCAAAAAAAGAAAAAAAGAAAAAAACAAAATGTCTTGTGCCTTGCCCCACCCTAGCCCAGACTAAAATACCGGGCTTGGCCACTCCTCTCTCTGCCTCCAGAATGAACCCGGCCCACTCTGGCCCTTGGGCCAGACCTGTAACCTGTGACCTGACATGTCCTTGCCCCTCTAGCCTAGAGTCCTGGGGAGCTTCTGTCCACCTGTCCTGCAGAGGAGTCGTTTCCAGCCCGGCTGGTGAGTGCTGGCCAGGGTGGGGCAGAGCAGGCGGGGCGGCGAAAGTCCAGACCTGGCTGTGCTGTCTGGAAACGTGGCCCAGGGCGCTCAGCTGCTGTCTGCACCCCACGCCCTCCCTGGCTTCCCCATGCTCACAGCTTGCCCACTGCTGCAGGTCGGGCGGGCACGGGGCATCTGGGGAGGGGCATAGCCTGTCTGTGCTGCCCCCTCAGGTTGGTGTGGGTCGCCTGTCCAGGAAAAACCCTCCCAGTCTGCCAGGCTCCACCTGCCTCCACGCTCCATTCTCCCCACCCCGGCCAGGATGAAGGAAGGGCTGCCCTTTAACAGACCGTAAACAGGCCTGGAGAGCTTAGGAAGGGGCTGAGCTGGGGCCTGTCTGAGCCCCTACCCCTCTGCTGTCTGAGTGGCCTCCTCCGCCCTTACTGCAGGCCCATAGGCTCCTGCCAGCCTGTGACGTGCGGCCCCGGGAATGCCGTGGGGAGCGGGCAGGCTGGCATGAGCTCACCGGAGGTACCCGCTAGGGCTTCCTCCCCCGGCCGCTAGCAGGGGTGAGTCAGCAGTGATGGCGGGAGGTCCTCCATGACCCCTGTCCTGTCTGTGGGCACCAGGGGTCTGTCCTGGCTGTCAGGGCTCCTGAGTCGCTAGGAAGTGACACGTCCTGTTCCCACAGGGGCTCATTCACAGGCCTCCCAGGACAGTGGCTGGCTCTGCCCCGACTTCTGGGCTGGCTTGGGTATCTGTGTCCCCTCTTTTTTTTCTTTTTTATTGAGATGGAGTCTCACTGTCGCCCAGCCTGGAGTGCAGTGGCACCATCTCGGCTCACTGCAAGCTCCGCCTCCCGGGTTCATGCCATTCTCCTGCCTCAGCCTCCCAAGTAGCTGGGACCACAGGCGCCCACCATCACGCCCAGTTAATTTTTGTATATTTTTGATGGAGATGGGGTTTCACCACAATGGCCAGGCTGGTTGTGAACTCCCGACCTCAAGTGATTGCACCTGCCTTGGCCTCCCAAAGTGCTGGCATTATAGGCATGAGACACCGCACCTGGACTCCTTTCCTCTACTTTCTTTGGGTTAATTTGCTAGTCTCTTTTTATTATTTATTTATTTATTTTGAGATGGAGTCTCACTCTGTCGCCCAGGCTGGAGTGCAGTGGCACCATCTCGGCTCACTGCAAGCTTCGCCTCCCGGGTTCACGCCATTCTCCTGCCTCAGCCTCCCAAGTAGCTGGGACTACAGGCGCCCGCCACCACGCCCGGCTAATTTTTTGTATTTCTAGTACAGACGGGGTTTCACCGTGTTAGCCAGGATGGTCTTGATCTCCTGACCTTGTGATCTGCCTGCCTTGGCCCCCCAAAGTGCTGGGATTACAGGCGTGAGCCACCGCGCCTGGCCCTGTGTCCCCTCCTATCCGTCTCCCAGTCAGGGGCCCGGTGCTGTGGCCCCGCTGACCCCTCCCCTGCCTCCTCAGCCCCAGGATGGGTGAGTTCAACGAGAAGAAGACAACATGTGGCACCGTTTGCCTCAAGTACCTGCTGTTTACCTACAATTGCTGCTTCTGGGTGAGGAGGGGTCGCCTTGCCCCCACCCCCACCCCCACCCCTCCCGGGCCACCATCAGACCTGGGCAGATGCGATGACCTTTGTGTACTGCTTGTAGCTGGCTGGCCTGGCTGTCATGGCAGTGGGCATCTGGACGCTGGCCCTCAAGAGTGACTACATCAGCCTGCTGGCCTCAGGCACCTACCTGGCCACAGCCTACATCCTGGTGGTGGCGGGCACTGTCGTCATGGTGACTGGGGTCTTGGGCTGCTGCGCCACCTTCAAGGAGCGTCGGAACCTGCTGCGCCTGGTCAGGAGGGCGCAGGGCCACGGGGTGGGGGTGGTGCAGATGGGCCCAAGGAGGTTGTCGCTGCAGGCTTTGAACCTGTGCCTTGCTGTGCTCACCTGGGGGGGGGGTCACGGTCCTTCCACACCTGCCTAGTCCTGTGGGTCCCCACGTTCCTGCTGGACCAGCTGAGGGAAGACACCAGCTCCGCAAGAAAGCTTCAGGGAGGGTGGCCGCCCCTCAGCCCCCACCTGGAGCCTGGGGAGCCGGGGTGGGGACTCTGCTCTGAGGTGCACTAGGTCTAGGCACTAGGCCTCAGAACAAGGGTGCCCTTGTGCTGCCCCCCCCAGTACTTCATCCTGCTCCTCATCATCTTTCTGCTGGAGATCATCGCTGGTATCCTCGCCTACGCCTACTACCAGCAGGTGAGGGGCCTGGGCAGGCCATTCAGAGACACAGACATGCACAGGCGGGGCGGACACACACACATGCACACGCGTGGCTAGCCCCAACCCCCACCCCCATGGTCCCAGAGCTAACCAATGTGCCACTGGGCCCTGGAGATGGGGTCTAGGTCTCTGCAGGGGCACATGGGGTCAGGCAGGTGTCCAGGGGATCCAGAAGCTCTCTCTGCCTCTGCCGCACTTCATTGTCACCCTGGTGACGGTCCTGGCACCACCCAACCTCCCCTCATGCCGAGGTGTGACCTCAGCCCTTCCCTGTGGCTCTGAGCTGGGCCCCGGGCCTCCCCACCGGCCATCCTGGGGCTCTGCCAGCCCCACCTTGGAAGGTCTTAGACTGAGGCTGAAGTTTCCTGCACCCCAACCCCAGCTGAACACGGAGCTCAAGGAGAACCTGAAGGACACCATGACCAAGCGCTACCACCAGCCGGGCCATGAGGCTGTGACCAGCGCTGTGGACCAGCTGCAGCAGGAGGTGGGTGGGTGGTGCTGGGAGGGCGCGTGCATCCCCAGGGCCTCCCTGGACCTCTGCAGGAGCCTCTGGCCCCAGGTCTCAACCCCAGCCTTGTTCTTGATGCAGTTCCACTGCTGTGGCAGCAACAACTCACAGGACTGGCGAGACAGTGAGTGGATCCGCTCACAGGAGGCCGGTGGCCGTGTGGTCCCAGACAGCTGCTGCAAGACGGTGGTGGCTCTTTGTGGGCAGCGAGACCATGCCTCCAACATCTACAAGGTGGAGGTGGGTGTGCAGCGGGATCATGCCTCCAGTGTCTACGAGGTGGTGGGGGGGCACCCCAGTGACTGGCTGTGGGCAGTGGGACACGCCTCCAATATCTACCAGGAGGTGGGGGGTCACCCCAGTGGCCGGATGTGGGCAGTGAGACCACACCTCCAATATCTACGAGGAAGTGGGTGGGCAGCCCAGTGGCTGGCTGAGCTGTTGGTGGCCTGGCTGCCTAGGTGCTAGGGGTGGGTTTGGCCACACCCTGGAGGCTGGAGGCAGTAGGGGCCAGTGGGAGGTGCCCCCTGGGCCCGCCTTCAACACCCATCCGCGCCCCGCAGGGCGGCTGCATCACCAAGTTGGAGACCTTCATCCAGGAGCACCTGAGGGTCATTGGGGCTGTGGGGATCGGCATTGCCTGTGTGCAGGTGAGGGCACATGGGGGTGGCGGTCATCTTGTTGGGGACACGGGGCAGGGCGGTGGCTGGTGGCCCCATGACGTCTGCTTACGCCCACCCGGCTCTGCACACAGGTCTTTGGCATGATCTTCACGTGCTGCCTGTACAGGAGTCTCAAGCTGGAGCACTACTGACCCTGCCTTGGGCCTTGCTGCTGCTGCACCCAACTACTGAGCTGAGACCACTGAGTACCAGGGGCTGGGCTCCCTGATGACACCCACCCTGTGCCATCACCATAACCTCTGGGGACCCCAACCTCAGAGGCAGCTTCAAGTGCCTTTTGCTGCGCACCAATGCCCAGCAGGGGAGGTGAGGGGGGCTGGCGGGGCGAAGTTTGGGGGGTGTTTTGTGGGGCTCCCCAGACACACTCTCTGCCTGGTGGTCAGATGCAGGTTGGAAGGGGCCTTGCTGAGTGGCGCAAGGCCGAGCGTTCCCAGCAGGGGGAGAAACCCTTCACACCCCAGGCCCTTCAGGAACTGGGGCCTTGCCTTGCAGCCACATGGCCCCATCCCAGTTGGGGAAGCCAGGTGAGCTCTGACCCTTGGGCCTGGGCCTCTGCCCCTCCCAACCCAGCCCTCGTCTCCCTCGACAGCGCCCCTGCTGTCTTCCCCACCGCAGTCACCACCACCCGAAATGCCACGTGGTCACTGTGCACTGCCCTGTTCATGTGCCTCTGCGGGGCAGGGCCTTCCTGGTTTTGTTCACTGCTGTACCCAGATGCCTACAACCATCCCTGCCACATACAGGTGCTCAATAAACACTTGTAGAGCAGATGGACGAGCTCGCTGTGCTGGTAACAGATGGTGGTCTGTTCTCAGGGCCCTCGCATCCAGCAGGGCAGACAGACCCACCCCCGCCCCGCCCAGTGTCAGGACAAAGAAGGGCAGAGCCAGGAGGACACACCCCCCATGGGGCTCCAGGGAAGGGAGGTCTGATGCCAGGGACAGCTGAGCACAGGCCTCAGCAGAAAGAACTGAACATGTTCCTAAATGGTGAGATGGTGTGTTCAGAGCCCCTGGGGGAGAGGAAAAATGGTTTCCAAAACCCTTCTGGCCATGGTGGGGAGCAGACGTGGGAAGGGTGCAGACTGGGGGCCGTGCCCAGGTAAGAGGTGTCAGGCAGGTGGGGTGGGGGCAGTAGGGTGAGGGGGTTTACATGGAGGAGCCTATAGGCCCTGCTGGGGGCCAGAGGGTAGGAGGTACCAGAGCCTGGTGTCTGGCAGAGGTACCCTGGAGATGGGAGCCAGGGCTCGGTCACTGATTGTGCCCCCCACTGCCCAGGTTCCTGTCCTTAAGGCTCAGAACTGTAGACCCTCAGGCAGACCCGTTCTCCCCTACCAGAGGACACCACGCCAGATATCTGGGCAGCAGGGACATCTGACCTGGGGTGCTTGCTGGCAGCACTGCCTGGACAGCAGGGCCTCCTTAGGGCCACCTCCCAACCCAGCTAGGAGCGTCTTAAGGCCTGCCCTCCCTGCTGGGCTTGGGTGGGACGCTCAGGGACAGGCAGCAGTGGGCAGAGGCCAGCAGGTACTGGCAGCCCTGACCACAGCAGAGACTGGGCCCCAGAAAATCTGTTTCTCTCTTCTTTTTCATAGTTGTGTTGAGACAGAGTCTTACTCTGTTGCCCAGGCTGGAGTGCAGTGGTGCAAACACAGTTCACTGCAGTGGCAACCTCCCAGGTTCCAGTGATCCTCCTGCCTCAGCCCCGAGTGGCCGGGACTACAGGTGTGAACACTGTGCCCAGCTAATTTATTAAATTTTGTTGTAGAGATGGGGTCTCATTATGATGCCCAGGCGGGTCTTGAATTTCTGGACTCAAGTGATCCTCCTGCCTTGGCCTCCCAAAGTCCTGGGATTATAGGGGTGAGCCCCTTTGCCCGGCCTAAATCTGGCTCTTCAGATTCCGAGAGAGAGGGTACAGGAGCCTCTCTGCTCAGCCTGAAGAACACCCAGAAGGAGGGAACCTCAAAGAGCCCCGAGATGGAAGGCTCTCCTGGCAGCGCCTCCTGCAGGGGTGCCTGTGGAACAGGCTGGCCCCAGGGCTAGGAGAGTTCATGGCCCAGTCTGCTTCACTGGGCTGCCACAGTGTGAAAGCTGGGCCTAGACCTGGCTCCTGACATCCTAGTGAGGGCTGGGACCTTAGTGGTTCTGAAAGACCTTTACTGGATGGTTCCTTCCAGAGTGGGGTATCGGATACACACACACTGCGGCCAGGCATTACGCCAGCTCCCGGATGCCTCAGCCTCGTGAATTCGGGGCAGGACGCTCAGGGCCCATGGTCAGCACAGCGGGTGGGTGGGTTCCAGCGTGGTCACTTCTCCAGGGGTGCATAATTGAGCAGCTTCTCGATCAGGTCCACGTGGGCCAGCAGCATCCGGCGGCAGCAGTAGCGCTTCAGGCCCAGGGCATCCAGCGCATCCCTGTGTCGAGGGGAGGAGCAGAGGCCAACTGAGTTCTCTACGGTCTGCAAAGGCCTGGAGCCCACATCCAACCTGCCTCTCACTGCCTGCTGGCCTCACCCCCCCCGCCACCGGCAAGGCGAACAGATTCACCCGGCTCAGAAGCTGAGATCTAGCAGTATGATCCTGGCTGGAGTAACCTGGAAATGCCCAGAACCCTGGGTGGAGCGTGAGGAGCCTCCTCTCCCACCTACTCTGGCTGTACGTGTGTGTGTATAACGTATGTAAGAAATGTAAATGAAATGAAAACGAAGTAATTGCGGGGAGCTTAGAAAACCAAGACCACCAAGGTGCTGATGTGCAGCCACCTCATCCAGCACTGGCCACGGCAGGGTAGCTCTCCAGGGGCCTGCCCTTAGCTGGTTCACCCCCACCCCAGCCAGAGCAAGCCCTGCTCTGCCGCTGTGGGGTCTTTCCTCACCTCTGCTTCCTTCCATCAGAGAGAGACTGCTTCTCCACGGAGCCACCTCTCCCACTTCCCAAGCCAATTAGAAGCTTTCATTTCCCTGGGACCTAGCTCCAGTCACCCTCAAGACCTCCAGAAAACTCCCACACCGATGGCTCCAATGTGCAGAGACACAGAAGCTTGGGAAAGGGGAGGCCACATGGGAGGCCCCTGCCGTTCCTATCCGGGGAAAGGGTCTGGACAGGCCGCCAGCCACTCAGTCTAGCAGCCCACTCGCTTTCCTCGTTTGTCCAGCAAGCTGCACCAAGTGCCGATGGCAGGCTGGCGCACACAAGCCCAGGGCTTCACATGTGACGAAGACTCAGTGGGCGAGGGTCAGACTCCAGCGGGGGCACCAAGACTCAGGCACCGTGGTGACAGCAGCACCAAGGGACAAGCACAGGAGAAAGACGCCTCCCCTACAAAGCCTGATGAGGGTGGTCAGCAAGTCTACCCTGCATTTCTTTTTCTGTGTGTGTGTGTGCGTGAGACGGAGTTTCACTCTCTCTTCCAGGCTGGAGTGCAGTGGCGTGATCTTGGCTCACTGCAACCTCCACCTGCCTCCCAGACTCAAGCGATTTTCTCGTCTCAGCCTCCCAAGTAGCTGGGACCACAGGTGTGCACCGCCATGTCCGGCGAATTAAAAAGATAGAGCCAGGCGCGGTGGCTCACGCCTGTAACCTCAGCACTTTGGGAGGTCGAGGCGGGTGGATCACCTGAGGTCAGGAGTTCCAGACCAGCCTGGCCAACATGGCGAAATCCCATCTCTACTGAAAATACAAAAATTAGCCGGGCGTGGTGGCACACGCCTGTAGTCCCAGCTACTCGGGAGGCTGAGACAGGAGAATTGCTGGAGCCCAGGAGGCGGGGGTTGCAGTGAGCCGAGATCGCGCCACTGCACTCCAACCTGGGCGACGGAGCGAGACTCCGTCTCAAAAAAGAAAAATAAAATAAAATAAATTTCTGGAGATCAGGGTCTCCCCAGGTTGTCCAGGCTGGTCTCGACCTCCTGGGCTCAAGCAAGCCTCTCGCCTCGGCCTCCCAAACTGCTGGGATTACAGATGTCAGCCGCCGCGCCCGCCCGTCCTGCAGCGAGGTTTGCAGGACATGGGGTGGGCCTGGGGGCAGAGATGGGAATAGGGCGGAGGCCAAGGGCTTTACTGCGGGTGACAAGACGCCTGCGACCCGCCAGGCCACCTAGAATCCCCAGGACACCACTGGTTTGAAGCCCAACTCCGTTCTCTTCCCCAGACTTCAGGGGATAAGGTTCTCCCGAAAGCAGATCACAGAGCGGGGCTGGAGAAGCCGGGCCTGAAGCTGCTCATGGGGCGCTGGCCTCAGGCAGCGCTGCGCCTCCCGCCCCGGCGCGCACCCCAGGGCGGACTCAGCCCCCAGCCCCGGCCCGCGCCCCACGGCGGACTCAGCCCCTAGCCCCGGCCCGCGCCTCACCCCTCGGTGTACTCGGCCTGCAGCAGCCCCAGGTAAGCCTCCCACTTGTTGCCGACGATCTTGCCACAAGTGAAGCAGCGTACAGGGATGATCATGGCGGCGGCGCGTCCCAGACTGCCCGGCCCGGCCCGGCCGCACGCGAAGAACCCCCCCAGGCCCCGCCCCGGGCGCGTCCACTGTTGCGGGAGAATCGGCTCCGCTCGTTCTCCGCTGTTCCGGCCGTCCCTCCACCGGCCCCGCCACCGCTGGCCGCAGTTTCCGCCGCGATAGGGGCTTCCCGTGCGTCCCGGGGCTCCTGGGCCTGTGCGTCCCGGGGCTCCCGGGCCCGCGCGGCCGCGGCAGCAGCAGACCGCACACCCCCGCCCACCGTCTTGGTGCATCCCGGCGCTACGGCGTCTGAGCAGGGCCGTAAAGCTGCGGCGGCGGTTCGCGTTTCTCGTGTCCGCTTGACTGACAGCTGCGCGGCGGGAGCGGGCGGCGCGAGCGGGAGGCGGCGGCGCAGGTACTGCGCCTGGGGGTTGTGGGGGCGTGCGGCCAGGGTCCCGTGGCCGGAGGTGTCCGACCGGGAGCGGCTGGAGCCGGACGCGAGCGGGGCGCGCGAGTTCGAGCCCAGAGCCGACACGCAGCAACAAGTGGGGTCCGGCGCGGGGGCTCGGGGAGAGGGCGGGCGGGGGCCGGGGCGGGTCTTCCTGCCGCCCCTCCTGGCCGCGCCGAGTAGTGGGTTCCTCCGCCTCGGCCTCTGCCCGCGGGGTGTCCGGGGCTCTCGGCGCTGAGTTCGGGGGTCCCATTCTGGACGCGGCCCAGCCCCTAGGGGCGCCGCCCTGGCCTCAGCTGCGCAATTACAGCCCCCGCCGGCAGCTCCCCGCCCCGGGCTCCTGTCCGCGTTCTTTCCGCTCTTTCCCGGGAATGGGGTCGGGGTGCGCCCTCCCGGGTCCCGGCTCTGCTGGCTGCTCGCCGTCCCGAGCTCCCGACGCTCAGACGCGCCTCTGAGCACGGGGAGAGGGGACCCGGGAGGGAGGTCGGGGAGGGAGTCGTGGAAGAGGTGCTTTTTGAGCTGAACCTGGAAGACCCCGGCACAGGGGATCCCTGGGCAGACTCCCGGAGGCTGCACTGGCAGGACCCCCTGAAGGCCTCAGCTCTGGCTTGCCCTGGAGCTCAGGGCCTACGGACGACGAGGGACGAGGAGCCCGTGTCTCTCGGATGGAGTGCGGGGGGGCTGGCACCAGCACCCTTCTTGCTGTGCCCCTGGGGTGGGGGTGAGGAAATGGGGGGTCGGTGTGCAGTGAGAGGCAAAGAAGGCTCCTTGGAGGTGCGAGGTGGGCTGTGGGGGTGGGTGGGCCGCAAAGCGGCACCCATGGGGGGCTCTGGGCTGGTTTGCCGGCCTGGGGCTTCTGGCTGGGGTGGGACCTGTGTTGGGTTCCAGGCATCAGCTGCCGCTTTCTCAGGGCAATGCTGCGTCTGCCTTAGTTGCAGAGGAGGAGGACGAAGGGTTTTCTGGGTCCGGAGTGGTGCTAGCCAGATCCACTGCACGCTTGGGGTTTCCGCTCCCACCCTGGCCAGGGCCCTGGGCAGCTTCCCCAGTGGCATTTGCCATACCCCACCCAGCCACGTGCGGAGCCACGAGCCGAGGCCACTTCCCTTCCCTGACCCCCTCCCCCCAGGATGAGTGGACGCACATCCTGCTCTGGGCAGAAGGGCAGGACAGGGGCCCTGAGTAACGGTGGCCTGGGGTCAGAGCCAGGTTCAGCTGCGAGGCTGCTGGTGGCTGTGGAGGTGAGGGGGGCAGGGGGGTCCCGGATGTTAGCAGGGTGGGCCCTGGGGAGTGGGTGGGGGCCTGGAGGCTTCTTGGAGGAGGGTCCAGGGCCTGTCCCGCCCCTGTTCCTGCCTGCAGGAGTTGTTTACTCAGAGCAAGGGGTGGTGGGGAGTGAGCTGCTCTCCAAATCCTGGCTTGGGCCAAGCTGACATTCTTGGAATTCCGAGTGTGTGCGCTTCCTATCCCTCCATTTCCCAGCAGAGCCCCTGAGATCTGGAGACTGCCCCAGCCTCAGGCTCTGTGCATCTCCCCCGAGCCCCCACCACATATGTGCGGAGGCCCCTGGGGGCCCAGGCCTGTCCTCAGTCCCGACTGGGCTCTACCTGAGGACCCTGGGGAGCCTGGGCCTGGCCCTCCTCAGGCAAGCGGGGGTGGGAGGGAGCCTGGTGGCGGGGCAGGGCACTGTGCCCGCCAGCAGGGGCGGGTGGGGGCCCCTCTCTCCTGGGTGTGGAGTGTTGGCGCAGACTCGGCCTGGCTTCTGGGGGGGGGGGTCTGGGATGGGGCCAGGAGGGTGAGGCGCTGGTTTTATAGAAGGGGGCGTTGTGGAGCCTCCTGTGGTCAGGGCAGGGCACAGGGAGCAGAGGGTGGGCTCCCCCGGCTGCTTCCTGCTAGAGGAGGGATCACTTCAGGGCAAAGGACCAGGGGAAACCCATGATTGAAGTTTTAGCTGCTGACCCCTCCCACCCTGGGTGTTGCCCTGGAAACAGGCCAGCCACGGGACCAGGAGGGCTGGGAGGGGGAGCACGGGCTGAGCCCTGGCTGGGATTCAGCTGAACTTGCACTCTGGTCTGGGATCCCAGCCCACGTTTCCCTGTCTGTAAAGCTCAGGTGGGATCAGAAACTGCCCGCCCGGAGGGCTGCATCCCTCCTGCCGCTGAGGCTGGGCATGACCTTGACTGGGAGAGGGTGTTGAAGGTGTCTGTCCCCAGCCTCGCCCCCACACCTGTGCTCTCTGGCCCTGTCCATGCCTGGGACAGATGTGTGCTCACCCCCAGGGTGCTGTGGGATGGGGTGGGTGCACACGGCGCCACGAGCACACGTGCCCGACACCTCAGCGGTGCACACAGCCAAGGCCACTGCCCACCGTACCCACGCCGTCCGTGTCCTCTCTACGGTCCTGGGAGACTGGCGTTGTGAGCAGTGGGGCCTGTAGATGGGGCCGGGTCCTCTCTACGGTCCTGGGAGACCGGCGCTGTGAGCGGTGGGGCCTGTAGATGGGGCCGAGACTGAACTGACCCTAGCCTCACCACTCATATGTCGGGGCTGGTGATATTTGGGAATGTCACTGCCTGCCATGCAGCTGCCCAGGCCTGATGTGCCCCCCCAGACTGTTCTATAGGGGTCTAGGTTGCAGGGGCCAGGGCCAGGGCTGTGGTGGGATGGCACCTGAGGTGCGGCTGCTCCTGGAGCCTGGGGGGTGTGGGAAGGTGCCCCCCACCCAGGGTCCTAAGTCTGTTGCCTTCACCCCCGACTCCCAGCAGATAAATACCCAACAGTGCAGGAAAGGATTACAGGGAAGGCCTGGAGTGTGGGGTTAGCCTCGGTGGTCCCAGGAGGAAAGACTGGGGGACCTCTGGACTATCTGTCCCTCCCCTGGGGCTGCTGGGGGTATCAGAGTGGTGTCTCCAGCCTCCAGGGCTCAGGTTTGGGTGGGAGGGGCCTGGTCCCACCCAGACTCTGTATGTAGCCCCCAGTCCCTGCTCCTCTGTGTGCATGAGGGAGTGCCAGCTTGCTTGGGACCCCCCAGGGTGAGGGCTTGGGACGGGCACTGGGGCCCCGCAGGGGCTGAGGCAGCCAGGAAGCCCACAGCATAGGCTGTTTGTGTTGGCGGGCCTCCCTACCTCCTCAAAGCTGCCTCAGAGCCCGTGGGCCTGGGGGGCCAGGGTGTGTGGGCTTGGCTCTGCTGTCTGTCCTGAGCTGCCCCTGCTGAGCTGTGTGGAGACCCCGAGGTCTGGGCTGGGCCAGGACTGAGCTGCTGCCCTGCTGCTGGGGCTCAGAGAGGCTGCTCCACGGGCATGGCACCCAGGCTGCTGCAGACAGGCTGCTTTATCATGTGGGCAGGCCCCTCTTTGGGTTGGACCTCCGTCTGGCCTTGTGGGTGTCTGAGATCTCCTTGCAGCTCAGTCCCCAGGGCTTTTCCAACCTGCAGAGCTCTGGATGTCTCTTTTGGGGCTCTCGCTCAGCCAGGGTTGGGGTGGAGGCTCTATGGTTCCCTCCTGCCCTTGGGCTACTGGAAGGACAGTTACCTCACTCCAGAGAGCTAGTTCTGAGGGGCGAGGTGTTGCGGGGTTGAGCCAGCAGGGCAGGGAGTAGTGGGCACTGCGTTTGGCTGCCCAGGTGGGTTTGGGGCCTCTCCCTGGCCAGAAATCCCTGAGTGCCAGGAGGAGGACAGACTCCCCAGCCTGGCACCCATGGTGGAGGAGGGCCTTGCGGGTCATTGCTGGCAGCTCCATAGGGAGGGCGTGAGGCCCCTTCCTGAGCCTGGGTGTCTGCTCAGAGCCCAAGGCAGGGTGGGGTAGGGGTGCTTGTGCCTGGTAGGAAGCAGACAGCAGGCTGGTCCAGGGGTCCAGGACCCCAGGGAGGAGGCACTGCTGCGTGTCTGTGTGGGTGCAAGCATGTGTCTTGGCCTGTGTCTCTGCATGTCCGTGCTGTGAGTACGTCTTTGAACATGTGTTCTCTGCACACCGTGTCTCTGTGAGTGTGAGTCTGTGTCCCTGCCTGGCTGTCTCAGAGCCCTGAAGGAGCAGAATTTGGTGACTCAGTCATTGATTCAGAGCTTTCCTGGTTGGGGCTACTCCTCAGTGGTCTTCTTCTCCGAGTCTGGTGGTGTATCCCCTGCCCACCCCGACTGCCCCTCTGCCCTGTAGGGACCTGGCCCCAGGTGGGGGTTCCCTGCCCTTCTCTGGGAGCATCTCTGGCTGTACAGCTGAGGGTGGAAGCCAGGGCTCCACTCTGCCCATCTTTCCTTTTGCAGAGCTTGGGGCTTCCTTGGTCGCACCCACCACCTGCCTGCCCACTGGTCAGCCTTCAGGGACCCTGAGCACCGCCTGGTCTCTTTCCTGTGGCCAGCCCAGGTATGTCAGGGCCCGGCTGGGCTGGATGGTTGTGGTGGGCAGCAGTGGGCTTGCCTCTGGGTCTCACTTTGCCAGCCCAGGGGCCTTGCCAGCGGACACTTTGACACCACACCTGAGTATCTAATTGGAGCTCCCGTGGGGAGGGGCTGGACTTTGGAGACAGGGTCCCAGAACACCCCGACTGGGGTGTTGAAGGACCCTCCCCGACTGAGCTCTGACACTGTGCCTTGCCCGGGCCCCTGACTGCGTCTGGGCAACCCAGTGTGAATCTTGAACTTGGCAACAGAAGCAAGCCCAGCTCCCCGCCCCCACCCCCCCCCAACCCCGCTCCTCCTGACCCTCGGTGGCCTTGTGAGGTTTTTGATTTCTTCTTGAATAGGCTTCATCTGCTCACCTGGGCGATGTGTGCAGAGCTTTGTAGATGGGAAAGGGGGTGGGAGGGGTCTTAGGGGACACTGGGACTGCATCCTGGGCGCTGGGCTCAGTGCAGGCACCCAGACCAGCTCTCCCTTCGCCCTCCCACCCGCCTGGGACCCTCGAGCCTTGCCTGCCACTTCCCCTTCCACCCCCAGCCACAGAGGGACGCAGGGGAGATGGGGCAGGGGTGCCACTGGCTAGCCTGGCGGCGGATGCTCTCCTTGGGGTGGCTCGGGTGGTGTTTTTGACTGCAGGTGGGGTCTGGCTTCTCCCAGTCAGCCTGGGGTCCTCCCGGGTCCCCGTGGCACCTGCCCTTGCCTGGCCCACGAGTAGGTGCTCTGAGCGCTGCCCAGGTCACATGTGAGCTCCCTGGAGGCGCTGCACACGGCTGAGTGTCTGCCCTCAGGTTGCACCTGCGTGGCCAGGGGAAGGGGGCCGGGCGCCATCTGCTCTCTGGGCAGAGCTGCGGGTGAGGGTTTCTGTCAGGGTTGGGGTCCCAGGGCTCCTGGGGTCTCTGCTGGGCCCCGATGCGTGGCCGCCGTTCTGACCCATTCCTGGGGCCCAGACCCACCAAAGAACCCCCAGGGGAAGGACAGGGTAGGGGCCATGGGAAGCCCCAGGATGGCCTTGTGGGCCTTCAGGGGACCTCCAGGCCAGCCTCCTGTTCTCTGGGGGCCCCCTGTCCCCTTCCCCCAGCGAGGACCTGGGCATGGGGTGCTGCCCTGGGGCTTGGGCTGCAGTTCTCTACAGAGCCCTTGGGGGGCAGCAGAGGCTTGGGGCACCCAGCCCAGGTCGTCAGGGGTGGGCAGAGCTGCGGGACCTCCCTGGGCACCCGGGGCTTCCACGGCAGCCCTCCCCAGACCTGCCACCTCCCACATCAGTCACTCCAGGAGGACCCAGGCCTCCAGAGCTGGTCAGCCCTGCCATGGAGCACCCCCTTCCCCTCCCTTAGCTTCCTCTCCCTCCTCTTCCTCCTGCCCTTCCTCATTCCCCACCTCTGGGCTTCAGGTCATCTGCCAGGAATCTGGGCCACGTGCTGATATCTTCCCAACACCGCAGGGCCCTTGTGCCCTGTGGTGGGGCTGGGGCTTCAGAGGCGTGGGGTAGGCTGCAGGGCACAGCTGGGGGCCTCTGTCCCCATCTCCGGCTGTGGGAGGTGTGTGCGCATCCGGCGTGATGACACCCAGGAGTGCAGGCACATCTGCGCACGGGGCCGGTATGTCTGTACCTGTCAAGGGGTGGGGTGGGGTCTTTTACAGGCTGACTTCCAGCCTGGGCTGGAGCAAAATGAAATTCTGGGCCCCTTGTTTAAAAATTACCAAGAATTTCAAGACGGGAACAGCAGAGCATCAAGCCAGCTGGGGTGGGTGCGCGCGACTGCCCTTGAAGCCGGCCCCGCTCCCGCATTGGGGACAGCACGGGGCGGAGGCCGAGCCGGGCCCACCTGGAGCGCTCTGGGTCTGTCCTGGGGCTGCCAGCCTCCTGCGGGGCTGCCTGGTGGAGGGGGGGTGGGTATCTCAGGAATCACACCTGCGCTTTTCTGTGTTCTGGAACCTCCCATATAGTCAAAGACTCAACGACACCTGCTCCATGCAGTGCAGGCTGACCCAGCCCCCCACCCGCCGCCGGCACTCAGGGCTTCCCCAAGGGCGCCCGGGGCGGAGCCGCTTCAAGTTGCCACCAGACAGCAACGGGGTCACCCTCCATTTGCGTAGTGCTTTGAGTATCGTTCTCGTGGTTGGAGGTCTCCAAGCCCGGCCCGGGGCCAGAGTCCGGGCGAGGTACCGTGGGGGGAAGGGCTGGGGGTGTCGGTCGCGGGCTAAGAGCTGCCCAGGTTTCATCCCCAGGCCCCGGCCCCGGCCTCCAGTCCCCTCAGGCGCCCTTCGCGAGCATCTTCCTCCCGCGCGCGAAGGTGGGGGGGCTGGGGCGCCGGCGCGGGCGAAGGGGCCGGGGTCGCGGCTGGTGCGTTGCCGGGGGCTGCGATTGGTCCGCCCAGGCGGAGCGCTGGGGTTTGCCGGGCGGTGCGGCGAGGAGGGGAGGGGTCCGCGCGGGGGCGGAGCCGCCGGGGATTGGCCGGGAGGGCGCGGGGCGGGGCGCGCGGGGTCGGGGGCGCGGGGGCCGCAGCGCGCGGGCCGGGCAGATGTTTGGGTTCCGCCGCCGGGGTCCGAGCGGATCCGCGCGACCCGCTGCCACCGCGGGGGCCAGAGCGGGAGCAGGAGCGGGGCCGGAGCAGGCGCCGGCCGGCGGGATGGGGCGTTCCGGGGCGGCGGGTGCGGGGCGCTGAGCGGCGGCCCCGGCACACCCGGGCGCGATGCGCCGCTCCAGCACGGACGAGTCCACGTACCGGCGCAGCCCCTCTCCGGAGGGCAAGGAGCCGGACTTCGCGCGCGGCGGCCCCTTCCGGCGCTACAGCAGCCTATACGGGCGCGCGGGCGGCGGGGACGCCGGGGGCTCCTTCTTCGGCCTGCACGCGAACCCCGGCCCCAAGGCGGCCCAGGCGCGCTACACGTCGCCCAAGGGCAACAAGTACGTGGTTTTCTACCTGGACCTCTCCTTCATCTTCCTCCTAGAACTGAAGCGCTGCGGCATGGCGCGCGCCTGCCTCCAGGCCGTCAAGTACCTCATGTTCGCCTTCAACCTGCTCTTCTGGGTGAGTCCGGGGGCCGGGGTGGGGGCCCGGGAAAGACCCGGGGTCCCTCCCGCGGCGGGTCGCGGGGTCTGGGGAGTCGGAGTCGCTGCCCCGGCCAGGCGTTGGGTGCGGTTGTGGGGATGGTCCCGGGAGGACCCAAGACCGCTGCTCCGGCTAGGAGCCTGGACTGGGCGGGTGGGGAAGGTTTGCACCATCGCGGGGTCCGCCCCCTGCACTCAGAGCGGCTGCCCCACGCCCTGGTCCCCTCTCCTCTCCTCTCCTCTCCTCACTTGATGAGACGGGACACGTTGCACACGTGCGCGCCGGACAGGGCCACCCGGGCACTGCGCCTCTCCTAGGGTCGGGGTTCGAGTCCGGGTCGTGGCCAGTTTTGCGCGGGGCCCCGGTGCCTCCTCTGCGCCCGCTCCCTCCTCGGTGCAGCCGTTATCCTTGCCTCGGCCCCGCCCCTCCAGGCAGGCGACCTGTCGGGCCCAGGGACTCACTTCCGAGGGTTTGAGCCGGCTGCCGCCAAGGTCCCCCAGTCGCCGGGAGGCGCTGCGGAAGGGAATCCTGGACACTGAGCAGGGCCGTGGGCCATCAGTGTTCGCGGGAGACACTGGCTTTCCCGCGCCTCCGGCAGCAGAGGCTTCCCTAACTTTTGCGGAGGTGGGGTCAGGTGTGCTCAGACCTGCAGTGGTGTCCGGGGGGGCCCTGTGTGCTGGATGGAGCAGAGCTGAGGTAGAGGGCGGACAGGGTTCCACCCCACCCCAGCCCCATGTCAGCAAGAGGTGGGGCAGGATTCCCACCTGGCCAGGTTGGAGCAAGCCTCATGGAGCCGCGACCCTGTCCTGTCCCTGGCTCCTGTGGAGGGCAGCTGCAGTTGGGGGTGGCCGAGGATGACCTGGACCGGGCCTGGGGCTTTGCTGGCTGGGCTGGGGGAGGTGAAGTGATACCAAGGTCATTCTGTGCCCTATTCTTAATTCCTGAACCAGCTCCTGCAGCTGGGAGTCGGGGGTGTGGCCTCAGCTCCTGCCTAGGCTCTGGGCTTCAGAAGGAGGCTGTCCATCTGCATAAGGTCCAGCTGGGCCAAGTGCCCAGAAGCCTGGGTCTGCCTTCCCACCTCTCCCCTCCTGAGCCCAGGCTCCTTCTCTAGCCAGCTTGGGGTGGAGGCAGGGGGGTCCCTGGGAGGGACAGCCAGCCTGGGTTGCCTGCTGAGTGTGACCCAAGGAGGCTCTTGGCCCAGACATCCACCTCCAGAAGGGGTCACCCAAGGGTTTGTTTTCTGCAAGAGGCTCTGGAGGGGTGAGGCCCAGGCCTGAGGGGCGCCTTGGAGGTAGGGGTGGTGGGAGGTGTGGGTGTGGTCTGGAGCTGGTGGGTGTGGGGGGTGGGCTGCAGGTGGCTGAGTGACCAGAGTGTTTCTGTGACGGGGGGACGGGGCAGAATGACTGAAGGGCAGTGGGTGTGGGGGCCCGGCAGGCAGGCAGGCAGGTCCTGGGAGGGGAAGCCCTCTCTCCTCTCCACCCTCCTCCTGTCCTCCGTGGCCTGGACACCTGCCTTCAGGGAGAAAGAAGAGGGTCCTTTCCCAGGGGGGGTCTCTCTGCTCTGAGAGCAGCCCGCCCTCATGGAGGACCCCCAGGTGGACCTCTCTTTGCTCTGTGAACCCCAGAGAAGCCTCCATTCCTACCGCATGGCAGACACACTCCCCCATCCTCAACCTGGGAAAGAACACACAAGGAACCCCCTTGGGACCCTATTCTGGGCTGGAAAATGCAATTCTCTCTTTTTTATCTTTGTTTTTTGAGATAGAGTCTTGCTCTGTCGCCTGGAGTGCAGTGGCGTGATCTTGGCTCACTGCAACCTTCCATCTCTGGGGTTCAAGCGATTCTCATGCCTCAGCTTCCCGAATTGCTGGGATTACAGGCGCGCATCACCACGCCTGTCTAATTTTTGTATTTTTAGTAGAGACAGGGTTTCACCATGTTGGTCAGGTTGGTCTCGAACTCCTGACCTCGTGATCCGCCTGCCTCGACCTCCCAAAGTGCTGGGATTACAGGCGGCCCCAATTATTTTTTATTAATCAATCACCACCTTCCCGCCAGTCCAGCAAACTGGAGCCCCGCTGGCTTCATACACCAGCCTTGGCCCCCCCCAACCCTGGGCTGGTGCCCAGTGGGGGTCTAAGGGTGGGGGCGGGGCAGGGGAAATAAGAATGAGTGGGGGTTTTGCCAGGAGAGTCTGTCCCGGGCTGATGTCCACGCCTGCTGTGCCCTGAGTCACTGTGAGCTAAGCCCTCTCCTCCTGGCGTGAGGCTATTTCAGGAGTCAGGCCTAGCGCTCCCCTTCCCCAGGGCTCCTTTCCTTTTGGGGGTGCCAGCCCCCTGTTGTCGGGGCTTTTGCCGCCCACTCCATTTCCTACTCGTTGGGAGACCAGGGGATACAACCTGGCCTCCTCCTCCTCCTCCTCCGTCTTCTCAGGGGCGAAGTTCAGGGGTTAAGGTGGTGGGAGGGACGTCCCCCCGGCGGGACCTCAAGATCCCCGCGTGTGTCTGTCCTGACCCCCCGCTGCCGGAGTCCTGCTGGGCCTGTGGGGAGGGCATGGGGGAGCCCCAGTGGGCAGCCAGTGACCAGAGCCGTGGGCAGTGGTGGGAGCCGGGGTGGGGTGAGGAAAGTTGTGTGTGACTGGGGGGCTGTGCCCGTCCTGGGTGTGGCTGTGGGTGTGGGGGCAGGGGCTGAGCCCTGTAAGTGGTACAGGTGCGGCCAGGGCACTGGGAGGGGTTGGGGGGCTGGGAGTGGGGTCCCATGCCTGGCTCGTGTGCGGTGGTCAGGGTGCAGCTTCCCTCTGCCCCCAGCTTGCCTGGCTGCCCCTTAGCTTTGCTCTCCTGTGCCCTTAACCCCAGCCTGGCACCCCTCTCTCCCACCTTTGCCTCCATGTTCTCCTCAAAGCCCCCCTTCTTCCAAATGCAGACCCTCCAAGGCCCTCACAGTACTCCTGGCTTCCAAGGTCTCTTTGGGTCCAGGCCTGAGCCCCCCTCCACACCCATGGTCAGGCTAGGGCCCCTGGTCACTGACGGCCTGGGGCAGCCTGGGGGCCTACCTGGGAGGGGAAGGGAGGGGCTCGCTCCAGAAGGCTGATTGACGTATTTCTTTACAGCGTTGGTTCGGATTTCCCAGGCAGGCATCTTTGCTGGGGTCTGGGAGGGTGGGGCTGCTGGCAAGAGTCTGTGCTCAGAGCCTCCAGCTTTGGGTGGAGTGGGGAGGGTTCCTGGGGCAGCCAGGGTGGGGAGGTAGGATGTGTCCTGGCCTGGTGGTGGGGGACCCGGTGGGGCCTTCAGAGTTCAGAGCACTGGTGCCAACTCCTAACCCCATGGACATCTGGGGACATGCTACCTGCCTTCAGCAAATAGAGGCCCTCACCCGGTGATGGCAGCTCCGCTGGGGCACAGCCACTGAGCCTTCCTTTGAGCCCTCCCTGCAGAGGTTGGGGAGTGGGAAGCAGGCTGCCTGTGGTGGGGCCGGGGTGTCTCCTGGGAGCCTCATTCCGGGGGAGGCTGGGTGCAGGGCCCGTGAGCCTGAGCGAGGTGTCCTGGTCCAAGGCAGGTGCCGACACAGACACAGGTTAGCAATGGTGAGGGCGTGGGGGGCTCTGCTGCCCTGGGACCCCCACCTTCAGGCCTCTGTGCTGCCTGGTCAGCTCAGCTGCTGCCAGCGACACTCTTCCCCTAATGGAAGTGGAGGTCCCGGGGCGGAGGGGAGAGGACGGGGCCTGCTCTTCCCGCCTGTCAGGGATGGAGGCAGCCGAGCTATTTAGCAAGGTGCCACCACGAAGGGCTGTCCTCCCGCCCTCCTGGCCTCGGCTCCTTCCAGACGCTGCTCCCCAGGGTGGGTGCTGCTCCCCTTTCTCTTCACCCGCAGCACCAGGAGCTTGGTGGAAGCTCCGGCCGTCTCCGCACTGTATGGTTAGGGCCTGGCTGGGGGACCGGGTGGGGGTTGGAGTCCCACCTGCCAGTGCGGGACGCCGGGCAGGTTCTGCCCTCCTTGAGGCCTCATTTTCCCATCTGCACCATGTGGGGCGGTAGAGGGTGAGGTCCCCATATACTGGCCTGGCTCGGGGGTTGAATGGAAATGTGGGAGGCCTCTCAGTTCCCCACCACCTGCGCTGATCCCCGGGGAGACCCCCCAGGTGGGCAGTGTGAGTCTCGGAGCCAGGTGGTCCAGGGCCCCAGCCTGGAGGGGCACGGGGGCTGTCCTGGCTCTGCGCTGCCTGGGCTGTCAACCCTGGAGGTGTGGGGGCCCCTCAGCCTCACTGCCCACTCTCTGTTGTTCCAAAGGAAAGTCCTGGCTGCGCTTGAGGCCTCTGCTCTAAGATCAGCAGTGAGCCTGGTGGAGGGGGTGCAGTGGGGGCCAGCCTTGGCTTCCCCTCCCCTGGGATGAGCTGAGACGATGTCTGGCAGATGGCATGGCCGGCCTGCCTGGCGCTGGCCTCTGGGCAGCACAGTGTCCCCAAGGGTGGCAGAGGGCTCTGCCTTCAGCTCCCAGGCCTCTCTTTGAGGAGTTTAACATCCCAGGCCAGCCTTTGGATCAATTGTTCGGAAACAATCCGTTTCTGAACAAAGGCCCTGACGCTGGCAACCACAGCGTGTCTGAGCCTTGGGGAGTGTGTGGCTCCCTGTGGGTGGGGAGCAGCAGCGGTCGGTCGGGGGACACTGCCTACCCAGCTGTGGGCTCCAGGCAGCTCTGGTGCTGTTGGGGGTAGGTCAGACTTGTCCACCCAGTGACACAGGCCTGGCTCCACGGGGCCTCTGCAGGTTCCAGGTCCCAGCTGGCGGCAGGGCAGGCAGGCCGGGCCTCTGTGTGGAGAGGGCTGTCTCTGGGGGCAGAGATGTGGCATTGGCAGCCCAGGGCTGCAGGGGGCAGGCAGAGAAGTCAGGAGGCCCACGCAGGGGGACGGGAGTGAGCGTGGGGGACCTGGGCTTCCAGCCGCGCTTGTGCGATGTGAGCCGTGGTCCTGGCCTGATGACGGCAGGCCACCTCCTTGCTGTTCCCACGCAGCCCTGCTGCACCCACAGCCCCGCTGGGTCACAGTCTCCTCCTGGATTCCTGTGCCTCCAGCAAACTCCTACCCACCCTGCAGGAGCCAGCATTGGCACCCTGGGCAGGTGCCCACTGACGAGGGCTGTTCTGCTCTCCCTGCTTTGGACACTGGCCTCAGGGTGGGCCTTGGTCACTGGGTGGGGCTGGTCTCCTCATCTCTGGGCCCTGGGGTCCCTTGGAGAGCTCCTAGGGTCAGGGGTGAGGGAACGGAGGACAGATGGGGATGTGGAAACAGGACGTCGCTCAGGGCCCACAGCTTTAAGGAAACAAATCACAGCGAGCCACACAGATTGTAAGTGGACAGACTTGTCATCCCTGGAAACCAGCATCCCAGCCATGACGGGGACGTTCCCGCCAGCCCAGAGGGTCCTGAGGCTGTGCTGGCTGCTAGCATCCCTGTGTCTGGACAGAGCCCTGGCCCCTGCAGGGACCCAGCCCCCCATCCTATTCCAAGGACGTGGCTGGCAGCCCAGCCATCTGCCACAAAGCCGCATGGCCAGAGGGGCAGTGGGCTGAGGGCTGAGAGCTGGCCAGCGTGGCCCCCGTGGGCCCGGAGGGAGCATACTCGATGGACTCCAGTGACTGCACCCCTGCCCAAGGCCTACAGGAGGCTCAAGGGGGCCGTCCCGCAGCACCTGCCCAAGAGGCTCAGGTGGGCTGTCCAGACTGGAAAAGAAGGGCAGAGCAGAGAATGCATGGGCCTCAGCAGCACCTGCACACGCCCAGCGCTGGGGGACGGCCCCCCGAGCCTCTTGGGTGGGTGCTGAGGGACGGCCCTCCAAGCCTTTTGGGCTCCTAATCTTGGGCAGAGCCATCAGTTGCTGCTGAAGATCAGGGTGAGCGAGTGTCTGATGGACTGAGCCTGGGGCCTGGTATGCTGGACGGACATTGGCCAGAGATGGTCTCACGCAGGTCCTGGGGACAGGTTCTGGGCAGTGGACAGTGTGAGCTGATGTCTGGGAGAAGGACAGGCCCCAGGCACCGCTGACTGGAGGTGAAGAGGTCTGGGACGGAGCCCCTCTCCTGGGCTGTTCCCCCAGCTGCCATCATTCCTAGGGTTCCTCTCCCCAGCTGTCATGGGGCGGGGTCAACCTCCCACCTGAGCTTGTGTCTGGCCTGCGGCGGGGCAGCAGTGAGGGAGGGAGGCTTTCAGCCTATTCCTATTTGTATTGAGCGTGTGGGGAGGGAGCTCCTCTGGTTTCCGGGTCCAGGCCCAGATGCTGGGTGGGACCCTGGGAGGGTGCGCAGGCTGCCAGCCACACCCCTAGCTGCTCCCCATCTGGCTGCATTTGACCAGAGGGACCTGGCCCTCCTGGCCTCAGCCCTGCTCATCCTGCTTTTGATTTTCTGTCTCCAAGCTAATGGGGCCCATTTTCTCTTGCGCTTTGAGGCTATAATTTTCCTGCCAAAATGTTTTAAAAGCTGCATATGCAGAAACACTTTCAAAATTGCAGGTAATTTTATTAACCACGTGCACGCATTTTATCTGTGTGGGTCTGCCAGCACGCTGGGGCCTCGGGGCCCGGGGGACGCCAGGTTGCAGGGCGGTAACGCGCGCGTGTGGCCACGTGTGATGGTGTGAGGCGTCTGTGGCAACGTGGGCTGTTGTCTGTCACAGTGTGTGTGACCGAGCCCGTCTGGTGACAGTGGGTGTCTCTTTCCTGCCGTCTCCGGTGGAGGTGAGGATGTTTCGTGGAGTGTTAATTAGGGAAATCAGTTCCCACCAGGGCTGGGGCAGTTGTGGGAGGGGCCCAGGGCTGGAGGTGTAGGGTTCCTTCCTGCCCAGCCCCCATGGAACGGGGTTTCCCACACCTGGCATGGCACCAGTCACTCTGCACATGTCCTCCCTGTGTCCTTCGACACATCCCCATGGGGCGAGGGGAGCTTGGAACAGCTCATTTTCCTGATGACAGGAGAGGTCTGCGTCCTTGGAAGGCAGAGGCAGATGGAGCAGGCAGTTTGGGTTTTTTTTTTTTTTTTTTTTGAGACGGAGTCTCACTCTGTCGCCCAGGCTGGAGTGCAGTGGCATGATGTCTGCTCACTGCAAGCTCCGCCTCCTGGGTTCACGCCATTCTCCTGCCTCAGCCTCCTGAGTAGCTGCGACTACAGGTGCCTGCCACCACGCCCAGCTAATTTTTTGTATTTTTTAGTAGAGACGGGGTTTCCCCGTGTTAGCCAGGATGGTCTCCATCTCCTGACCTCGTGATCTGCCCGCCTCGGCCTTCCAAAGTGCTGGGATTACAGGTGTGAGCCACCACGCCCGGCCCCAGTTTGGGTTTTAAATGACAGTTTTCTCTGTTGTGCTAGCACCTCCCCTCAGTTCAGGGACCTTCACCCCCAGCCTGGGCATTTCGTCTGGAATGAGACTTGTGGGGTTGCTTGGCGCTTGAGGCCAGGATGTACTCTGAGCTGCTGATGGCCATCTCCTCTCCTGGGGCCTCGTTTCCCTCTGACCTCCTGCCCTCATCACCTGGTGATCTGGACCCAGGGCCATATCCCTTCTCTGCCCAGTTCTTGGGGCAGTGATGGTGTCAGGCCGTTTGTGGGTCCCCCTGGTGCCCTGTCTGCCCCTCCACAAGACCTGGGAACTGCGGGAGGATATGGGGACAGCCCAGGGGCAGGCTGGGGTTCCTGTGTGCTCGGGAATGCCCCTCAGTTCCGCATGGCCTTGTCTGTACATGGTGTGTGTGACCTTGTGCCCGACGGTCTGGAGGGACCATTGAGTGGGCCATTGCCTGTCCAGGCCTCTCCTGTGCTCCAGAATGTTACGAGGGACACCTCTCCAAAGGGGTGGGTGGGGGCGCCGCGTTCACAGTCAGCACCCTGGACAGCCCATCCCCCAGCTGCTGGTGCATCCCATAGCAGGGCCAGGTCCCCCGGGAAGTGGGGGCATCTTTGTAGAGCTGGCAGACCCCTGCCCACCCTGGGGCTGTGCCCCAAGCCCAGTGCTCCCAGTGAGGACAGATTCTCTTAATTAGGGATGTCCCCTGGCACTTCTGCCACGGAGCTGGCCTCTGGTCCTGCACACTCCAGACACATCCACCCTGGCTCACACACACCCTGGCTCACATGCACCCCGGATCCCACCCCCGCTGACACTCACCCCGGTTCCCATGCACCCCAGGCTCACATGCACTCCCGGCTCACACGCACCCCTGCTCACACGCACTTCGGCTCACACGCACTCCGGCCCACACGCACCCCGCTCACACACCCTGCTCACCCAGTTCCCACGCACCCCAGGCTCCCACGGACCTCCGCTCACATGCACCCCGGTTCCCACACACCCCAGGCTCCCATGCACCTGGCTCACATTCACGCCCGCTCACACGCACCCCGGCTCACATGCACCCCCGCTTGCATGCACCTCGCCTCCCACCCCCGCTCACACGCACCCCCGGCTCGCATCCTGGGCTCCCATGCACCCCCGGCTCCCATGCACCCCTGGGTCACACGCATCCCCGCTCACACGCACCCCAGCTCTCACGCACCCCCGGGCTCACACCCCCAACAGCTTGCACCCCCGGCACACATGCACCCCGGCTCACACGCACCCCTGGGTCACACGCATCCCCGCTCACATGCACCCCAGCTCTCACGCACCCCCGGGCTCACACCAACAGCTTGCACCCCCGGCACACATGCACCCCGGCTCACACGCACCCCCGGGCTCACACGTGCCCTGGCTCACACGCACCCCTGGGCTCACATGCACCCCGGCTCACACGCACCCCAGGTCACACGCATCCCCTCACATGCACCCAGGCTCACACACCCACCCCCAGCCCACACTCATCCCCGCTCACACACACCCCCACTCACACACACCCTGGCCCACACGCACCTTGGCTCACGTGCACCCCGGCTCACACGCACCCCCCCTTTCACACGCACCCCGGGCTCACACGCACCCCGGGCTCACACGCACCCCCCCTTTCACACGCACCCCGGGCTCACATGCACCCCGGCTCACACGCACCCCCTCTCACACGCACCCCGGCTCACACGCACCCCCCTCACACGCACCCCGGGCTCACACGCACCCCGGGCTCACACGCACCCCGGGCTCACACGCACCCCCTCTTACACGCACCCCGGGCCCACATGCACTCCGGCTCACACACACCCTCACTCATGCACCCCGGGCCCACACGCACCCCAGCTCCCATGTACCCCTGCTCACATGCACCCCAGCTCCCATGCATCCCGGGCTCACACACAACTTGACTCACACGTCTCAGGTTCATGCATCCGTCCCCTGGTGCGTCTCCGGGCCGCCCTCCACCGGGCTGTGCTGGCTGCCACCCCCAAGCCTCTTCCTGGTCTCCTGGGAAGCCTCCCCTATCACCCTAAGCTGCTTCTGGGGCTGGCTTTGCTCAGAAGCCACACCCAGGCTGGGCACTGTGCCCAGGTCTCCTATTGGCTCCCTGCAGCCACGAGGGGCTGTGTGGTCAGAGCCAGCAAGTCAGCCCCTGCCTCGGTACTCCCAATCCTGGGGCCCAGAGCACAGGGGTGACCCCTCTTCCTGCACCCAGTCTGTCCAGCTCCCCTGTGCGCTGTGCCTGGCCTGCTGGGGAGGGGCTCTGGGCGTGGGTGTCAGAGCTCAGCAGGCACCAGGAGCCAATGGCTCAGCAGAGCTTCCCAAGATAGGTCCTGCGCTGGCAGCCTCCGGACAGCGTTCTGTTTTGAACTTTAAGCGGAGATGCTACCTCTGGAAGGCCGGGGAAGGACAGAGCCTGCCTTCTCCCCAGGATGGCCTGAGCGTGTGTGGGACTTGTGGGGCCCCAGCAGTGGGGGGAATCTGCTCTGAGGGGATTTTACCCTGTGGAGCCCAGAGGGACCGAAGACACCAGTGACAGGCCTGGCCTGAATCTTGGGGCACCAGCAGCCATGCTGGCCCTTGGGCAGGGAGCTGTGTCCCATCTCCCCAGCACAGCCTCCTGCCTGCCAGCCAGCCAGTAAAAGGGTGGCGGCCTCCAACCTCCAGCCTGGCGCTGGCTGATGCACTGCTCAGGGAGGGGCAGGTGAGCGTGCACACGAGGAGGGGGCATCTCCCACCCCCAGGCCCCCTGAGGCAAGAGTGTTGGGGCTCATGGGCCCTCCGTGGGCCCTGCCAGGGTGGAGGCCCCAGGCCTGTCTTGAGCTGGGCTGGTGTTGCAGGTGGGGGTGGGGCGGCTGCTGGTGGCCAGCAGCTATCCCAGCCTTGGTTTCTGTCTGGAAAGTGGGGTGTGAGTCTGGCCACTGGGGCTTGGGAGGCTTTTATGGGGTGACTTGGGGCTTCTGGTAGTCCCCCGGGAACCCCCAGAGCCTGGGGTCTGAGCCTGTCCTCAGGCATGTGGTCTGGGTGCTCCAAGGGGTTTCATCAGGTTGAGGGGTGGCTTTGCCAGCCCATTCCCAAGTCCTGTCCAGTCCAGGGTGGGGCAGGGATCCCCCAGGGCTGCGCGGCCCTTCCCCAGAACCAGTCAACCGTCGGCACCCCAGGACGTCTACCCACCACCCACCTGGGCACCCACGCTGCAGACCGGGAGCTGGTCAGCATTTTCGGGGGACTGCTTGTCCCGTGCCCAGGCCTGGAACATATCTCCCGTCTCATCCTGAAACGGCCCAAGCCCGAGGCCTCTGTCTGAAGGTGGGGTCCTGGCGGACCCCTGCTTCCCTTGAGGCCTTGCTGGGCCAGCAGCCTAGCACCCTCTCTCTGGGCGCAGCACCCCCTCGTCTCCCCCTGCCTCTTCCTGTTTTAATTGATTTTTATAAGAACAAGCACTTAGGAAACACAGTAAGAGCTCTGGCGGTTACAGACACTGCAGGAGGTGGCCCTCCGGGTGGCAGGTGCTCCTGTGGGACCCGCCTGCTTTGTTCCCACCAGTGCCCATGTGGCTGTAAGAAATCATAACTTGGCCGGGCGCGGTGGCTCATGCCTGTAATCTCAGCACTTTGGGAGGCCGAGACGGGCTGATCATGAGGTCAGGAGATTGAGATCAAGACCATCCTGGCGGCTGGGCGTGGTGGCTCACGCCTGGAATCCCAGCACTTTGGGAGGTCGAGGTGGGTGGATCACGAGGTTGGGAGATCAAGACCATCCTGGCTAACACGGTGAAACCCTGTCTCTACTAAAAGTACAAAAAATTAGCTGGGCGTGGTGGCGGGCGCCTGTAGTCCCAGCTACTCGGGAGGCTGAGGCAGGAGAATGGCGTGAACCCGGGAGGCGGAGGTTGCAGTGAGCCGAGATCGCGCCACTGCACTCCAGCCTGGGTGACAGTGCGAGACTCGGTATCAAAAAAAAAACAAAAAAGACTATTGTGGCTAAACCATCTCTACTAAAAATACAAAAAATTAACCGGGTGTGGTGGGGGCATGCCTGTAATCCCAGCTACTTGGGAGGCTGAGGCAGGAGAATCACTTGAACCTGGGAGGCGGAGGAGGTTGCAGTGAGCCCAGATGGTGCCACTGCACTCCAGCCTGAGCAACAGGGTGAGACTCCATCTCCAAAAAAAGAAAAAAAGAAAGAAATCATAACCAGGAGCAGAGTGTGAGGGAATCAGCGTTTCTCCTGCCACGAGTGACAGGGGACAGCTGGGGACATCACAGAGATCTTGTCGGGAGCTGGGAATCGGAATCCTGGGACCACCTGCCAGGAAGCCCCATCCCGGAGTGAGGGCAGGGCTGGGTCTCCCTGACAGCACAGTCTGGAAAGGCTGGAGTGGCCTGTCAGGTGGGGAGTGAGCCTTCTGCCCTGCGCAGACCAGACGGTGAAGCGGGGTTAGGGGTGTGCAGACTGCGTCCTGGGGCCTAAGATCCCGTCCCTTTGGCTCCAGGCCAGGGGTTGGGCGGATCCCTCCTAGAGGGAGTGGTTCAGAGGCACAAGGGAGCCTCCCCGACTGTGGCCATGGAGTGTGGGTTTGGGGATGGGGTGCCAGCCCAGGGTGTCGGGAAAGACTGGCCTGCCCTGGACACCCCCCCGGGCTGCCGTGGGATCTAGCAGGACTCTGGGTGGTTCTGGCTCAGGCTGGCAGGCGGCATGGCTTTGGGCTTGTGGGCCGGGCTCTGCCCTGGGGTCCAGAGCTTGCATTGGGGCCTCACCCTGTCTGTGTCTCTCCTGTTGCTGTGCCCCAGCTGGGAGGCTGTGGCGTGCTGGGTGTCGGCATCTGGCTGGCCGCCACACAGGGGAGCTTCGCCACGCTGTCCTCTTCCTTCCCGTCCCTGTCGGCTGCCAACTTGCTCATCATCACCGGCGCCTTTGTCATGGCCATCGGCTTCGTGGGCTGCCTGGGTGCCATCAAGGAGAACAAGTGCCTCCTGCTCACTGTGAGTGCCGGGGCCCAAGCGATGCTCCGGGTGGGACCACGCAGGGTGGGGCTCCGGTGGCCCCCAGGCCTTGGCTGCCGCAGTGACCCCCCAGACGTGGGCACCACCTCTGGGGCCGGACCTCCAGGCTGGCAGTGTGGCCCGGGGCCCTGGCCACTGTTGGGTCTTCCAGGCCACACTGGGGCTGGGGGGTGATTTGCAGAGCGGTGTGGGGGTCACTCAAGAGAACGTGCTGTACCTTGTCAGGGGCCTCCCCTGACGGGACACTGGCCCTGGTGAGTGCAGGCACAGCCCCGCACACACGTACACACGCATGCGCAGCCTTTCACGGGCTTGCGGTCTCCGTGACTCATTCCTGACCACCCCACCCCCACTGTGGCCCCTTCCCCAGCTTCTTGTTGGGGGCCTGGTCTCTCAGCTCCCTGGGACCGGCTGCTGGGACGATCCCAGCCCCCACCTCGCCTCGGGGATGGACTTACAGGCAGGGATATGTTTATCCTCCTTAGAAATGTTAATCACAGATAATTAAAAAGGAAAAGGGCTCCTAGATGGAAACACAGGCTTGCTACTGATTAACATGCCTGGCCGAGGCCGTGGGCCCTGCGGAGGGTGTGCAGCCTGCTGAGGTCCTAAATCACGAGGCTTCCGATCACTCCTTTGTCTGGGAAGCCCTGGATGGGTTGGGGCCTCCCTTAGGTCGCCTCAGCCAGTCCACTCCCCTCCGTACCCCTTCCTGGGGGCAAGCCCCAAGTCTATCAGCCTCCCTGGCATCAGGTTGGGGCCCAGAGACCCCTGGAGGCAGTCGGTGGGGGTCTGTGGCAGCCCTACTGGGGCTTGGAGCTCCTCAGTTGAGGAAGCTGCTGTGTGTGGGCCCCACCAGGCCTGCAGGGACCGAAGCCCAACCCCCTTTCCCATGGGTGACTTGGGACCAGAACCCTGGGTACCTCCTGGGGGTGAAGGACTCCTGTGTCCTTAGCCCAGCACCCTGTCTGCCCCACTCACGCCCACTCTGCCTGGGCCCCCCAGCTCCTGGACACATGCTGTCCATGCCTGCCCTCCTCTTTTGTGGGTGTCACTGACCCCCGCATGGAGGAGCAGCAGGGCTGGGGTCAGGCTGAGCTTTGGGGCTGCCGCCAGGCGGGGGAAGCTTGCATGGTCAGAGGTGGGGCTTGCAGCCTGTGGTCTTGCTGGAGGGGGCATCAGCCACGCTGGCTGCCCTGAGGACTGTGACGTGTGGGCAGAAGGGGCCTCTGCAGCCCAGCTGTGGCCCCTGCTGGGACATCTTCCCACCATGAAGACAGGCACCCAGCGAGGCACCTGCCAGACACTCAGAGGCCCCTGGATGGAGGTGTCCTGAAGGCAGCTGACAGGGGCTGGGGCCTCAGGAACAGGGATTTGTGCCCACTTGGGGGTGTCTGGGTTGCCCCAGGGATGGGGGCAGGGGAGGGGAGCCCAGGCCAGCCCAGGGCCCCACACTCAGGGGCTGAGCAGGACACAACAGCCACAGTCCCTGGACCTGGGGCCAAGGGTTCTGAGGTGGGGGCGGCGTTCTGGGCTCTCTGGGAGTGGGGGCCTGGCAGAGGTTTCCTGGCAGCACCAGGTATCCATGAGGTACGTGGCCCTGGCCCCTGGCATGCTGTGGGGCGGAGGCTGTGCGGCCTTTCGGGTCCCTGTCTGAGCCTGCCCCCTCCACAGTTCTTCCTGCTGCTGCTGCTGGTGTTCCTGCTGGAGGCCACCATCGCCATCCTCTTCTTCGCCTACACGGACAAGGTACGGCTGCCTTGGCCGCAGGCCCAACTGCAGGGCTGGGGGCTCCATCCTCACTCCCAGGGAGCACTGTGGGCCCGGTGTGGACAGAGTGGCCCTGCATGTGCCCTCACGGGCAGCCAGGACAGCGGGTGTGGATTTACCAGGCCTGGAGGGGCAGCGCCAGCGACCCTGGGAGGCTGTGCTGTGGCTCTATAGCGACTGGGGCACAAGGGCACTGCTACCCCACCCGGAGGGTGCGCCCCAGGTTGTCCCCCGCCCTCTGACGCAGCGTCCTGAGCCGTCTGCTCCCAGCGCCCCATCCGGGCCGCGCACCGTGGGGTTCTCCTCTGTAGAGCGGCCTCTTCTTGGTCACTCACTCATATATTCAGCCATTTGTTTATACTGGGATGAAGTCCTGGCTATTGAGGTTGCACTCCGAGCTAGAACACACTACTTTGTTTTGTGAATCACACTGTCCGTCCTTGGCCCTGGGGAGCTTCTGCCGTCTGCTGCTGGGTCCCCTGACGTGCCCCCATCAACAGACTTTTCATTTTGGGGCACGTCCTGACTTCCTGGCACTGCAGGGCGCTCCAGGCTCCTTCATTCCCTGCCCTGGCCCAGGAATCAGCCCCTTCTCCAGGGTGCTCTGGGTCCTCACTGAATATTGGGGACCGAGGCCAGGGTGCTGGGTGGGCTCAGCGCTCATAGCCCCTGGCTTTCAGCTCACAGAGCATGGCTGCACGTGTCCCGATACGTGGAGGCACCTGTGTCCCTGTCCTCTGTCCCCCCAGGACCCATGGTCCTCCCCCAGCCTGGGGAGGAAGCCCAGAGGTGGGGGCCCTGGGCCTCAGGGCTGCTGGGAGGACATGGGGCCGGTGTGTCTGCAGCTTGGTGGGCTAGGAGGCGCGGGGGACACAAGACCAGGCGCAGGAGGGGCCCAGCTTAGGGGCCGGCGAGGGGGTCTGGATGAGGGAGGCGGGGTACAGTGGGAGGGGCCCTGCTGACCCCCCCCGCACCCCCAGATTGACAGGTATGCCCAGCAAGACCTGAAGAAAGGCTTGCACCTGTACGGCACGCAGGGCAACGTGGGCCTCACCAACGCCTGGAGCATCATCCAGACCGACGTGAGGCGTGGGCAGGTGGGCGGGGTCGGCGGGTGCCCCCTCCCCTCCTGCCTCAGCCCGACCTGAGCTTGCCCCCCAGTTCCGCTGCTGTGGCGTCTCCAACTACACTGACTGGTTCGAGGTGTACAACGCCACGCGGGTACCTGACTCCTGCTGCTTGGAGTTCAGTGAGAGCTGTGGGCTGCACGCCCCCGGCACCTGGTGGAAGGCGGTGAGTGAGACCCCCACCCTGGGGGCTGGTAGGGGCCTAGAGGGCGGGACCAGCAGGCCCTGCCGTGACACGCATGACATCCCTCCCTGCAGCCGTGCTACGAGACGGTGAAGGTGTGGCTTCAGGAGAACCTGCTGGCTGTGGGCATCTTTGGGCTGTGCACGGCGCTGGTGCAGGTATGGCCTGGGGGCCTGCGGGCTCCCTGCCCCCACTTTGTTAGGACCTTCTGAGCCCAGGGAACAAAGTAGCAAAGACCTTGCCCCCAGGAACCCACGATCGGGGGAGGCCGGGGCAAAAGCAGGAGGGCGAGTTCAGGGGGATGGGCAGGGACGGCCTGTGGGGACAGTGGGCTCCCTCTTAGTGGACAGAGGCAGAGGCTGGTGTGGGGTGGAGGCCGGTGGTCGTCCATGTTGGTCGGTGGCCCAGGACTGGCCAGTGCACAGAGGGTGGCAGCTGGGGCCCTGGTGCCAGTGGCCCCTGGTTTCCAAACTCCACAGCCCTCAGGAAGTTCTGGGTGTCCTCATGCCTGCAAGGCTCAGGGGAGGGTGCTGTGGCTCGAGCCACAGGGGTTGGGTGGGGCGTGCAAGCCACCAGGAAGCTGAAGGGCTCTGCCACTGTGTCGCCCACCCTGGGGTCGGGGTCAGGGCCAGGGCACCTGCTGAGGACAGGGACTGCTCTGGGCTTGAGGCCTGAGCCTGTGGAGCTGCCATGCCCAGTCCTCCTCCCCTACCTACAGATCCTGGGCCTGACCTTCGCCATGACCATGTACTGCCAAGTGGTCAAGGCAGACACCTACTGCGCGTAGGCCGCCCACCGCCCGCTTCTCTGCCAAAAGGACGCCCACGGGGAGATGGCCGCACCCACAGCTGCCTTTCCCACCACCAGCCTCGGTGCTCTGCCCCATGCTGGGAGGAGGGAGGGAGGGACAGGTGCCTGGAGCCCCCGGAACCCTGTTTCTGGAAGGCCCTAGCTCAGGTGGCTTCAGGGCCTCCGGACCCCCCCTGGGAGGGGTGGCCACGTGCTGGCTGCGGAACCCAGGGCAGGGGTGGGAGGGGCCTCCAGCACTTTTTATATTTACGTATTCTCCAAAGCAGTGTTCACACGGGAGCCAGCCTGTGGCCCCCAGCCTCCTGGAAAACAGGTTGGCGCTGGAGGAGCCGGGTCTTGGCATCCTGGAGGTGGCCCCACTGGTCCTGGTGCTCCAGGCGGGGCCGTGGACCCCTCACCTACATTCCATAGTGGGCCCGTGGGGCTCCTGGTGCATCTTAATAAAGTGTGAGCAGCAACCTTGCGTCTATTGCTCGTCTGCCTTCCCTACCCTATCTTCCCTTCTGGCACCCAGGCCTGGGGCAGGGCAGCCTCTGGCATGAACGGTGCTTAGGCAGAGCCCTGGGGCTGTGGGGTCACCTGGTGCACAGGCTTGGGGGAGCTGCCTGCAGAGCAGTCTCCAGACCTCTGGTTTTAAGGAAATCATGACATTAGCTCTAAGAAGTGATGAGGCCGGGTGCAGTGACTCACACCTGTAATCCCTTCGGCTTTGGGAGGCCAAAGTGGGTGGATAACCTGAGGTCAGGAGTTTGAGACCAGCCTGGCCAACATGGTGAAACCCTGTCTCTACTAAAAATAAAAAATTAGCCGGGCGTGGTGGCGGGCGCCTGTAATTCCAGCTACTTGGGAGGCTGAGGCAGGAGAATCGCTTGATTCCAGGAGATGGAGGTTGCAACGAGCCGAGATCGCACCACTGCACTCTAGCCTGGATGACACAGGAAGAGTCCATCTCAAAAAAAAAAAAAAAAAAAGTAATAAAAAATAAAGTGCCAAGGCCCCTGGGGGGCCGTCCCTGAACTGCCAGCCTTTGCTAGGGGTGGCCTCCCTCTGCTTCACCCCCCCACCCCGGGGGCTCCTCCTGAGGCGGGCCTCCCTCCACATCGCCCCCTACCCTGGGGCCTGCTGTCGAGGCGGGGCTGTGCTTTTCCCCTATTTTGTTCCTAGAACTCTGCCCCTTTAAGTGAGCTGGCAGCACAAAGCACCTGTCACAGGGCATGAAAAAAAATGCATCAAGGTGCCTCAGGATTCTCACAGCCAGGGGTGAGGGTTGTGTGGGGACCCTGGCCACAGGGATGACGGTCAGTTCAGGTTGGGGCATCTGATCCCCAAACTGCACCCCACAATCTCATTTCCAGCTAATTCCTGCCCCACCCTCTGCCCATCCCCCCGGGAGACACAGCCCGCTCTAGACATCCCATCCTGTGTGGCATCCCCACCCCTGCCTCCACCCAATGCTGATCTGGCAATGCCTAGCTCCAGGCCCACACCACCCTCCCAGACCTGCGTGTCCCCCACCCTCACTCCAACAGAAGCCACAGGACCCCCGAGAACAACTTGAATGTTAGCGTCAGCACCTCTGGGGAGACAAGGTCAGTGCCCCAAAGCCAGTGGCAGCTTGTGTTTTTTTAGACAAGGTTTTTGGAGTGCAGTCGGTCACAGCTCACTGCAGCCTCAACCTCATCAAGCGATCCTCCCATCTCAGCCTCCTGAGTAGCCAGGAGTACAGGCACATGCCACCATGTCTTGCTAATTTTTCTATTTTTAGGGGGTAGAGACGGGGTTTCACCATGTTGCCCAGCGTTCCTCCCGCCACGGCTTTCCAAAGTACTGGGATTACAGGCATGAACCGCCGCACACACCACTTGTATCTCCTATGCCCGTGTCAAGCAGCAGCAGGGCGGTGGGAACGGCTGCACCTGCACTGTGGCAGCTCGCAGGCCTCCCTGACGTCCAGGCGGAGGCTTTCTCAAGTGTGGGTGCCTTGGGTCCGACCCAGGACCCCCTCCCCAGCTCCCGTCCTGTGGAGGAGACCCCACCATGCTTCCTCACCACCGGCTGGAGATGTCCTGACCCCCTGCCCACTGCGCCCTAACATTACTGACTCTAAACCAGAACCCAGTGCCCACCCTGTCCTCACCGTCCTCACCCCACGGCATTCTGAGTGAGGGACGCCCAGGCCCACCCACTCCCTGGACTCACTTCTGTCCCCCCGAGAGACCTTGCCCGGGACATGTACCCACCTATGCCCTCTACTGCCCACCTCAGCCCTGTGGGACCCAGTGGTGAGGAGGGGAGTCCTCACGGCCAGCCAAGGACAGGATGGTGACGAGGGGCAGGGGAACGAGGGCCACCAGGCCTTGGCTCATGATGCCTCCAAATTCCCCAGGGCCTCCCCAGAGCCTGGACACCGCTGCATGGCAGGGTGGGTGTAGCCTGCCAGCCACATGTCCTCTGCCCCACCCCTCGCTGGAAATGCCTGTCCCGATATGGCCCACGGGTCCTGCCGTTGCCCCTCACCATGCTCCCTGATGTGTCCAGGCTGGCCTGGGGGTCGTGCTACCTGAGGCGGCAGAGCTGAGCCAAGGTCCAGGACCAGTTTCAAGAGGGTGGGCCAGGCTCCTCTGAGCCCATTTCTAGGGCAGCCCCTGCACCCTTGCCGTGCTGGACTCGGTGGGGACGTCTGGGTGGCTCTCTGCAGGTGACACACGTGCTGTGGCTGGCCAGGTGGGTGGCAGGTATGTGGGGGTGGAGCTCTCAGCTCTATCACTGCCAGGCCCTGGGGTGATGCTGGGCAGAGCTGTCCCTGCGAGGGCCCTCGAATCCAGGAGTGGGCGAGTCCGGGATGGTTCCAGAGCTTCCAAACCCACATCCAGCCCAGGATGTGAGAAGCAGCCCAGAAAGGCCTGAGCCAGGCTGTCCTGGTGGGGCAGGTACTGTGGGCCCCGCCTGCCCAGCTGACAGGAGGCAGCCAGCGGATGCCCGGGTGGGAGGGGCTCGAGCTCTCAGGGTGTCCCCCAGCTAGGACTCATCCAGGGCAGGGACCCCTCATGGGAGGATGGGGAGTCACATGGTGCCCAGGACCCCCGACTGAGGACTGCAGCAGACCCGTCACAGCAAACGGAGTGGAGGCCTGTATTTCACACCTGCTCACTCACTCCATGGCTTAGAAAAGAACACGTCCACCGCGGAGGCCGCAATGCCCACCTAGAGCAGGTCGTAGAAGTAGTCCAGGCCCTGGCCCAGCTCCCAGATAGAGACCCCAACGCCCAGCTCCCGGGCCAGCTCCAGCCGCACCTGCAGGGACTGGGCACAGATGGAGGTGTGAGCACCTGCTGGGGCCTGTCCCCCCAACACCCAGGGATGTCCTCCAGGCCGAGGGGCAGCACCGCCTGGACCCCAGGCCAGTGCCTGCTGTGCTGTCGCATGGCCCACCCCTCCCCCGGTCCCACGGCTGGCAGCACACGCACCTTCAGGGTTGGGTAGAAGACGACGTGCCTCCCACTGCGGCTCCTGCAAGACAAAGGGACTGTCAGCCCATCCGCTCTGCTGGTTCCAGGCCTCCTCCCCTCACAGCCAAGGTCCACGGCCTGTACTCCTCCCACCCACCAGGTGGCCACCTGCTGTCCAGCTGTGCTCCAGGGCCGGGAGCAGCAAGTGAGCTCGTGACCCTGAGACCCCCTGGGCCCTGCTGCTCCCTCATCTCCACCCCCAGGGCCCCTCCCTGCACACAAGGCCAAGGTGGGCCACGCACTTCAAAACACTCACTTCTTGTACTCGAAGAAGTGCTCTGAGGCCTGGCTGTCCCACACCATCCGGGGCCTGTGGTCCTTCAGTGTCTGGATGTACCTGGGGAGACCAGGATATGGATTTGGGAGCCCACCCAGCTCCCCCACAGCCCCACCCTGTACCCCCAAAGGCTGTGGCTCTCAGCAGGGGCAGGGCCACTCGGGGCAGCCACTGTCCCCAGTGGTCTGGGGGACAACACCTGGTGGGGTGGCCAGAGCCCCAGGCCGTGTGAACCCTGTATTAGAGGAAACCTCAGGAAAAACATCTTCCAGGAGCTTCCTCGGAAGAAGCCACCCCACCAAGTCCTTTCAGTGGCCTGGAGAGTGACACGGGGCCTGAAACTGCCTGAGCCTGAGGGTGACCCTCAGGCCGCGCAGCGGCTGCTGGACAGGGCTCCTCACTCTGTCCAGACCCCAGGTGAGAGGCTAACCAGACAGGCCTCAGGCTGCCCTGGCCCCGCTGCTGGCCCTGGACTGATGGGCAGTGCCTCGTACTGGGTGGGCAGTGCCTTGTACTGGGGATGGCTGCCCGGGGCAGTGGTTTCTGCACCTTTTTTTTTTTTTTTTTTTGAGACGGAGTCTCACTCTGTCGCCCAGGCTGGTGTACAGTCGTGCGATCTTGGTTCACTGCAACCTCTGCCTCCCAGATTCAGGTGATTCTTCTGCCTCAGCCTCCTGAGTAGCTGGGACTACAAGCACACATCACCATGCCCGACTAATTTTTGTTATTTTTTAGTAGAGATGCGGTTTCACCGTATTGGCCAAGCTGGTCTCGAACTCCTGACCTCGTGATCTGTCCGCCTTGGCCTCCCAAAGTGCTGGAATTACAGGCGTGAGCCACCGCGCCTGGCCTCTGCACCCTTTCAAAGACTGAGTCTGCCTCAGTCTTGAACAATGACCACCCCATGCCCAGGACAGCAGCAGGCCCCTCCTGAGCACCAAGAGTCAGTGGTTTGAGAACCACCCCCTCCTTCACACAGAGGACAGGCTCATTCCCAAGGTGCTGGGGACACGACTGCGGCTTCCAGGTCACGGGGCCCTGAGTGTGTGCACATCTCACACTGCACATTTGGGACCAGGGCAGGTGGTTCCAGAAGCTTCTGGTCTCCACAGACAGGAGTCTGTGCAGGTGGAGGCAGCTGACAATGGAACATGACCAGTGCCTGCTGCGTGAGGACAGTGCCCCCCACGTGCCTGGGGCTGCAGCCTCAGGGAGGAGGCCTGGCGTGGGGCCTACAGCCCGGGTGCCATGTGGGAGGGGAGGACAGGCAGTAGGCAACTGCAGGGGCGCAGGGACCTGGGCCGTGTGGCATGGACATCCGCAGGATCCTAAGGGGTCACAGATGGACAGTGCAGGGTTTATCCAAGTGAGAAATGGCCACAGGACCGCACCTCGAGCCACCTTTCTGCTCCTGCCCAGGAGTAGTGGGATGTTTGAGGCTCCCAAACGGGAAAGGCTGCTGTTGTCCTGAGCAGGGCAGAGTCCCCTTGACACTGGGAGCCTCTTCCAGACTAGGGCACATGTCACTTCAGAGCTGTGAATGGGAGCAGCTGCCACCCCCCCAGCAGTGCTCGACAAAGTGCCAGACCCCATCGGGTAGCTCTGGCCTTTTGGGGCATGGAGGCTGCTCTGCAGACATCAGACCCCGGCAAACACATGGCAGGGAGGGTGGGAAACAGCATTCGGGCAGCCTCCCCAACCCAGACAGTTTCCCTTAGACGCCTGTTTCTGTTTTTTTGAGACAAAGTCTCGCTGTCACTCAGGCTGGAGTGCAGTGGCATGATCTTGGCTCACTGTAACCTCCGCCTCCTGGGTTCAAGCAATTCTCCCACCTCTGCCTCCCAAGTAGCTAGGATCACAGCCACCCGCCACCACGCCCAGCTGGTTTTTGTATTTTTAGTAGAGATGGAGTTTCTCCATGTTAGTCATGCTGGTCTTGAACTCCTGACCTCAAGTGACTGCCTGCCTCGGCCTCCCAAAGTGTTAGGATTACAGGCGTGAGCCACCGCACCCAGTCCCTCTAGACTCTGGTAATGGGATGGCAGCAGTGGCTGGCAGCTCCAGCCATCCCAGGCCTGGAAAAGGACTGCTGGACCCCTGCCCTCCTGTGGCTGGGCCAGGCCCCTCAATGGCCACATGCAAACATGGTCCTTCCAGAAGCCCCTCCAGACCAGGCAACGTCATGGAGGCTGCCAGCATAGCCACAACCCCATCAGACAGCTCTAAAATTACTGCATTATCCTTAACTGAAACACCACTCAAGGTGTTGTTGGTGTAATTTGCAGCGTCCCCCCTCAATATCTGCTGGGTGGCTCTGTGAGAAGAATGGGATGTGCAGGGTCGTGGGCAGATACCTCAGGGCAGGGTTGGCCCTCGGGCTGTGGGGAGCTCTGGCCACGCCACACACTCCTCCTCCTGGGGGGCCTCTGTGGTCACTGCTCAAAATCTGCTGCCTCCAGGAGGAGGTGAGGCTGGGGGTGGCCAGGACCCCTGAGAGCACTGGGTGCCTCCCACTCAGGAGCCCCAGCCTGGTGGTTTGGCGAGTGGGTGGTGACCACGCTGTGGGGGCAGCCATGACCAGGGCGCTGTCAGGGACCCCAACCCCAGGAATCGCTACTCCCAAGCAGGCCCTGGGGACGAGGAGAAGCTGGAGCCCAGGTGCTGGGTGGGGGTGTGTGCCCAGCTCCCAAAAGCCCAGGGAGGGTCTGAGAGTCACTCCTGGGGAGGGAAGGTGGGGCCACCCGGTATAGGGGCGGGGCTGAGTGAGGACGGGCAGCTGCAGGCACAGCAGAGGGAGTCCAGGCCCACAGCAGAGGGAGGACAGTCCTCAGAGGGCCGCAGACACACACAGGGGCTGGGTCCTTGGGGGGCCTGAGTGGCCATCCAGGCTGGTAACTGGGACCCCCTTGAGGGCTTGTAAGACCCCAAGGAGCATGGCTGGTGTGATGGACAAGCACACCAGGGGACCAGGCTCCCAGGAGGAACAAGGGCCACACAGGTCTTTTGGGCGCAGGCACCAGCCACAGTGAGTGGGGAGCGAGCGAGGGGCCTGCCTGGGAGGAAGGAAGGGCCACAGAGAGGGCAGGGGAAGGTGAAAGTCCGAGAGTGGGTGCAGGGAGCACTGCAGGAGCCCAAGGGAGGGACAAGCACATGGACGGGGAGGATGTAAGGAATAAGGACTCAATGAACACGGACAGCTCGGCCTCACAGAAACATCCAGAACAGACAAACCTACAGAGACGGTGGGCTGGAGGTGGGCACAAGCTAGGGCGGAGAAAGAGGGCACAGCTGCTAAAAGGCACAGGGCTTCTTTTTTTGGGGAGCAGTAATGCGGGCTGTACAATTCTGGAAGCGTGTTAAACGCCACTTTGAAATGGTGCATTTTATGGTATGTGAATTTCATCCAACCTCAAAAACAGCTGCAAGGCCTCAAATGGAAAGGGCCAAGGAAAGCCAAACAGGATATACACACAAAACACACCGAGACGCGCCACAGAGCAATTTAGGAGGACCAGGGACAGAGGTTCGACGCGTTTCTAGGGAGAAAGCAGATCAAGTGTGAGAAAGATGTCCTTGGACCTCCTGATGTGTGTGTGTGTGGGGGGCGTCACCCCACGGAGACCAGCTTGGAAACTTTTGGAGAAAGGGCTGCAGAAAACCAAAATAAGTGGGATGAGAGGCTTGCTCCAAAGCCTGGGGACTTTGCCAAGGTCTAAAACGCAAGGATTAAAAACAGAGGGGGCCGGGCGTGGTGGCTCACGCCTGTAATCCCAGCACTTTGGGAGGCTGAGGCGGGCGGATCACCTGAGGTCAGGAGTTCGAGACCAGCCTGGCCAACGTGGTGAAACCCCATCTCTACTAAAAATACAAAAAATTAGCCAGGCATGGTGGCACACACCTGTAGTCCCAGCTACTTGGGAGGCTGAGGCAGGAGAATCACTTGAACCTGGGAGGTGGAGGCTACAGTGAGCTGAAATCAAGCCACTGCACTCCAGACTGGGCGACAAGAGTGAAACTCCATCTCCAAAACAAAAAGATAGGGTCTTGTTCTGTCACGAAGACTGGAATGCAATGGTGTGATCATAGCGCACTGCAGCCTGGACCTCCAAGGCTCAAGCGATCCTCCCGCCTCAGCCTCCTGAGTGGCCGGGACTACAGGTGTGCACCACCACACACTGCTAACTTTTAACATTTTTGTAGAGATGGGGGTCTTGCTCTGTGACCCAAGCTGGTTTCAAACTCCTGGCCTCACGTGATCCTCCCCACTCGGCCTCCCAGGCTGTAATGATTACAGGCGTGAGTCACCACATGCAGCACCCCTTGGACTTGACCCACCGGCTGCTAGGGCTGTCCTGGCTCCAAAGGTAGAGCAGTCATGGTATGCTGTGAGCCGCCCTGAGCCACCATTAGAAAACGATTCCGTGTCCTGGAGGCAGCAGACAGAAGACACAGCCTGGTGGTGCACAGCTTCCTGCAGGGAAAAGTGCATGAGGCCCGGCTCTGGCCTCAGGAGTGTGTGTCGAGAGAAGCCCTTCCCAGGACCCCTCAGGAGCCCCCACAGGGCTCTGCAGCCAGCTCCAAGGAACGGGTCCAAGGGAGTGGAGCTGCTTCTGGCTGGTGGGAGGAGGGGCTTGCAGGCTCGGGCCAGGGCTGCTGTGAGCAATGGTGAGGCCCCCAGTGCCAGGCCCAGGCCCCCTCCTGAAGGGAGGACATAGCTGATGGCTGGCCCTCCCCAAGCCCACCCTGCAGACACTGAAACCCCAGGCCAGGTGCTCCTATCTTCACAGGTTTCAGTTGCCTCTCAGAGCTTGAGTTCAACCAGACAGCCCTCCTCGGTGGGTGGCCATCCTTCTTCGGGGCTGTCCTGTCTGAAATGTGGGATCCAGCCATGTCCTGACCGGAGGCCCTGAGGTTCACCGTCTCCCGCTCGGGGAGGCGGGCGTGGCTGGGCCCGCAGGTAATGCCAGCCAGTCCCTGCACCTGGCCCCATTGGGGATGTGCTCAGGAGCTGCTGCTAGTCAGCCAAGGCTCCCAGAGGCACAAGCTGTAGACACTGAGGGCCCCGGGTGTGGAGAAGACCTGGCTCCTCGTCACTGGCTATCGGAGAGCGCTGGGGTGTTAGGAGAACACGGTGAGCATGAGGCCGGGGATCGGGGCTGGGGTTGCTGAAACTCTTAGCGCCACATGAGGCCGAGGGAGTCAAGTCCTGGGGTGGCCATGAGGGGCTCGCCACACCATTCTATGCACTTCTATGCTTGAAGATTCTCACAGTAAAAGATTCACAAGACAGAGGAGGAAAACGCCTAGGTCCACCGAGTCGTGGCAGCAAAAGACGCCACGGCAGTGATGAGGACCACGTGCCTAAGATTCAATCCCTGCTGCTGCCGGCCTCCCAGACGTCCCCTGGCGGGTGACAGACAGGATGAAGGAACGATGGGCTCCACTCTGCAGAGGACACAGTATAGGCTGGAGGAGCGAGGAGGCTGGGACTGGATGACTGGCTGGTGTGGGTGGCAGGCGCCGCATTGCTTGGCGGTGCACGTGGTGTGTGGGGGCATGTGAGGCTGGGGGCTGTCTGCTCTTTAGGGCGGTCGCAGCTAATAAGTGAGATTTCAGCTAGAAAAGCAGACATCTGGTGCCAACACAAGGCGAGAACAGAGGGTGAGGAGAGGCGTCTGAGCTGATGTCGCCAGAGCTCAGCAGGAGCCGGCACAGGTGCAAGGACAGATAAGCCTCGAGAAAGGGCCAGGGAGAAGAGCCCCAGCTTCTAGAACAGATAGGGAGGACCCACAGGACACCCCACAACGGGTGGCCCATCTCACCCTGTGCACGTTGCAGGCAGTGAGCCCTTGGGCTGGATTTGGTGTCCAGAGTGGATGACACCTGTCCAGGGCAGGACCACAGGGTGCAGATGAACAGTGCAGCTGAGAGGGAGGTCGGGGCTCAGGGAGGGGCTGGACACCACCTGGGCAGAGCCAGGGTCAGGAAGAATGTTCCAAGGAGCTGCGAACACGGCCCCTCCACCGTGCAGACATTCAGGCGGAGGCAGGAGTGCCGTCCACTCGTAGACGGGACTCTGGCACAGTTGAGAGCCAGGAACCTACCCAGGGAAGACACTGGTGGCTGTCAGGCATCACACTCCCAGCAGCAGGGTTGCCTCTGCCTGTGATCCTTGCCAGTGTCCTCCTTGGACTAGAGTGGGCGTGCCCTCCCTGCTGTACCCTTGAGGCAGGAGCCATGGCTGTGCAGCGTCAGCACTCTCTCGGCCGGCTCGGCAGCTGTGAGGATGCACGTGTGAGCGAGTCTTGGCAGCCGTTTATTTATTCCAGCCTTGCGGGAGGTGGCCCTGCTGAGCTGGCATCTGTGCCGCTGCCCTGGCCAAGGTCTCTAGGCAGGGACAGACAGGGCAAGAGCTACTGGCCACCCAGGATGGGACGTGGGGACGGGCACTCTAGGGGCCCCTGAGACCCAGATCTCCCTATGGCCTGCTCCCCTCCAGTGGTCCTGCATCCAGGCTGGAGCCTGCCAGGTGCCCACACCCCTCCTCTGTGCCACTCAGGCCCAGAGGTCATTAACAAGGGCACTTCGGGTGGGCGAGGAGGGCAGATGAGGGGACTTCTCAGCTGGGAGTGAGGACCCAGAAGCAGTGCCTTTCTTTCCTGACTGGGTGCACACAGACCCCAACTTGTGCAAAGCTGGGGGGTCCTGAGGGCATACACCCCCACACGCTCACATACACACCTTTGTAATCAGAATTCCTTGGCCCCAAACCCCCTAGCCAATTCTCAGAACAATCATGGGTGGGTGCAACTGCCCACGGGAAGCTGCTGAAGGCTTTGGTTGTTTTGGAGACAGGGTCTTGCTCTGGAGCCCAGACTGGAGTGCAGTGCAGTCTCCACCTCCACAGCTCAGGCATTCCTCAGCCTCCTGAGTGGCTGGGACCACAGGTGTGCACCACCATACCGGCTAATTTGTTTTTAAACTATTTGTAATGATGGGGTCTCTCTATTTTGCATAGAAGATCTCGAACCCCTGGGCTCAAGCAATCCTCCTGCCTTAGCCCCACAAAGTGCTGGGATTACAGGTGTGAGCTGTTGCGCCAAGCCACACTGATGCCTTGTGTGACCTGACCCAGGCTCTTGTGCAGTGAGTGAGCCCTAACTCATCACCCTCAGATGGTGTAATGGGCTGAGCTGTTCCCCTAAAATCCACAGGGTGAAGTGTGTGATGTCTTGAATGTTCTCTGCAAAATTCACACTGAAATGTAATACCCACTGTGGCACTGTGGGGAGGCGGGGCCTTTAGAAGGCGGCACTGTGGGGAGGCGGGGCCTTTAGAAGGCGGCACTGTGGGGAGGCGGGGCCTTTAGAAGGCGACACTGTGGGGAGGCGGGGCCTTTAGAAGGCGGCACTGTGGGGAGGCGGGGCCTTTAGAAGGTGACTGGGTCATGAGGGCTCCGCCCTGGTGAACGGATTAATCCATTCATGGACTAGTGGGTTAATGGACCAGTGGGTGACCATGGGCATGGGACTGTGGCTTTCTAAGAAGGGGAAGGCGGCAGCTCGCTCAGACCCTGTACCACGGACACCCTGCACCACCTCCGGACTCTTCGGAGTCCCTACCAGCAAGAACGCTCTCACAGAACTGGCCACGGGCCTTGGACTTCTCAGCCTCTATAAGAAATAAACTCCTGTCTGGGTGCAGAGGCTCACGCCTGTAATCCCAGCACTTTGGGAAGCCGAGCCGGGTGGATCACTTGAGGTCAGGAGTTTGAGACCAGCCTGGCCGACATAGCAAAACCCTGTCTCTACTAAAAATATAAAAATTAGCTGGGTGTGGTGGCACGTGCCTGTAGTTCCAGCTACTCGGGAGGCTGAGGCAGGACAATCGCTTGAACCCAGGAGGTGGAGGCTGCAGTGAGCTGAGATCACACCACTGCACTCCAGCCTGGGGACTCCGTCTCAAAAAAAACAAAACAAAACAAACCGTGGTGGCACATGCCTGTAATTCGAGCTACTCGGGAGGCTGAGGCAGAATTGCTTGAACCCAGGAGGCAGAGGATGCGGTGAGCCAAGATCGCACCATTGCACTCCAGCCTGGGCAACAAGAGTGAAATTCTGTCTAAAAAAAAAAAAAATTCCTTTTCTTTATAAAGTACTCAGTTTCAGGTATTCTGTTATAAGCAACAGAAAACGAACTAACACAAGTCTTAATCCCCAGTGCCTCAGAGTAGCACTATATTTGAAGAAATAGTCTTTTTTATTCTTTTTTTTTTAATTTGAGACAGAGTCTCGCACTGTTGCCCAGGCTGGAGTGCAATGGCGCGATCTCCACTCACTGCAACGTCTGCCTCCCGGGTCCAAGTGATTCTCCTGTCTCAGCCTCCCGAGTAGCCCGCCACCACACCCGGCTAATTTTTTTTTTTGAGACGGAGTCTCACTCTGTCACCCAGGCTGGAGTGCAGTGGTGCGATCTGGGCTCACTGCAACCTCTGCCTCCAGGGTTCACGCTATTCTCCTGCCTCAGCCTCCCAAATAGCTGGGACTACAGGTGCCCTCCACCACGCCCGGCTAATTTTTTGTATTTTTAGTAAAGACGGGGTTTCACCGTGTTAGCCAGGATGGTCTCTATCTCCTGACCTTGTGATCCGCCCACCTCGGCCTCCCAAAGTGCTGGGATTACAGGTGTGAGCCACAGTGTCCGGTCACACCTGACTAATTTTTTGTATTTTTAGTAGAGACGGGGTTTCACTATGTTGGTCAGGCTGGTCTTGAACTCTTGACTTTGTGATCCACCCACCTTATTCTTTTTCTTTTGTAGAGTTAGGGTCTCACCATGTTGCCCAGGCTGGCCTTGAACTCCTGGGCTCCAGTGATCCTCCTGCCTCAGCCTCCTGAGTAGCTAGGACCACAGGCCTGAGCCTGCACTGAGGAAGTCTTTCAAGACGTGATTAAGTTAAAATGATGTCACAAGGGTGGGCTGTAATGCAACATGACTGGTGTCTTATAAGAAGAGGAGAAGAGGACACAGGCGCACATGGGACCTTGTGAGGACACAGGGAGAAGGCAGTTATCTACAAGCTGAGGAGAGGCCCTGGGATCTACCAGCTGAGGAGAGAGGTCCTGGGAGGAGCCGACCCCACCTTGACGGCACCTTCATCTCATCTCCCACCTCCAGCCCCCAGGACTGAGACGAAGCTGTTATTTCAGCTGCCCCATCTATGGTACTTTGTTACCCTTGAAGACTAGTGCGGTGGCGACTCAAGGCCAACACCTGTCTCCCTTTCAAAAGCCCAACCAGAATTGAGGCTTCCCTGAAGGCCTGGGTGAGCAGAGCCCACAGCTGGAGCTGAGGCAGGGCTGGGTGCATGGGGAGGCCTCTTGCTTTGCACAGGGGATCCTGGGCTGGGAGCCCAAGCTCTGTACATGGCTCCACCCAAAGGTCCCAGAACCAGGCACCATGTCAGGGATGTGGTAAGGTGGGGGACATGAGCTGTGCTTCCAGAGCCTTCCCAGGATTCCCAGCATCAAAGGAGGGCCATGGTGGGGGAGGGTGCAGCACACACAGGAGCACAGAGCAGCCCCAACTGAAAGAACAGACAGTTGGGCAGACAGGGCGGCCGGGCCCCTCACTCTGCATTGCAGGGACATGAGAGCTGGCACCCAGTGACTGACCTGTGCCCCATCTCAGCAGGAACAGGGGACCCAAACGAGCCAGGGGCCCTGGGGCATCGCCCTCGCCTGTGCGGAGCCCCGCGTGTCTCAGTGTGTGGCTGAGTTCTCTATGACTCACTGGGTGAGACGTGGGAGAGAAGACGCCAGGCTCTTCGCCCCGCCTGATGCCCAGGCTGACCCCAGGCCCACCTCAGCCAGCACCCCCTCGTGTCCGCCCCCGCAGCAGGGTCAGGCCCTGCTCAGTGACCCAGAGCGCACCCAGGGCCAGAAGCCAGAGAACAGCGGGAGCCCAGGCCTGTGCTGGACCCCAGGACCAGCCGTGTGGACAGAGAGGAGTGTGCACGTAGAGTGTCGGGGGAAAGCCTCCCTAAGGGGACCACCACACACGACCCTGGTCTTGCAACATGGCCCACCTGCCATCTGCCATGGAGGGGCTCACGGAGGGCACCCCTGGAGGCCGGGCAGGGAACACTGCCCCAACATACTCCTCTACCCACTGCTGCCACCCTCAGGACCCGCAAATCCAGCAGGTTACCTCTGCCCCTCCCCACGGCCGACCAGGAGGAATCAGGGGTGATGGCCTGGCCTCGGCTCACCTGCCTGGGCTGACACACGCACACACCCCTCACGGAGGGCAGGCCTGTGGGGGACCTGCAAAAACTCGTAAAGACGACAGCCGAGGCCTCCACAAAAAGGACCAGGTTCTCCAGAAAAGTGAGCAGCTAAAACTGTTTCTAAGAAACTCAACTGCATCCAGAACAAAGATTAAGATGATTTATAAAAATGCTAAAACACCCAGCACGCAACATGGTAAAATTCGCAATGCCTCAGGCATCAACCCGAGAGTACCAGGCCCACAGGAAGGCAGCATAATAGGACCCCAAACAAGGAGGAAAAGCAGCCTCCTGAAACCGACCCTGATATCAGAACCAGCAGACATGGGCACTCAGCAGTTCTTACAACTGAATCCCAATCTGCAAAAGTTTAGTAGAGACATGGAAGACGTAAAGGGGACCCCAAGCAAGCCTCTAGAGAATTATAACATGTTGGCTGGGCTTGGTGGCTCACGCGTGTCATCGCAGCACTTTGGGAGGCTGAGGCAGGAGGATCGCTTGAGCCCAGGAGTTCAAGACCAGCCTGGACCACATAGTGAGACCCCCATCTCATAAAAAATAAAAAAAATTGAATTACAACACGAGGTGACAAAAGCACTGGATGAGATTAACGGTAGGCTGGGTGGTGAGGGAAAGGACCACGTCGGGCGGTAGGCTGGGTGGTGAGGGAAAGGACCACGTCGGGCGGTAGGCTGGGTGGTGAGGGAAAGGACCACGTCGGGCGGTAGGCTGGGTGGTGAGGGAAAGGACGTCGGGCGGTAGGCTGGGTGGTGAGGGAAAGGACCACGTCGGGCGGTAGGCTGGGTGGTGAGGGAAAGGACCACGTCGGGCGGTAGGTTGGGTGGTGAGGGAAAGGACCACGTCGGGCGGTAGGTTGGGTGGTGAGGGAAAGGACCACGTCGGGCGGTAGGTTGGGTGGTGAGAGAAATGACCACGTCGGGCTCAGGATGGATGGGATTAATGGCAGGTTGGGCACAGCAAGAGAAATGACCAGGCCAGGCACGGGGCTCACACCTGTCATCCCAGCACTTTGGGAGGCTGAGGCAGGAGGATCGCTTGAGCCTAGGAATTTGAGACCAGCCTCGACAACATGGCAAAACCCTGTCTCTACAAAAAAAATACAAAAATTAGCGGGGCATGGTGGCATGCACCTGTGGTCCCAGCTATTTGCGAGGCTGAGGTGGGAGGATGGCTTCAGCCCAGGAGGTTGAGGCTGCAGTGAGCTATGATCACACCAGTGCACTGCAGCCTGGACGACAGGGTGAGACCCTGTCTCAAAAAAAAAAAAAAAAAAGAAAACAGAGAAAAAAGAATCCCAGCCCGGTGTGGTGGCTCACCCCTGTAATCCCAGCACTTTGGGAGGCCAAGGTGGGCGGATCATGAGGTCAGGAGATCGAGACCATCCTGGCTAATGCGGTGAAATCCCATCTCTACTAAAGATACAAAAATTAGCAGGGCGCGGTGGCAGACGCCTGTAGTCCCAGCTACTTGGGAGGCTGAGGCAGGAGAATGGCGTGAACCCGGGAGGCAGAGCTTGCAGTGAGCCAAGATTGCGCCACTGCACTCCAGCCTGGGCGACAGAGCGAGACTCCGTCTCAACAAAAAAAGAATTCCAAAAGGTAAAAGGTGTATTCGTGAGCTGTGGGACAAATTCAATGGATCTAGTGTTTGTGGTCTCCAAACGAGAAGACAGAAGAGAAGAAACAGAAAAAATATTTGAAGAATTTGGCCTCAAATTTTCCAAGTTTGCTAAGAGTACGAATGCAGACTCAAGAGGCTCCATGAACACTGTGCAAAAGGAAAATGAAGACACGTCAATAAAATTGTTCAAAACCAGCCATAAATACAAGATATTCCTACGAGCAGGGAGGACAGCAACACAGGCAGGAGAAAGAGGTGGCGGTGAAACGCTGTCCGAATGAGAGGGCGGCCACATGCTTAAGGTGCCAGTGAAAAAACCGACAGCCAGAATTCTACAGCCAGGAAAGATGTCCTCCAGAAATAAAGTAAAGTAATGCCAACAAGAAACCACACTCGCAGAGCATACCAAGAACACACAAAGCAGGAAATTACTCCCGGGCAGAGGAGAGGAGGAGGAGCATTCAACCCAGGAGGCCCCGGCCCGGCCTGTATGCTGTGGGGCAAGGCTGACGGGTGGGGGAAGCCTCAGTCCCAGCCTCACGCAGATGTGGGGACAGCCTCACGCAGATGTGTGGCCGTGTTATGGGTGGTGACCACAGTGGGGGCTGCGGTGGGGTGGGCACCAAGCAGGACCGGCTCCTGGCCCAGCCCCTATCTCTGACTCTGTGGGGCAGAAGCCCCAGGGGACCGAGACCCTCCCCATCACTCTGTCTCCTTACACCCACACCCACCCGCGCCCAGTGACACCTTCAGCACGGCAGGGAGAGCCCTTGGCTCACCTGGCCCCGACAACAGGCTCACGGGCATCCTTGGAGGTCGCGTAGTCCATACCATAGAAGTTGAGCCCCAGGAGGATTTTGCTTCGCCACTTGGACTTCGGGTCCAGGACCTGGACGCAGGCTCGAACCCAGGACAGGGGTGCATTAGGGCCAGGCCTGCAGGGCAAGGGGTGAGCGAGTTTCAGCAACAGGGAGGGCCCCGCACCTGAGCCATCATTGGGGCCCTCCACTGAGGGGTGCATCCTCCCCATGCTGCGGCTGACACCTCTAGAGAGTTGTAAAGAACAGAAGTCACCCATCAGAAAGGGCTGTCAGCAGAGCGGGCCCATGAGGGACGTCACGTCCAGGGCCAGGATCACCCATCAGAAAGGGCTGTCAGCAGAGTGGCCCCATGAGGCATGTCCAGGGCCAGGATCACCCATCAGAAAGGGCTGTCAGCAGAGCGGGCCCATGAGGGACAACACACCCAGGGCCAGGCACTCATGTGCGGCCCCCACCCCACAGCCACAGGCAGGAGTCCGCATGACACAGTGGGAAGGAGGTCAGCAGACACAAGGCCTTCTGGGCATCCTTCCTGAGGTCTCCCTGCCTGCGCCTGTGTCACACGGCCCTCCCACAACAGTGTGGCTCAGGCGAAAGAGGACAGGGCGGCATCGGGCAGCAGCAGGACTATGCCTGTACCTCTGGCCGTGACCCAGCTCCACCAGAGGCAGGGCCCCACCCACGTGACCACCACAGGGCATGGGGCAGGTGCAGTCCCACTGGCTTCCCTCAGGTGGGTGTCCAGACTCAGCAGGTGACCTTGTGCACAGAACCACAGGCAAGAGGGCATCAGCTGTGCCCAGGAGCCCCCCAGGTCCACACTCACTGCTGCACTGTGGAGTTTGCTGTGCCCAGGAGCCCCCCAAGCCCACACTCACTGATGCGCTGTAGAGTAGTCGTAGGTCATGAGGCTGAAACCATCCAGCACGGGGGCCAGCTGCTCAAACTCCTTGTGCGTGAACATGCCCAGCTGGTCGGTCCTGTAACAGACAGGTGCAGCCACCTCAGGCTGCTATGCCCTGCCTGAAGCCCCTCCCCAGCTGCGGTTCGAGCAAGCTGCCTGTAGGGGACTTGGGTCACTTTTCCCAAGGGGAAAAGTGTTCTTCTGGGGTGGGGACAGCCTGCAGCTTGGTTGGGGCCACAGAGGCTGGGGGCTGGGAGACACAGGGGGATGTGGTCATCGGGGCCCAGAGGCCTCTCTGAGACCAGGGTACAGCTGAGAATGACAGACCTAATGGCGGGGAGACCTGGGCCAGGGCTGCCCATGGAGGGGCAAGGTCAGTGGAGAGTGGCCAAGAGGATGGGCCACTCCCAAGAGCTGGGGTTGCTGAGATGGAGGTGACTGATCCAGGCTCCCAGGAGCGTCCCCTCCCGGGGTCTGCAGCAAAGCCTCCCTGAAGGCAGAAGCAGCTCCTGGGATGCAGCCCTCAAGCCCACTCAGGGTCGGCCTGGCCCAGCCAGGCTGTCCAAAGCCCTCACTGGACCTCAGCAGGTAGACGGGAAGGACAAGTGCTTGGCTCCCAGGGATGGAGCAAGGCTGTGTGGCACATTCCCCAGCATGGGGGAAGGGGCGCCAGGGCAGGTGGTCGGCTGCGGACACCTGTGGCATGGGCACCGCGGAGGAAGCGGCCCTGTTCTGTCTGCCTGGCCCCTGGGCCATCTCTGGATGGCCGCCCTTCCCTCGGGGACCTGCTCCTTCCTGACCTGGATCCACTGGGGACTAGTGTCTCCTGGGGCAGCCTTCCCGCCTGGCCCAGGGAGAGCTGGGTGCTGGCCTACGGCCCCTCCACACCCAGATCTATAAGCCAAGGGGAGACAGGAGCAGTACATGAAGGTCAACACCGAGGGGGCGGAGGGCCCCACGGCAGCAGGACGTAGGACAACAGCATGGGGGACGCGGCCGGAGGAGCAGCATGCACTGAAGTGAGGGGAGGGGGTCCCTGTGAGGCAGTGGGCCCTGATCTCCCTCAGTTGTGACCCCTCCTCTGCTCAAGGGTCACTGGGCTACCAAATCTGGACCACGCCAAGGGCCTCAGTGCTGGGGCTTCTGTCAGGGGCTTGAGGGCCCAAGACACCTCCTGCAGATCCCTGGACCCACCTGGCAGGTCTGAGGAGCGCCTCTCCAGATGTGCAGTTTTATCCCAGCCCCTGCCTTGAGTCTACCAGGACCAAGGTCTGGGCCTTCCTCCTCTGCTGAGCACAATGAGAGGCCCAGGCCCCAGAGTCTGTCCACCCCAGGCTGTCCCGGCCTGCAGGTACGTGGAGCATCATCCATGGTCCCCTCAGCCCCGACCTCTTTTCCTGATGCCTGCCAGCCCCACCGCTCAGGCACGGTCAGCCTCCCCAGATCCCCGACAAACACCTCCCAGCACTATGCCCATCACTCCCGGTGGCCTCCCTCAGTGCCTGGGCCCTTCTCTATAGCCAAGTGCCCCTAAGACTTCAGCCCCAAATCCAGTTGTCCACTGGAACCTTCCTGCCCTGCAACCTCCCTCTGGGCCGAGGCCTCCACCCAGGTCCTCTCACCGAAACCCAAGATCATTTCTTTTTTATTTCTGAGATGGGGTCTCTATGTCACCCAGGCTGGAGTGCAGCGGCACGATCCTATCTCACTACAGCCTTGAACTTCTGGGCTCAAGCAATCCTCTTGCCTTTTTTAGTTGATTCAAAAAGGAAAAATGGGCCGGGCGCAGTGGCTCACGCCTGTAATCCCAGCACTTTGGGAGGCCGAGACGGGAGGATCACGAGGTCAGGAGATCGAGACCATCCTAACACAGTGAAACCCCGTCTCTACTAAAAATACAAAAAAATTAGCCGGGCGTGGTGGTGGGCGCCTGTAGTCCCAGCTACTTGGGAGGCTGAGGCAGGAGAATGGCGTGTGAAACCGGGAAGTGAAGCTTACAGTGAGCCGAGATCGTGCCACTGCACTCCAGCCTGGGCGACAAAGCAAGACTCCGTCTCAAAAAAAGAAAAAAAAAAAGGAAAAATGGCGGGGTGTGATGGCTCACACCTGTAATCCCAGCATTTGGGGAGGCTGAGGCAGGTCAATCTCTTGAGCTCAGGAGTTGGAGTCCAGCCTGGGGAACACAGCAAGACTCTGTCTCCACATTAATTAAAAAATTAGCCGGGTGTGGTGGTATGTGCCTGTAGTCCCAGCTACTTGGGGGGCTGAGGTGGGAGGATGGCTTGAGCCCAGGAGGTGGAGGCTGCCGTGAGCCCTGATCATGCCACTGCACTCCAGCCTGGGCAACAGAGCAAGACAATTGATGAATCGGTCTTGCTGTGGACAGGGTGCTTGTGTCCCCACAAATGGTTATGTTGAAGCCCTAACCACTGATGCGATGGTTTCTGGAGACGGGGCCTTTAGGAGGTGATTAGAGCTAGACGAGGCCATGATGACGCGCCCCATGGTGGAGTTAGTGTCCCTATGAGAAGAGACACCACAGCTCTCTGCCATGCGAGGACACAGCAAAAAGGTGCCGACTGCACCAGGAAGAGGCCTTGCCGGAAGGTGGGCTTCGGGCTTGCCAGCGCCTCTCCGAGTCGGTCCCAGGTGGCACCTTGGCCCCTCCCACACAGAGCCCCCCAGCTCACAGCCCCACATCGCTCAGGTCCTGGCGGCAGATGCCAGGCAGCGTTGGCTGCGTCGGTTCCATCCCAGCCTGGCTGCTCCTGAGCCATGATCTCCCCGTGGCTTTCATTTGTGGTTCTCTCATGAATAACATGGTTGAGCATCTCCTGGCCTGCCCATCAGCTCCATGCACGCATCCACTGTGGCCTCTCGTGGTTCAGAGTCCAGGTCTCCTGCCCGCTGTTCTCTGGGGTCTTTGTTGCTTTCTTTCTTTTCTTCTCTTCTGTTTTTGAGACAGGGTCTTGCTCTGTTGCCCAGGCTGGAGTGCAGTGGCACAATCTCGGCTCACTACAGCCTCAAGACCTCTTGAGCTCAAGCTCCTCCTCTCAGCCTCCCGAGTAGCTGGGACCACAGGTGCCACCATGTCCAGCTAACTTTTAAATTTTTTGTAAAGATGAGGTCTCACTATGTTGCCCAGGCTGGTCTCAAACTCCTGGGCTCAAGCGATCCTCCTGCCTCAGCCTCCCCAAATGCTGGCATTACAGGCGCGTACCTCCACACGCAGCCCGTCGTTGCTTTCCCACCACCGTGTTCCCATTTTCTCTCCTCTAGCTCTCTCAGGTGGTCATGTGCTCTTGGTCAGTGGTGTGGGCAGCATCGTCCACCTGGCGAGAGGCTGGTCTTCTCGCTCCTTTGTGGTGTCTTCTGATGCACCCACATCCTGGTCCGAGTTGTCTGTGTCTGTCACTCCTTCCTCTCACGTGCTCCACGGTTCTGCTTCTGACTTGGGCCTTTGCTGCCCCTAGGACCATGGCCAGCAGGACTGCCTGTCCCTTTGGCTCCTACTTTGCCAATCTCATGGCAGCCCTGTCAGCCGCAGCTTCTACTCTGCAGGGGCCTGTCCCACAGTCCAACCCCTCCCCTGTGCCCATGATGCCCTTCCAAGCACCCCGTCCCGCTTCACACGCTGCTATCAGACATGTGGGGTCCTGCCGTGAGCCGGGCTCGTGTGCCTCCCCCACATCCACGGTGCTGCAACGCCCCTGTCCCTCTCGTGGGCGCCATGCCCTCCACCACCTCATGGCCTTGGCCACACCAGGCACTCCTGGCAGAGCTGGCTTCACTCCACAAGGCCTTGGTAGGTGAGGCCACGTGTCCAGGATCTGGTTCCCACCAGCTACAGAATGTGGCACAGAAACCACGAATGCTCCCCATGCGTCCACCAGAAATGCAGCTCCACGACATCCCCAAGCAGGAAGGGGCAGTCCTGCCAGGGGACATGGCTCCACACCACGCCCCTCAGTGCAGCATGCTGACATGTGACATGCCTGTGGCACAGCTTGCATTTTCCCTTCGGGGCTCACGCAGCCACCCACTGACCCAACAACTTTGCTACAGCTGGGCACCAACCACGGCCGCAGGCTAAGAACGGTCCTCACGCTTTCAAGGGTGGTAACACAACACGAGGGAACAAAGCAGGCCCCATTCAGAGGCGGAAGCAGCTCACGGTGGTGATCAGTGGGAGAAAGAGGGGAGGGCACCAGTCCTGTGCCCCCGGTCCTGCCAACCCCCACCTGGTGCTGGCCCTGAGGACCACCCGGGAATGTGGACCTCCTCCTACTTGCAAGAAACACTGCAAAAGGGCCACTGCCAGGTGTCCTCCCCAGCCTGTGTCCTTCACCCAGACACATGCGAGAGCCGGCAGCAGAGCCATCTGTCTCCGTGCCCCGTGGCACCTGGACAAGAGGGGATCACCACGGCTGAGCAATGAGGTAACAGCTTGTCACGGATTAGACGCAGCGTGACTTCCGATGAACAGGAATTACTGCTCACACCGAAAACACCATGTTCTGCATTCATTTCTGAGGAACGAAAGCCCCGGGAGGAAGGAAAGAAGGAAAAGGAGCTCATCACAGCCAGCTGCCGACCCTCCCATCGCCATGTCGTGGGTGGGCCCCATGCAGGCAGCGGCATGCAAGTTGAGTGCCCACTCGGCCTCGACTGGACCCCGGGCCCACACCAACGCCAGTGCCTGCCCACTCGGCCTCGACTGGACCCCGGGCCCACACCAATGCCAGTGCCTGCCCACTCGGCCTCGACTGGACTCCGGGCCCACACCAACGCCAGTGCCTGCCCACTTGGCCTCGATTGGACCCCGGGGCCCACAGCAACGCCAGTGCCCCTCCCCCTCCAGACGGCTGGACGCGCTCTGCTCTTCCCGGGCTGCCCCTGCTCAGGCTTTGTGCTGAGACAGGCCGCTCTGTGCCCCAGGGCCCTGGGGGTGCACTGCCCAGCTGGCTGCCTCACACTGAACAATCCCAGGCTGGGGCCTGACCAGGTCCCTCCAGCCACGTGGACCCCACAGCTGCCAGAGGCCGGGGCGGCTGCGGCCTCCAGAACAGCGTCCTCCCAGATCCGAGGGGAGACGGTGACACGAGTGAGCCCACAGTCTCCTGCCATGTACCCACACCGTCCCTCCAGCACAGCACGACTCTCACGTTCTACCTGCGAACTCCCTGAAACCCCCACCCACCCACCTTGGTCCTGACACTGGGCCCACGTGGCAGATGCCCCCTCTTCCCTCGGCCGACCAGCTGCCATCTCTGGGTGACATCTGCATCACTGTAGTTGACGCCAGGCAAAAGGAACGTCGGCTCCACGTCAACCCCTCCCGCCGCCATCTGCTGGGGTGGGCCCATCTCTTCCCTGCTCCTGCACTCCAGCTACCAGACCCTGTGGGCTTAGCCTCCCTGTCTCCCTAGACTGTCATCTTCCAGCCACCCAGCAGGGGAGAGCCATAGTCTCTGACCTCCATTCAGCTGACCTCCCTCCAGGCTGAATGTGAGGAAGGCGTGGGCTTGGCCTATGGTCCCTAGTCCCTGCCAGCCACACCGCCTGGCCCTATAGTTGCCACCTGCAGAGCCAGGCCCCACAGCAGCCCTGAGGGAATGCCAGTCCCCAACCCTAACAGAGATGGTGGCATCACTGTCAGGCCCCATAGCAGTCCAAGGGAATACCTTTCCCCAACCCTAACAGATGCTGGCATCACTGTCCCTGCAATCTCCCATGCTCAGGGCATCTGCCCCCAGCAGCCAGCGGCCACAGCTGTTCCTCCACCCACAGCTCCCCTCCCCCTCTGCCCACCTGTCAGAGATTTCTGAACCCGCTCCCCATGGCCTTGGGTCGCCTGGCCCCTGTCTGCTGCTGCTGGCATCCTCGCCCCCTCACGATGGCTGCTCTACTGTTCTCAGCCTGCAGGCCTAGCCCGCTCCCCATGGCCTTGGGTCCCCTGGCCCCTGTCTGCTGCTGCTGGCGTCCTCGCCCCCTCACGATGGCTGCTCTACTGTTCCTCAGCCTGCAGGCCTAGCCCGCTCCCTGACTGGCCGGTTAGCACCCTTTGGCCCTTTGGGGCCTGACCTCAGCCTGGACCTCGGCCCGTCCACACCGCACGGGGTGCCTACGGTCCCCCACAGAGGCCTCAACACACACTGCCAGCACGCGGCCTGCCCCATCCCCTGAGGCTGCGGGCAAGAGGCAGGTGGGCGACGGGAGCAGGGGCCTCTGTGCAAACGTGCTTGCTGGGGATACGGTGACGGCGCCCCCATGCGTCACCTTTCTCTGACTGCTGAGTTGGGCTCCACATATAGCGATGGCCGGCCCTGAACCACGGGGCTTGCAGGAGCTGGCCAGGGTCGCGGCCCCGCCCACCTCAGAGTGGACCACTGACAACAAGGCCGGCAACGGCGCCAGCAGGGCCCAGGAAGGAAACCAGCCCTTCCTGGGTTCCTGAGGTCAGCTCCCTGGACCCAAGGGGGTCCCAGTAGCTAACAATGCCCAGAAAACACAAGGGGCCAACTAGAGAGTGACCCAAGGGTTCTGCTCCCATGTTAAGGATGGCACCACCACATGGGCACCTGGGGACAGCCTGTTGGTCCCACTGGCCTGTGGGGTTTACGCTGTGGCTTTGCCCCTGGGTCTCCTCCATTGCTGAGACTGACTGTGGGAGCAGGGCTGGAGGTCCGCAGAGTGCTCAGTTCCAGGACCAGACACCCTGGGGTCTGTGGCAGCTGAGTTAGGGCTGCCTCTGTCTGCTGACGAAGGACACGATAAAATTGGCATTTGGCGACTGGGGTGCCCCTCCCCGCAGCACGCAGACCTCTCTCCAGGGGCCATTGTTCCACAGACAGTGCCCCTGGAGAGAGCGAGCCTGTGTGCTGGCAGCGCTGCTCTTGGGAGGTGAGTGACAAGCACAATTACGCGCTGCTGCAAAAGCACCAGGGACAGGGATTTACGAGGCTCCTCTGCAGTGGCTGCTCTTCCCTCAGAGTGGGATGGGGGAAGGATAAACAGATGACAAAACAGCCCTCCTCACCTCTGGGGCTGTAGCCAGAGTCTCGGGAGAACCCACGGGAGCCTCAGCACCTTCACCGGCCCCGCCGACTGGGAGGGCACAGCCCTGTGCTCCAGTGGAGCGGGCGCACAACAGCAGTGCCCAGCCCTCCCCCGAGCTGGGTCCCACTTCCCCGGGGACCCCCACCGTGGGCCTCGGCCCCGCCCCCAGCCTCGTCACCGTGCCCGTAGCCCTGGCGTGCATCCCACCCTACAGCTGCAACCCCCACCAGCGCCATGCAAATGGAGTTGTGAGCTTTGGTTGCTGTGGGGTGAGGGGCAGGGACCTGGCCCAGCTCCAACTGCCCACTTCCTGCCTAGGGCCAGAAGCTCAGGCAGAGGCTGCCACCAGCAGAAGACAGGCACCTGGTCCTCTGCCCCAGCCTCAAGAACTGCCCTGGGCTCCTGAGCTGGTCCCCACCGATGGCTGCTTCTGCAGCTCCCCTAAGCACAAAGGGCAACCTGGGAGCCCCATGAAATCAGTGCCTCACAGAGGTGGCCATGCCCATGGCCTCTGGACAAGGAGTGTCTGCTGCCCCGAGGAATCTTCACCCAGCCCCAGGCCTGTAGTCCTCCCAACCACCTGAGACAGGTGCTGTCAGCTCTGGAAGGACGTGTCCTCACAGCCAGCCCCTGCCAGCCCCCTTCAAACCCTGGGAACACAGGTCAGACATTAGTGCCTTACATCGGAAAAGGCTGGCCACGGTGGCTTGGGAGGCCGAGGTGGGATGATCGCTTGAGCCCAGGAGTTCAAGACCAGCCTGGGCAACATGGCAAAACCTCATTTCCAAAAAAAAAAAAAAAAAAAAAACACAAATTAACTGGGTGTGGTGACATGTGCCTGTAGCCCCAGCTACTCAGGAGGCTGAGGTGGGGGATCACTTGAGCCTGGGAGGCAGAGGTTGCAGTGAGATAAGATTGCACCACTGCACTCCAGCCTGGGCGACAGAGTGAGACTCTATCTCAAAAAAAAAGAAAAAGAAAAGAAAAAGACGCAGCGTGGGGGCCCCACACCCGGGACACAGGTGAGACCCCAGCCCTGGACTTGGGCCCGTTATTGCCGGGGAGGCTGAGGTTGCTGGGCTGCAGGAGCAGAACTGCCGAGGCACAGCCAGGCCCCTGCCCACCAGCACCACCCACAGGTCAGCCCAGCTGGCACATAAGGGAGAGGGAGGGGCCAGGGCACACAGCAGTGCTGCAGACGGGAGGCTCCCCAGGGCTCGGCCTGGGACAGGACCCCCAACGCCTGGTCACAGGCAGAGGGAGTTCTGTCTGCACAATGCTGGGTACGTGTGCAAGAAGCTCAGGCCATGCACGAAGCAGCCCCCAGGGCTCAGCTCTCAGCACCTCTTCTGCTTTCCACTTTCCAGGGTCTTCCATCAAAGGATCAGTCTGAGCCCAACAGGAACTAGCAACTGCGCTGTGCTGGGAGCCAGAAGGGTCTAAGCACTGCCTGCCCCAGCTCCAGGGGAGGAACCTGGCCACGACAGCAGGACCACGGGCACAGGTCTGAAACCTGGTCTGCAGGACATGCTGCTGTGTCTGTCCCAGCACTGCCTTGCCCAGTTGCAGCCCACACTGATCAGCGGAGAGCCCTGGAAAGCTTGGAGAGAAAAGTCGGTTGACTGTGCAAAGGGCCCTCAGCAACCTACAGGCTGTGAAGGAGGCCACCAAGCTGCCTCCTTAGCCAGGGGTGCTACCCTGAGGGCATGGCCGGCCTGTGCTGGCACAGGCATGTGCAGGGTGGCCGCCTCCTGTGAGCACAAACTGGCTCTTCTGTGAGTCCCTCTAGCCAACCTTGGGTTTGGGGGTGCACCCAACCGCACACAGCGAGTGGCCCGCAGTCACCTCTCTGCCTCTGGAGGGAGAGGAGGCTGCAGAGGTGCAGAGGGCTGGCAGCTTTCCAGAGTGGCAGGCCGGGAAGCCCAGTGTCTGCCTGAGGGGCTGCCCTGGGCAGAACCCTGGGACTTCTGCCTCGACACCCTGGGGTGCCCCCAGCCAAGCCAGCCCTGCCTGGCCTCTGTGACTCCCCAACCCAGCCTGCTTCTGTCCACTTGGCCCCCAGGTCTGCCCCTGGGACTCACGTGCTGACTTGGAGCCTTCTCTGTGCCCAGCACAGGGGCACAGAGTGTGTGGCAGCTGAAGCCTCTATACAGACGGGATGAGGTTTGGGTGCTGAGCAGGAGGGCCTGGGCCCTTTGGCCGACACCCTGCACTGGCTGCCCCCGACCCCAGAGCCCTCCACAGCCACCCCCACATCTCAAGAGCGGCACTTACCCGGGGGTGATGGCAGGCGGGATGACCAGGAGGGCCAGCAGCCGGGCCTGGTGCAGAGCCTCGGCCAAGTGGGTGAGCATGTGGATGAGGCCCCTGCAAGAACCGAGAGATGGGGTCAGCAGTGCCTGGCACTGAGGCCTCTCCCAGGGTTCTGTGACACCCGCTGCCTCAGGGAGGGGTGGGGCTGGTCCCCAGCCTGACACCCTGCAGCAGGGCAGGTGGGCCCCTTCGTGGGAACTTCCTATCCATCTCTGGATGTAGCCCCAACAACACTGTCTCATGCCCCAGTGGGCCCCCTAGAGTGGGGGCCTGTGCAGTACCCCAGGAATCCCCAGAAAGAGGGGCTCCAACAACCAGAGACAGCCCCACGTGTGTACATCACACTTTAGACACCTAAAGACATGGCAGATTAAAAAAAAAAAAAGCTGGGCACGGTGGCTCACGCCGGTAATCCCAGCACCTTGGGAGGCCGAGGTGGGCAGTCACCCGAGGCCAGATCGGCTTGGCCAACATGGCGAAACCCCGCCTCTACTAAAAACACAAAGATTAGCAGGGTGTGGTGGCAGGTTCCTGTAATCCGAGCTACTCAGGAGGCTGAGGCAGGAGAATTACTTGAACCCAGGAGGTGGAGGTTGCAGTGAGCTGAGATCGCACCACTGCACTCCAGCCTGGGCTGAAGAGCATGACTCTGTCTCAAAAAAAAAAAAAAAAAAAAAAAAAAAAAGGACACACCAGGTAAGAAAAGGCCCCCAGCAGGCCCAGGACACTGATCCGAGGGTGGCCGCAGGGCACTCCAAGGGCCCCACCTGCCTGGTGTAGCTCAGGGAAGGAGAGGGCAGGGCACCGGGCAGGGCAGGAGACAGGGAGCAGCAGTTAGGCCTCCTCTGGCCCCTGGAGGTGGAGGGGGCAGGAGCATCTCAGAGCAGGCTGGCAGTGTTCCCCAAGGGATGGCACTAGCCTCCCTCCTAGCACGGCCTAGGAGCAGCCGTCAGGACCCCAGGCCGGCCGTGTGCACACGCTGGTGCCCATGAGTCTACCCTGCAGGTGGCCTCTGCAGAAACTGGCCTGGAGCACATGCTGCTGCAAAGCTGGGTTTCAGGGTGATACGTCCACACTGGGCAGGCTCTGGCTGTTACCGCACGTAGGAGACTGTCACTCTCACGCTGCAGGCCCCTGGGAGCAGCCCCATCTGGGGAGGAGACCCACCCCTTAGGGGATGACAGGAGGACTGAGAGTGGGGCAAGAGCCGGCCCCTGGTGGCCCCAGGTCCCGCCCCACTCCAGCACAAGCCTCTGTGGGGCTCAGTGAGAACCGGGTTAGGTCAGGACGAGGTGACGGTTCCTCAGCCAGTACCCAGAGGCCCTGGTGCTCCCAATGGTGCCAGGACCAGGGCCTGGCATGTGCAACTGCTGCATAGTGGCAGCTCCTGTTTCCCTGACATGGCCCAAGTGGGACTGTCATTTTCCAAGCCAAGCCCCCGTCAATTCCTGGGTAACTCTGGCCCACATCATCTGGTGTTAGTTCTGCCGGCTGCAATGCAGGTACAGTCCTCAGTGGGGAGCAGTGTCTTTGGGCAGCCCGTCCTCACGCCTCTGCAGCTGTGTCCACAACTCTATGGGTACCAGAGGCTGTCACACACTGTGCGCCACTTAGAGGTGGTGGTCAAGGAGGGTGCTGCCCCCGCCCCTGAAACACCAGAGCAAAGTGAGCAGAGTAAGCCCTGCCCAGATGCCTGGGGAAGCTGACCCTACCTGGGGGTCTCCTGCCTGGTTCCCAGCCTGTGGGCTCTATGCTGTCTGCAGGTACCCACAGCTCCCCAGGATGGTGGTGGGATGGCCTTCCTCCAGGGCCACACCAGACCTGAGGGCCAAAAGGTGCCCCCAGCCACTCTGTGAGGGGCCCAGGGAGCCTGGGTGTCCACCCACAGTCAGGCTCACGGTGTGGCCCAGAGCTGGCCTTCAAGGAGGACAGGTGTGAGTCAGGTCTACCCAGGCCCCCAGGAGACAACATGGGCCCCGGAGGCGACGTGAGCTGCAGCTACAGTGCTGCAGCATTGCCCGGAGCGCTCCTCACGACAGACCCCCTCATACTGCCAGCTGCTGGCACTGGTGGCTCCGAGCGCCCCTAACACAGCCCCTCTGGGCATGCGGACAACTGTAAGGGGCTGATCCAGAGCTCAGGAGGGACCAGAGGCAGCAACATCCCTTCTAAGGGCACTGCCAACAAACTCTGCAGGAAAAGCTGCCCCTGAGCCTCTGTCCAGGGCCCAGTGCATGGGACCGAACCTGCTGAGCCCAGTCTCGGGCCTGGCACAATGCGGGCTGGGGTCCCAAGTGGTGGTCAGAGGCAGGACTGTGCTGAGGCAGCTCCCAGGCAGCAGAATGCCCAAAGGAATCTGCCAAGCTGCTCTGAGGAGCCTGGATACTGCCTGCCCCTGCCATGCTGGCAGCTCCCGACCTTCCTGCAGCTCCCCACCTTCCCGCAGCTCCCCACCTTCCTGCAGGAGCCTGGACACGAGGTGCTCGCAGGCTGCTCCCAACCGTCCTCCCCTGCAGTGGCCACTCCGGCTCAGCAATCCCCCTACTGCCTCCTGCCCTCCCACCCTGACGTTAATGACCCGTCGAGCCCTGACACAACGAGGCCGTCTCAGCACCCGCAGCCTCCACCCCAGACACAACGAGCCTGTCTCAGTGCCCCCAGCCTCCACCCCAGACACGAGCCTGTCTCAGCACCCCCAGCCTCCACCCCAGACACAACGAGGCTGTCTCAGCACCCCCAGCCTCCACCCCAGACACGAAACTGTCTCAGGGCCCCCAGCCTCCACCCCAGACATGAGGCTGTCTCAGCACCCCCAGCCTCCACCCCAGACACAACGAGGCTGTCTCAGTGCCCCCAGCCTCCACCCCAGACATGAGGGTGTCTCAGCACCCCCAGCCTCCACCCTAGACACAACAAGCCTGTCTCAGCACCCCCAGCCTCCAATCCAGACACAACGAGCCTGTCTCAGCACCCCCAGCCTCCACCCCAGACACAAGGCTGTCTCAGCACCCCCAGCCTCCACCCCAGACATGAGGCTGTCTCAGCACCCCCAGCCTCCACCCCAGACGTGAGGCTGTCTCAGCACCCCCAGCCTCCACCCCAGACGTGAGGCTGTCTCAGCACCCCCAGCCTCCACCCCAGACACAATGAGCCTGTCTCAGTGCCCCCAGCCTCCACCCCAGACACGAAACTGTCTCAGGGCCCCCAGCCTCCACCCCAGACATGAGGCTGTCTCAGCACCCCCAGCCTCCACCCCAGACGTGAGGCTGTCTCAGCACCCCTAGCCTCCACCCCAGACGTGTGGCTGTCTCAGTGCCCCCAGCCTCCACCCCAGACACAATGAGCCTGTCTCAGGGCCCCCAGCCTCCACCACAGAAACTAAGCTGTCTCAGGGCCCCCAGACTCCACCCCAGACACGAGCCTGTCTCAGCACCCCCAGCCTCCACCCCAGACACGAGCCTGTCTCAGCACCCCCAGCCTCCACCCCAGACACAACGAGCCTGTCTCAGCACCCCCAGCCTCCATCCCAGACACGAGCCTGTCTCAGCACCCCCAGCCTCCACCCGACACAACGAGCCTGTCTCAGCACCTGCAGCCTCCACCCCAGACACGAGCCTGTCTCAGCACCTGCAGCCTCCACCCCAGACACGAGCCTGTCTCAGCACCCCCAGCCTCCACCCCGACACGAGCCTGTCTCAGCACCCCCAGCCTCCACCCCAGACACGAGCCTGTCTCAGCACCCCCAGCCTCCACCCCAGACACGAGCCTGTCTCAGCACCCCCAGCCTCCACCCCAGACACGAGGCTGTCTCAGCACCTCCAGCCTCCACCCCAGACAAGAGGCTATCTCCTGAGGAGCCTCTGGTGCCATCTCACTGCCTACCTAATGCTCTGAAACGGAAATGAGTGTGGCAAATCTCTGGTTAATAGACCCACTCTCCCAGGATTAGTGAGAAGGCTGGAAGCAGGCGGGCTCTGTCTCCTGCTGAGACACCCCTCTCCTCAGAGGGTAATGGAAGGTCAGCCCCGGCAGGGTCCACTGCCCACGGCTCAGCAAGAACCCCCCAAGGCAGGGCCTGGGATTGTCCCTCAGCCAGGAACGCAGGCACCTGATCCTCCGGCAAAGCTGGGGCCCCTCAGAGGCTGTGCAGACGACAGGCTCCCCATAGCCTTGCGGACATCCTTACCCCCACTGCAGTGCGCCTCCCAGCCTCCCTTCACACAGCTCCTTGTCTTCCTGCTGCTGCCAGGCCTCCCAGGAGGGAAGCAGACAGAGGAGCCTCTTGGACACATCCGGTGGGGGGCACACTGAGGGGTGCTGGCTGAGGGAGTGGGGTCTGGGCACCAGGATCCAGTGGGCAACCACATTGAGGGGTGCTGGCGGAGGGTGTGGGGATCTGGGCACCAGGATCCAGTGGGGAACCACACTGAGGGGTGCTGGCGGAGGGTGTGGGGGTCTGGACACCAGGAAACAGGACTCCAGGGCTCTTCTGGAGCCGGGGCCTGGGAGCAGTTCCGGGAAGAGCCTTGGACTGCTGCCTCCCAGCCAGTGAGTCCCTCAGAGCACAGTGGGAGGAGCGGCAGGGCTGCAGAGGCTGGAGCCACTCACAGGGGCAGGGCCTGTACCGGCTCCAGGCTGAGGGTCCTCTGAGCCCCTGGGCAGGAATCCTGCCCTACCCCTCATGGGCTCTGCCTCAACAATGTCCCTTCCCTCCCTCAAGCTTAAGATCTGTGTGGGGACGCTGCCCCAGGTGGGCAGAGCCTGGACCTGCAGCTCCTTTGCCCACAGCAGCAATGGGATGAAAGTGCCATGGCTGCTGCAGGGGACACCATGCAGCCTGAGCTCAGGCCCGGGCTCTTAAAGCCCAACCAGAACTACTTCAGGTGGTGGGGGCGGGGGAGCCGATTCCAGAACCCACGGCTCACACAGAAGGCTGAAGGGCTGGACAGCTGCCATAGGGCTCTGCTGTCCAGGCACCCGCGGTGGAGACCGCACCATCCTCGCTCGTTGCAACCAGTGGAGTGAGAGGAGTCCACCTGTCCTGAGCATGTCGAGGACGCCCCCTACCAACATCCTGGGGAGCAGTACTGTCCCCCTGCTATCTTTTGCGGGGCAGTCGCCCACTTTGGCAGAACAGGGAAGGTAGCTGTTTCGGTGAGTTGGCAGGGCTGCTTGGGCAGGACCAAGGAAGGGCCATTCCTCAGGGCTGTGGTCAGTCCAGTCCAGGCCAGGTGGGGGAGCCATGGCACTTCCTATCACTCCCTCCGTTCCTGGTCATGTGGCCCACAGGGAGTGGGAACCCGCGAGGGTCATGGGTGGGCTGGGCTCTGATGTGGCAAAAGGAGGCGTGAGGGAGTGCTGTGGCCGCCTCCCGGTGGAGTGGACTGCTACAAAGCCTGGGGGCCTGGGAGGCATTCCCCAGAGGCCGCCATGGCGGTCCACACCACGGGTCCTGGCCGTGCTCAGGGACACCCCCAGGAAGGCTCCCCGAAGCTCAGTGAGGAGTTTCTGCTTGTGTCCAAGCTCAACCTGCTGTCACCATCTGGGCCATCTTTCTCTTGCCAAGACCTCATGAATGAGGGTCCTCGAGTTCCTCTGACCGCCCAAGGGAGGCATCAGGCCTGGCGCAGCAATGCGCTCGGAGCCGGCTGCCTGCCACAGGCTGCTTCCACTTTTCTGTTCGGAGCCGGCTGCCTGCCACAGGCTGCTTCCACTTCTCTGAGCAGGTGTCCATCTTTTGTGCAGCCCCGTCCCCACCCCAGGCACAGGGACTGTGGAAGGAAGGCCCTCCCCAAACCCCTGGTCTTTCCTCCAGCCTCCTTCAAACACCAGGGCCAGGAGGAGGGCCACCCACCACCACCTGTGCCCACTCACACGCGCTTCTGGCTTAGCAGCTGGTTCCAGACCTCCACCACGAAGCCATCGAAATGCTGGTTCTGAAAGAAGCAGTCACAGGTGAGGAGGGCCTGGAGGCCCAGGAGGGATGGGTGGAAAGACAAGAAGCCCGCCACCTCGGCCCACATGGTCAGGTTGTGGCCTGGTCACTCACGAGGCAAGACCCAAGCCTGGGCTGTATGCCCAGAAGGGCCTGTCTGAAGGAGGAAGTGTGGGGGTCCCAGAGGAACAGGAGTGGAGGGGCCAGTGGTCTCGTGCATTCTGCCGACCCATGCACCTCCCCCAACCCCACCCCGGGGGTCTGGGGGCTCCCTGACCCGAGGCCCAGGCATACTGGCAGCCAGCAGGGCTGGGTCCCCTCCCAGGAGGGTAGCAGGCAGCTGGGCTTTGCCCAAGGGAAGAACCCTGGCCCAGCAGACAGGTCTCCCATGCCTGGGACCTCCAGAGGACCCATGGTCAAGAAAGCGAGCAGCAGCCTGAGCCTGGCTGATGCTGCCTTCCCTGGAAGATGGGGGCTGCACCAGAAGGTGCCCAGGGCAGAAGACAGAAAAGCCGAGTGGAGGCCTCGCGGGAGGCCCAGCCAGACGGCCAGGTGGGACCCGGGGGGCTGTGCTCAGAGGCTGGAGCAGCACACAGGTCTCACCTTTGCCACCTGGACCACGGTCTTGCTCAGCTCCTCTATCTCATCCTCACTGTCTAAGACGTTCCGGAAATCATCGTAAGTCCAGTCCTCAAACAGGAGCCGAGGCACTGCAGGGGCAACAGACACACACGGGGGCCGTGACTGGGAGATGCTGGAGGGCCCCTGCTGTTTGCTGCCTCAAAAAGGCATCCCCTTGGCCTCCAGAGGGAAGTGAGACCAGACAGTGAGGGGCAGGGAGGCCACCTGGAGCACCCACATGTCCAGAGAGGATGTCCCAGAGCCTCACAGGCTGGAGAGGGAGGGGTGGTGGGGAAGGAGCGAGCAGACACTGACAGTCCTGGTCCCCTGACACCAGCTCCCCACACGGCTCAGCATGGTTGTGGCCCCACCTTACAGGAGGGAGGCTGGGACAGACTCTGGCTGCTCCAGCTCAGCCCTGTCACCTGCTTCTAGCATCCCCCAGAGTCTCTCCCTTGGCAACTTGTGCTCTTAATCCACTGCCTCTGAGGCTGCTACTGGACGTGGGGACACATGTCCCCCCTTCCCCAGCCGTGAGCTACAGGGGCACAGATGGGCCAGGGTCAGCATCACCCTCAGGCCAAGCCCAGGGCTTGGCCCCAGCTGCCCTGATAGGACTCATCATGTGAATGAAGGAAGAAATGGGATTGAGAACAATTAGGGCAATGCCACTGGCCAAGGAGGTGCTGGCTTTGGAGGGCCACAGCCTGTGTGGGGAGGAGAGCTCAGGACTCCAGCCAGACTAAGGGCTGTGAATGCCAGGCCAGGGCCAGCCTCATCTCTGAGCGGTCAAAGTAACCTGTGCCGCAGCAGCACAGCCGGGTGATCAGGAACACGTGGAGACCCCAGTGCCCACCTGTCCACCCCCGCAGTTTGAGCCATCAGGGCCTCCACTCCTGGCCTGCCGCACTTACCTATGTGCAGGCCCTTGGCATGCTTCCTGACAGCTCGCATCCACCCTGTGGGACATGGAGGGGACAGTCAACACAGGCACGTGCGCCCAACTGGAAGACCCAGCCTACCTGAGGAGGAAAACGTGGCAGCCGCACAATACGCAATGGGAAGGGCAGGGGCGGGCAGGCAGGTGTGAGAACCCACCCCTCCCTGGCCCAGGGCTGGCTCTCCACACCCTCTTCCTGACCCCAACTCTCCACCCTTCTGGCCAAGGCCCCCTTCCTGACCCTGCAGAGCAGCTCTGAGCTTACCCTCCCTGAGCTGGGACAGCTCAGAGCCTGTGGCCGGCCAGGGGAACAGGCAGCTGCATCCTAGGGCCTGGGGACGGTCAGGGTTTCTCCGAGCTGAGGGATGGCCAGACCCGCCAGGCCCTGACACTGGCTGACATTCCATCACCTCCCCACGGTTCTCTCAGTGTCAGGGAAAACCACTCCTGCTCTCTGAACTCCAAAACTGCCTAACACTTCCCCTGCCATTTCTCTCTGTCCGAGCCCAAACGCAAGGCGCAGCCACGTAAACTCGGGCAGACGTCATCAGGTCAGGATGTGCCATCAGGAGGCAGCCTCCGCCTGAACCCCACCTTCCTCCCTGGCATTGAATGAAAATCGCTGAGAGAGGGACAGAGGAGGAGAAGCCAATGGCCCGTGCCGTTTGCTGCCCAGAGGCTGCCTGAGTCATTGTAGAGCCTGTCCTGCACACGCCTGTGTGCAGCCCGGAAGTGCAAGGGAAGGCCACCCTCACAGCCACCTGGACCACACGCAGACCTGGGCGGAACACTCTGAGGCACCAACTTGGCCTTGCAGAGGGTCCCACCGTGGCGACCACCTCAGAAACCCCCTCTACCAGGCCTGCCCTGCTCCACACTCACCTTCCCACTTAGCACACCAGCCCACACCATGGGCCTGCTCTGCCGGCTGGGCCCCAAGGGGTGAGGGCGTGGTTCTCACAGTCACCACACTCAACACTCACACCCACTGTCTCACACTTAGACATGTCCACACCGACAGTCACATTCAACACACTCACAATCTCTTCTCTCCCACATCATCAGTCTCACACTTACACACTCACATTCACACTTAAATCACGCAGAGACACACACACACTCCCATACAGAGACACCCACAGAGACATACCTACTCACACACACACACCCCTGCTCTCGCACTCACACTCTTTTCAGCCTGTGGGGCAAGCACAGTCAAGCAGGAAGGATGAGAACCTTGGTCCACGTCGTGGAGGCCCGTGACCTCAAACATCTCACGGCCACGTCTCTTCAGCTGCAGCCAGACGGGTGAGATCTGTGTGAACTTGCTCCCAAAGACCTTGGTGACATCGTAGCCATGGCTGTTCCACTGGCAAAAGATGGAGACATCAGACGGAGGACAGGTGAGTGAGCACCTGTCTCACCATGGTGCTGTCATTCTGGCGCCTCTGGACGTGCCCAGGGCTGGCCAGCGTAGACAGATACCAGCCCGGACTGACATCAGCTCCTGGCCTGGGGTATCCTTCTCCTACTCTGGACTGCCACTCACAGCCTGGGACCCAGGCCACGACATCCCTTTCACCAAAAGTGACTGGTGCTTGTCTTAAGCCCCACCTGGAGCTAGTGCACACCACTGCTGCAGGCTGGCAGCTGGGAACAGCAAGAGAAGAGGAGGCTGGGTGTGAGAACCCACCCCTCCCTGGCCCAGGGTTGGCTCTGCACATCCACTTCCTGACCCCAGACGACCTGCGAGCCCACCTCTGGATTCAGGGGGAACCCACAGAGATCAGCACAGCAAGCCCCTGGAGAGACCCCCAGGGTCTTACACTCTGACATCTCCAGAATGGCATCTCTCCCACCGTAGCCTCACAGCAGCAGCAGCTCCGGGAGATCAGAACATAGACCCCCATCACTGACTGGCCAGAAGAGGCCATCACGGGGCCAGGGCAGCCCACCTGAGCCTCAGGACCTCCCTCTGCACTGTGAGGGCCCCAACTTACTGGAGTGACATAGCCCAGTACATCCCCAGCAAAGTGTCTGTCCCGGGCCTTTGCCGAGCAGTAGCTGCGATGCTCAAGAACCACACTCTCAGCTTTGAGGTCCGTCACCACCAAACCCCGGTCTTGCACCGGCTTATCTGAAAACTGACTCTGAAATAAAAGGAGTGAGAGAAAAGCCTCAGTCATCTGTCCACAGTGTAGAGCACAGAGCCCCACCCAGCAAGTCCCTTCCATTCAGCCAGCAGCCGAGTCTCTGGATCCACACAGTGCTGCTGACCCGGAGACCCTGTATGTTGAGGATCGAGGCCACAGCAGGCAATTCAATTCAGAAGCACTCTGGCCGTCAACAGACACTGGCCGACGGTACAGGGCCTTTCCCACCCTTGCTCCGGGCTGGAAGGCAGGCAGGCAGACAGACAGTTATGGTGGCTCCCTCCTTGCATGTGAGGGTGGACGGTCTGCACCAGCTCTGGCCACTCGATACCCATCCGGGCACTCCAGGGCCATACGCTTTGCTGGACAAGAACATGCCAGGTGCGCTGGGTGCATTGGCTCACGCCTGTAATCCCAGAACTTTGGGAGGCCGAGGCAGGTGGATCACCTGAGATCAGGAGTTGGAGACCAGCCTGGTCAACATGGTGAAACCCCATCTCTACTAAATATGCAAAAATTAGCCAGGCATGGTGGCGGGCACCTGTAGTCCCAGCTACTCGGGAGGCTGAAGCAGGAGAATCGCTTGAACCTGGGTGGCAGAGGTTGCGGTGAGCCAAGATCGCGCCATTGCGCTCCAGCCTGGGCAACAAGAGCAAAACTTCACCTCAAAAAAAAAAAGAAAAGAACATGCCAGGCACACGCCACCATGCTGGCCAACCACTGCCTGCCACCGCCCCCGCCAACGTGACCCTGCTGGCCAACCACTGCCTGCCACCGCCCCCGCCAATACGACCCTACTGGCCAACCACTGCCTGCCACCACCCCCACCAATGCAACCCTGCTGGTCAACCACTGCCTGCCACCCCCCTGGCCAATGCGAGTCTTTTCCTGCCATGTCACACCTGCCCCTACTCCACCTCTGCTCCTGGAAACCTTCCATCCAGTTATCAACTTGTCTCTTCTGTCCACACTCTGTGGCCCGGCTCAGCCTCCCCTTGACCTCGCCCCAAGCGGCCCCGTGAGAGAGAGATGTCCACTGCATGGTTTATTTGCCCCCATACAGCACAGAGAAAGCATCTGCCAGTCCAGGACTAGGTCACAGTTACAGTCCTGTGGCAGGGTCTGGCCAGCGGCATGGGGACTGCTGGGGCTGAGAGGTGGTTCTATGAGTTTACACCCTTGAAGGTGCAATCCCCAGGGCCATCCCAGGGGAACGTCCCAAAAAGCATGAGGCAAACACAGCTCAAGGCCATGATAAAGACAGCAAGATGAAGATGCAGGTGATATAAACGAGAGGTAGAGCATGGAAACTGGCAACTGGCACATAAAACAAGCCCCACGTGGGGTGAGTGGGGAGGCACCCTGCTTGCCCTCAAAACCTGGCTCCAGAGGCTGCTCACTCAGAGGTGCTGACTGGCCAGAGCCCCAGAGCCACACAGGCCACCCACCGGCTGCGGGCTCATCAGGTGCCTTTGTGAGGAGCCAAGCCCCTCGAGCCTCCTGGCTCACAGGCCCCAGTGGACAGAAAGAAGAGGATGATGGATCAGCCCTCAGCCAGTACAGTCACCTCAAGTCCCCAGGCCACCCTTACCTTCTCCAGCAGCGTCTTTGAGGCGGCTTTTTTGGCATCTGACTTTGACAGGGTAGTGTGAACAGGGCTGCAGGCCAGGGCAAGCCAGAGGAGGTTGAAGAGTGTCCGCATGGTAGGTGTGTCACAGTAGGGTCCAACCTCGGGGTCCAGAGGGCTGCAGGGAAAGCAGAGCACATTCAAACAACCGGCAGAGAAATGCAGCACATGGGCAACCCCTCTGCTGATGGGGCCACTTTCTCCTAATAGGGCCTGGGTCCTCATGGCACTGGATGGACCCTTGGCCACTGGGACAGAGCCCTGACCTGGACCAGCCCTGGCGGCCACAGTCTATTCTCCAGTACTCCTGGGCCTCCTGACTGAGCCACTGGTTCCTCCTAGATACCCAGAAAGAAGCTTCCTCACCATCAGCCACAGAACCCTCCCCTCACAGCCCAAGGCCGCCCTGACCACCACTGGCAATCTAGAAAAGCATTGGTTCCCACCTCCTCCTTCAAACCCAAAGAAAGCCAAACCATGGTAGGGCTTAAGTGTAAAATAATGAAGCCACAGGCTGGGCCACGTGGCGGCTCACGCCTGTAATCCCAACACTTTGGGAGACCGAGGTGGGAAGATTACTTGAGCTCAGGAGTTCGAGACCAGCCTGAGCAACATAGTGAGATCCTACAAAAATTAAATATTTGGGCCGGGTGCGGTGGCTTATGCCTGTAATCCCAACACTTAATGGGAGGCTGAGGCGGGCGGATCACCTGAGGTCAGGAATTCATGACCAGCCTGACCAACATGGTGAAACCCCATCTCTACTAAAAATATAAAAATTAGCCAGGTGTGGTGGCGTGCACCTGCAGTCCCAGCTACTCGGGAGGCTGAGGCAAGAGAATCGCTTGAACCCAGGAGGCAGAGGTTGCAGTGAGCCAAGATCATGCCACTGCACTCCAGCCTGGGGACAGAGCAAGACTCCATCTCAAAAAAAAAAAAGAAAAAAATCGTAGGCTCAGAGAAGCCTACGATAATAACGATGATGGTGGTGATGCCACGTTAAGTACTAGGAGAAAATATAGCTACCTATTTATGCAGTCTCAGGGTGGAGAAGGCTTTTCCAGCTATATGAGCAATGGGAGAGATTAGGAAAGAAAATACCACTGGAGTAGAACTACATACAAATGTAAGACTTTCATTCAGGAAATAAAGAAGGAAATGTGAAGACAAATAATAAACCAGAAAGAATATTTGGAACACACTTGACAACGGATTTCTACCCATAATCTATTCATAACATGCAAATAAATCTCACAAATCAAGAAAAGACATTCCAGTAAAAAATGTCCCGGCTGGGAACGGTGGCTCATGCCTGGAATCCCAGCACTCTGGGATCCCAGCCACCACCACACCTGGCTAATTTTTGTATTTTAATAGAGATGAGGTTTCACCACATTGGCCAGGCTGGTCTCCACCTCCTGACCTCAGGTGATCTGCCCACCTCGGCCCCCCCAAAGTGCTGGGATTACAGGTGTGAGCCACTGCGCCCGGCTGTGGGACTTTTTTTTTTTTTTTTGAGTTGGAATCTTGCTATGTCACCACACTGGAGTGCTGTGGCGCCATCTTGGCTCACTGCAACCTCCACCTCCTGGGTTCAAGCGATTCTCCTACCTCAGCCTCCCGAGTAGCTGGGATTATAGGCGCGTGCCACCACATCCGGCTAGTTTTTGTATTTTTAGTAGAAATGGGGTTTCGCCACGTTGGCCAGGTTGGTCTCAAGCTCCTGGCCTCCCGTGATCTGCCTGCCTCCCAAAATGAGCCACCGCGCCCAGCCATGGGGGATTTTCCACATACGTTGAAAACATGAGGATGTTCATGGACCTGGCTCTCCCAGATGCTGGAACACAGACAGGCACTGCCATGCTCGTGGTGTGCCGGTCAATGAAGACGCTACAAGACAGAACTTCCACAGTTCAGTCCCACAGAGAAAGCATGTAGGGAGGGGTGGTAGAAAGCAAACGACATGCCCTTCACGTGGAAGCTTAAGAAACAAAACAAAAAAGTAGCCTGGGCGCGGGGGCTCACGCCTGTAATCACACCACGTCGGGAGGCCAAGGCAGGCAGATCACCTGAAGTCGGGAGTTCGAGACCAGCCTGACCAACATGGACAAACCCTGTCTCTACTGAAAATACAAAATTAGCTGGGCGTGCTGGCGCATGCCTGTAATCCCAGCTTCTCGGGACGCTGAGACAGGAGAATCACTTGAACCTGGGAAGCAGAGGTTGCGGTAAGCCGAGATCGCGCAATTGCACTCCAGCCTAGGCAACAGGAGCAAAAACTCCCTCTCAAAAACAAAGAAACAAAACAAAAAATAAATGAGCAGGCTATCTGGAATTACTGGTCATTGTTTCTTCTCTTTTACTTTATCTGTATCTTCTGGTCTTCCTGCACTAAACTTTTATTACACTGTTCACTTTCAGGTTCTAGGGGCCACCAACAAAAGTGATTCTACTTTCCGGCCGGGCGCGGTGGCTCACGCCTGTAATCCCAGCACTTTGGGAGGCCGAAGCGGGCAGATCACGAGGTCAGGAGATCGAGACCATCCTGGCTAACACGGTGAAACCCCATCTCTGCTAAAAATACAAAAAATTAGCCAGGCATGGTGGCAGGCGCCTGTAGTCCCAGCTATTCGAGAGGCTGAAGCAGGAGAATGGTGTGAATCCAGGAGGTGGAGTTCGCAGTGAGCCGAGATAGTGCCAGTGCACTCCAGCCTGGGCGACGGTGCGAGACTGTCTTTAAAAAAAAAAAAAAAGTGATTCTACTTTCTATCTTTCACTGGGGTTGGGGGCAGCGGCGGTGGGAGCTGAACCACCACCATAGCCCAGCCAGACTGTTAGTCCTTCATGAAGCTTTGGGACACTGCTGGGAAGAAGCTCTTGGCTAGTTTCACAGCTCTGGCAGCACAGACCCCTCTAGACCAGCTGAGAGGCCCACACAGCCTGGGCAGAGGCAGATACCTGACAGGTGGGGAGCTCAGCCCAACTCACTACCCAGCAGCTGGGCACATGGCCTTCCCCTTGGGTCACAGGCTCCTGAGTATATGGGAGCTCAGGCCCAAGAGGCTCCAGGAACCCCAGCCAGGCAGGTGCACCTGTCAGAAGATGCTGCCAGAGCCAGGCCTACCACAGTGCCTACCCTCCTACCCAAAAGACTCCCTGGCCAGGAACCTGTTTTCACTTCCTCTGAAACCGTCCCCTTGACCTGCTTTCTTCTGCAGAGGCACACGCTGCCCCACTTTGCCCTGTCTCTTCCCTGGGTGAGACTGGTGCTCCTGGTGCAGACTGAGGAGACTGTGGCTACCCCCAGGCAGGGAGTTTGCATGCTTTGGTACCCAATACACCCACAACACACCTGCATAGAAAGAACACGCTCCTGGAGCAAGATCAACCAGTGAAGCTCCCCCACCTAGGAGGCAGGGAGCCACAAGACAGCCTGACCTGCAGGCTTATGGGGAGTTAGGAAGGGAACTCACAGGGCAAGCACAGCAGCACCCAGTACATGGAGCCACAGGCAAAGGCAGTGAGTGCTTGAACAGCCACGGCAGTTCCGAGAGGCTGTGCAGGGGGAATAAGAAGGCCCAGGCACAGATCACCACCCTCTGCCCCGATCAACCTCTCCAGCCCCTCTCCTCAGTGATACATCCCAGAATCAGAACCAAGGGCAGCAGCCTGCTGCCACCTCCCCTTAGCCCCACTATCTTTCTGCTGCAGCTGAGGCTTGGTCTGAGTCAGCAACAGCCCCAGGGAAGGTGGGGAGGGTTCTGGCCATGGCACAGGGAAGACGGCCCAGAATCACTTGCCTGGCCAGGCTGAAACGGTGGCTGCCTCAGCTCCCAGGCACCCAGTCTTTGACCCCAGCCCATTCCATGACCACTGGCTCCTTCTCTGTCTTCTGGGTGGAAATCTGGGTCAGGGAGGAAGGAAAGGAATGAAAAACCAAACGGTGGTTCTCCAGGGGACTGGCCCAGGAGTAACTGGAGGGCACACTCAGGTACCCAGTGACCAACCACTATAGGGCTGGGTCTCTGCCCCTACCTGCCGTCCTGCAGATTTGAAACAGGGCCACTGTCCACCCACCTAGTGGCCCCTCTGCCTATGACCTCCCTGCCCCCCAACCTGTGATTTCACACTTCAGGGAAGGAAGAGGAAAGGGTGGAAGAGGAAGACAGTCCTGCCAGCATGTGTCCAGCAGAGGGGACACTAGGAGAACCTAACTGAACACAAGGCCAGGGTACTGCCTCTGTCCACTCGCGCTTAACTTGCCCGCTCTGTGATGGAGTGCTTGGATACAGGCTGCTCACAAATGCTGGGCTGCTTCTTTGACTTGCCATGGAACTTTCCAGACAACTGCCCCAGGGAGATGGTGTGTGTGATGTGTGAGGGGTGCTCACACTGCAACCAGGCCCTTGTCTGGGCTTTGGTACCTCTCCCGCTCCCCACTGCTCACCGGCCGCTCGGCTCTGAGGCCCGTGAGGACACTCTCCATCATGCTCTTCACATAACACAGACTCCCAGGTTCACACACACTGTGTTCCTGCATCAAACCGTTTCTTCCCCAAATGCCAATGACCTTCCCTTGGGCAGAACGGCCCCGCACACAAAGGGAATGTGTTGTGTTATGAAGAGGCACAGGCCCCGACCCTGGTCACCCAAAGGGGTCCCAGAAACCGCTCTGTAACAAGATAAGGTGGAGCGCTACTGCTCCCACTTTCCTGCGCTCCCAGTCCGTAGGTCCAGGACCTCCTCGGTGGTGTTGATGGAAATGATGGGAGTCACAGCAGGGGCTTTCCAATGCTTTTCATGGAGACCAGCAGTAAGAAATGCACTTTACGTCACAGCCCAGCACACGTGTATGTCATGTGTGCACATGTGTTGTGCATGTGTGTACATGTGTAGAGCGACAGCAGCCAATCAGAGCTAACTCTATTCTGCGATGGACGCACTGACAACTCCTGTTCTGTTGTGTTTTGAAGAACTAACTGGTGCATGGCGGCTCTGGCCTGTGATCCTAGCACTTTGGGAGGCCAGGAGTTTTTGACTGGTTTTGGCAACACAGCCAGACCTGGTCTCTACAAAAAATATTTTTCTGCCGGGCAGATCACCCCATCAGGAGTTCAAGACCAGCCTGGCCAACGTGATGAAACCCAGTCTCTAAAAAAGATACAAAAATTAGCTGGGTGCAGTGGTGTGCGCCTGTACTCCCAGCAACTCGGGAGACTGAGGCAGGAAAATCCCTTAAGCCCAGAAGCGGAGGTTGCAGTGAACCGAGATCGCGCCACTGCACTCCAGCCTGGGTGACAGCGTGAGACTCTGTCTCAAAAAAAAAAAAAAATTCTTAGCTGAGTGCGCTGGCGCACACCTGTAGTCCCAAGTAGCTAGGAGGCTAAGAGATTACTAGAGCCCAGGAAGTCGAGGCGGACGGGCGGGCGGGTCACCCTCCAGTTTGGACAGTCAGCAATGGAAGCTTCAAGGGTTGGGGCTGAACCAAGGGTGGGTGGGATCGCGTCTGATGCGCCCACCCTTCACGGGGACCGCGTGCCCCTCACTGGGAGGGCAGCCCGCCTGGAGCCCTACTGCCTCTGCTCCCTCTGGGGGTCCTGGGGACCCGATGGCCACCACTCTGCCACACGAGCCGCGCGCTCACACACTCCTCACCCGCCGGCCACATCCCTTGTCTGCGCACTCAGGCCCCTTCCACCCAGCGCGCCTAGCTCTCAGGCTTGCTCGCCCCAGCGCACGCGCTCCACCTCCCACTCGCGGTCCCCCCGACACGCGCCCCCGTCCACACTCGCCCTCCACCCCCGCTCTCGCTCACCCTCGCTCTCATAGCAACCCTCTCTCACCCTCGTCCTCACACCCTCTCACACGCCCCCTCACACACTTGCTCTCTCTCACGCACCCGCCCGGCGTCGCCCGCGACCCCACGCCCGTCCTCCCGGGGCCGAGCCTCGCTGCCCGGCGCGCCCACTTTGCGGGAGGGAAACTGAGGCCGTGCAAGGAGGAGGAGCAGGGGCCGGCCGCCGCGGGGCTCACCTGCATGTCAGGGAGGCCGGACGGCCACAAACGCACGGCCGGAAAACGCTCCAGCGCGCCGGAAGTCCCGCCCCAGGCGCCCGCGCGCCGCCGCCGCGCACGGCACGCTGGGATGGAGAGGGGCTGGGCCAGGACAGGGGACTGGGCAGGGCTGCCCGAAAGTCGGGGCCGGGGCCGGGGCCGGGGCCGGGGCGGGGCCGCGCCGGGGGCGGACCCCGGGCCCGGCGCGTTCACCTTGAGCGCCCCTGGTGCTCGCGCTGGAGCTGGTTATCAGGTTCCCGGCCCAGGGGTAGCCGGGTTCCCAGCGCCACGGCTCTTAGGCAGGCCTGGCGCCCTTGGCGTGGGGCCGCGCGGGGCCTTGGGCTCCAGGGCCTCTGCCCGGCTCGGCGGTGCCGGGAGAACCGCGCGGTGGGCTCCGCCCCGGCACGCTCCCCCGGGGACCCGGAGTCACCACTCCTGGCGTCCCCCCGACCCCCGCCTGAGTGGACCATCTCCATCCCCAGGCCGATGGCGCCCACTGCGCTGTCTCCAGCGGGGACTGCCCGAAACGCGCGCTCTCTCGGTCCGCACCCCCGCCTTGCACATTGCACGAGCCGGAGCCCCAGGAGGCAAACCAAGTTCCCAACTCAGCCCCTCGCGCTTGGATGAACGAGCGCGTGGCCAGCACTTTTGAGTCACCGCGCATTCTACGCGGCACAGGCTGTCCGACCCCCACCCCCAGCCCTAGCCGTTCCCAGCGCAGTTTCCTACAGAAAACCGCACGGCCGGGCCCCACCCTGCCCCGCTCAGCCGTTCCCGGGGCGCGCGTGGGCTCCAAGACACCCTGCACAGCTGCTTCTCCATTTCTGCTGCTTGGGAGCTTTCTCCTTAAACTAAGCTTTGTCTTTCTTTCTAGTCACGTTTCCTTCTTTCCCTTCCCGGTATTTTCTGCCAGCTGACGCCCACGCCTTTCCTAGAAGGGGCTGGGGGCTGCATGCGGTGCGAGGCACGTCCCCCACCAGCTGTGGGCTCTTACTCAGCTTAGCACTCGCTCTCAGCAAACGGCCTGGATGGTGGCCTGAAGCCTGACCTTTGGGGGTGAAGACCTCAAGTCGGCAGAGCTCTGGAGAGGGTCCCAGTAAGCTATGGCAGGTGTCCTCAGGGACATATGCGCAGTCCTCCCAATGCTAAGGAGGCCATGGCAACATCCAACTTCTCTTAGGAAAGGCACTTAGCCATTTTAGGATCTCATTGAGGTCAGAGGTCTTTGGCGCTAAAGAATTGCAGAATCGATCGGGCAGCCGCCGCCTTTAATCCTAGCACTTTGGGAGGCCAAGGCGGGTAGATCACTTGAGGTCAGGCGTTCGACACCAGCCTGGCCAACATGGTGGAACCCTGTCTCTACTAAAAATACAGAAATTAGGCGTGGTGGCGCATGCCTGTAATCCCAGCTCCTGGGGAGGCTGGGGCAGGAGAATTACTTGAACCTGGGAGGCTGAAGTTGCAGTGAGCAGAGATCACACTGCACTCCAGCCTGGGTGATAAAGTAAGACTCGGTCTCAAAAAAACAAAAAAAAGAATTGCAGAATCTACTTAGGGTTCACTCTGGGCCAGAACTACAGACCTCAAGAGCAGATGGGGCCCGCAGATGGGAGGATAGGAAGCCCAGAGCCAGGCCCCTCTGCAGAGCTCCCAACGGCCGGGTTCCTGGGGGAGTCTTGTCAGTTGCCAGCACAAAGCGGTCCGCTTCCCAATCTGCATAGTTTGTGCCAATGGGCCCCGTGTACCTGCATTGAAAACTGACTTCTTGGCTGGGCGCGGTGGCTCACGCTTGTAATCCCAGCACTTTGGGAGGCTGAGGCGGGCGGATCACAAGGTCAGGAGATCGAGACCATCCTGATTAACACGGTGAAACCCCGTCTCTACTAAAAATACGAAAAATTAGCCGGGCGTAGTGGCGGGCGCCCGTAGTCCCAGCTACTTGGGAGGCTGAGACAGGAGAATGGCGTGAACCCAGGAGGCGGAGCTTGCAGTGAGCCAAGCCATTGCACTCCAGCCTGGGCGACAGAGTGAGACTCTGCCTCAAAAAAAAAAAAAAGAAAAAGAAAAAGAAAACTGACTTCTTTAGGTGGGCACCCACCTTTTAGCCTTAGGAAGATGCTGAATGATACATACCAAGATTTAGGAGAATCAGAACCGAAGTGTTAGCATTCCTGTATTAAGTGAAACTTGAACACATTTCGTATTTTATGTTTTTGGAACATCTAAGATAACTTGCAGTTCACCACATTTAAAATTTGAATCTGTTAAGTTGTATGAGTTTTTAGCCAGGTGCAGTGGCTGACCCCTGTAATCCCAATGCTTTGGGAGGCCAAGGCAGGAAAATTGCCCCCCCCCGCAAAAAAAAAAGTATCACAATGAAATAAGGTTTCACTCTGTCACCCAGGCTGGAGTGCAGTGGATTATGGTTCACTGCAGCCTCCACTTCCTGGGCTTAAGCAAACCTCCTGCGTCAGCCTCCCCAAATGCTGGGATTATAGACATAAGCCACCTCACCAGGCCAATGCATGAGTTACTGAAGCACCCGAGATTCTGTTATCAATTCAGACAACCTAAAGCACGCAAAAAGGAGTGAAAAGAGGCTTCATTTATAAATTGTTTGAAATGTTGAAAATTGCTTAATTGAGTTTATAGATGGGACCAAATATTATGCAGAAGCCCCTTTAAAGTGACTGCAGGCCAGGCGCAGTGGCTCACACCTGTAATCCCAGCACTTTGGGAGGCCGAGGTGGACGGATTGCCTGAGCTCAGGAGTTCGAGACCAGTCTGAGCAACATGGTGAAACCCCATCTCTATTAAAATACAAAAAAGTAGCCGGGCTTGGTGATATGCACCTATAGTCCCAGCTACTTGGGATGCTGAGGCATGAGAATCGCTTGAACTGGGGAGGTGGAGATTGCAGTGAGCTGAGATTGAGCCACTGCACTCCAGCCTGGGCAACAGAGTGAGACTCTGTTAAAAAAAAAAAAGGCCAGGCACAGTGGCACATGCCTGTAATGCCAGCACTTTGGGAGGCCAAGGCAGGAGGATCGCTTGAGCCCAGGAGTTTGAAACCAGTCTGGGCAACATGGTGAAACCCCGTCTCTACTAAAAATACAAAAAAAATTAATCGGACGTGGTGGTGTGCACCTGTAATCTCAGCTCCTCAGGAGGCTGAGGTAGGAGAATTGCTTGAACCTGGGAGGCGGAGGTTGCAATGAGCCGAGATCGCGCCACTGCACTCCAGCCTGGGTGACAGAGCAAGACTCCATCTCAAAAAAAAAAAAAAAGTGACTGTAAAGTCTTCTAGGCTTAAAAGGGAATAATAGGGGGTTTGTAAAATTGAACTTAACAGGTTAATAAATTGGGTTTTGAATTTCTAACTTCAATGTATTGAAATTAAATTTTAATAAATCAAATCCTAATTGTTGAAATTTAATATAAATCCAAGCATAACCACCTTGCCCAGGCACTAAACCAGCCCTCAGCCCCCATTCCCAGCCCTCCTTACCCGGGGTGGGTGTGGAGTGCCCTGGCGGAGGTCCAGGCTCTGCCCTGTAGGCCCAGGTCTGACCTGCCCTGAGGCCCTCCTGCTTGCCCACTGCCTGTCTGCCGTGGGCATGGGGGGGACAGAGTAGGGCAGGGGCAGGCCGGTGGGGTGAGGAGGCCTGCAGAGATGAGTGTTTCTGCTGCTGACTGGATCCCTGCTTTAGGAGACCCCATGCCTTACCTGGGATATTCCTGGGTCCCCAGCCTGAGGATGCCTCTCACAGACATCCTCAAAAGCACTCGAAGGCTGGGAGTGGTGGCTCACGCCGTAATCCCAGCACTTCGGGAGGCTGATCACTTGAGCCCAGGACATCAAGGCTGCAGTGAGCTGTGATTGCACTGCTGCACTCCAGCCTGGGCGACAGATAGGACCCTGTCTCAAAAAAAAAAAAAAATTACTCACACCTGGTTGTTGGAGGTGCCTGGTGGCTGTGGGGCCTTTGGGGCTGGGTTTGTGTCTTCCCCAGGCTGGCCAGTGCTCCTGGGTGGGGTCGCGGCGGCTCTGGGCGACTCCTCATTTGCAGAGTCAGCACAGGCAGGGCCCTTCCCAACAGTGGCAGCCTCGTGACTCTGTCCTGTTCTAACTAGGAGACCTTGGCCTGGGTCACCCAAGGGCAGGACCTGGGCCACTATTGCTGACCACGTCCTGTCACTCCTAGGCCTTGAAACATTCTAGTTCAGAGGCCGGAAGCCCAGGAAGAGAGGGACACACACCAGCACTCCCTGCTGCCTAGCCCTCCCCACCTGTGGACGGAGACATCCTCTCTGGGTGCTGGGATAAGCAAATCCAGGGCAAGCAGGAGGGGGAAGTGGCACACTCACGCCCAGCGGAAGCTTCTGGATCCAGTGCCAGAGCCAGCACAGCAGTTCTCTGCCTGTGTTCCACGTGTGGGCCCCCGCTGGCCCAGCCGGCCCTGGCCAGTGACAGTTGCGTGTAGGTGTCTGGTTGGTTGCTGGGCTGATGCTGAGCCCCGAGGTGGGCATGTGTGGTGGCACGTGGCCCTAGCTTTGTGTATTTGCCCTTTGCAAAGGCTGCGTGCGTCACGGCACCATTGTGGGTTTTATACTTCTCACTATCACACAGCCAACTTAAAGTACCGCAAGCTGGCTGGGTGTGGCGGCTCACATTTAGGGAGGCTGGGACAGGCAGATTGCTTGAACCTCAGGAGTTTGACACCAGCCTGGACAACATGGTGAAACCTGGTCTCTACAAAAACATTTATAAATTAGTGAGTCCTAGTGGCGTGTATCTATAGTCCCAGCTCCTCAGGAGGCTGTTTGGGAGGGTCATCTGAGCCCAGGGAGGTGGAGGCTGCGGGGAGCTGTGATCACACCACTGCACTCCTGCCCAGGTGACAGAGCCAGACCCTGTCTCAAAAAAAAAAAAAAAAAAATCTAGGCTGGGCATGGTGGCTCACGCCTATAATCCCAGCACTTTGGGAGGCTGAGGCAGGTGGATCACAAGGTCAGGAGATCTAGACCATCCTGGCTAACACGGTGAAACCCCGTCTCTACTAAAATTACAAAAAATTAGCCGGGCTTGGTGGCGGGCGCCTGTAGTCCCAGCTACTCGGGAGGCTGAGCCAGGAGAATGGCGTGACCCCGGGAGTTGGAGCTTGCAGTGAGCTGAGATTGCGCCACTGCACTCCAGCCTGGGCAACAGAGCAAGACTTTGTCTCAAAAAAAAAAAAAAAATCTGAAAGCAAAGGGGAAGGGCCGGCTGCCTGGCCTTGATGAGATCAAGAGGTAGTATTTCTCCGTGGTGGTGGGTTGAATGGCAGCCCCCGAAAGCTTGTCTAAGTTCTCACTCCTGTACCCATGAATGCAACGGTGCAACCATATCTAGAAATAGGATCTCAGCCAGGCGCAGTGGCTCATGCCTGTAATCCCAGCACTTTGGGAGGCTGAGGTGGGTGGATCACCTGAGATCAAGAGTTCAAGACCAAGCCTGGCCAACACGGTGAGAACCCATCTCTACTAAAAATACAAAAATTAGCCTGGCATGGTGGCGTGCACCTGTAGTCCCAGCTACTCCAGAGACTGAGGCAGGAGAATCCCTTGAACTTGGGAGGTGGAGGCTGCAGTGGGCTGAGATCGCGACACTGCACTCCAGCCCGGGAGGCAGAGTGAGGCTCTTGTCTCAAACAACAGCAACAACAACAAATAGAAATAGGGTCTCTGCAGAGGTATCTAGGGTGAGGATCTTGGGATGAGATCATTCTGGATATAGGGTGGGCCCTAAATCCAATGACAGGGGTCCTTGTAAGAAGAGAAGGGAGGTCGGGCACAGTGGCTCATGCTAATCCCAGCACTTTGGGAGGCTGAGGCGGGTGGATCACTTGAGGCCAGGAGTTCAAGACCGGCCTGGCTAATATGGCAAAACCCCATCTCTACTAAAAATACAAAAATTATCTGGGTGTGGTGGCACACGCTTGTAGTCCCAGCTACTCAGGAGGCTGAGGCAGGAGAATCGCTTGAACCTAGGAGGCAGAGGTTGCAGTGAGCCAAGGTCTCGCCACTGCACTCCAGCCTGGGCAACAGAGTGAGACTCCGTCTCAAAAAAAAAAAAAAAAAAGGGAACAGAAGGGAGAGGCAGCACTGAGAGAGATACAAGGGGTGAACGTGGGGGTGGGGCCTCCAGAAGGAACGAACCCCACTGACACCTGCTTCTGCCTTTCGAACGGCGAGGCCAGAATGCGTTTCTGTTGAGTTGCAGCCTCTGGTTTGTGGTCATTTTTCAGAGAGTCCTAGGAAGCTCATATGGCCATTTGGAAAGCCTGCAGTGATAATTTTAGTCAGTATGCTTTATTTCCTTTTTTTTTTTTTGGAGTCTCGCTCTGTCGCCCAGGCTGGAATGCAGTGGCACCATCTTGGCTCACTGCAACCTCCACCTCCTGGGTTCAAGCAATTCTCCTGCCTAAGCCTCCCGAGTAGCTGGGATTACAGGCACCCGCCACCATGCCCGGCTAATTTTTGTATTTTTAGTAGAGATAAGGTTTCACCATGTTGGCCAGGCTGGTCTTGAACTCCTGACCTCAGGTGATCTGCCCGCCTCGGCCTCCCAAAGTGCTGGGATTACAGGTGTCAGCCACTGTGCCGTGCTTATTTTCTAACTTTCTTTTTCTCAGACCAACCTTAAAATTGACGAATATTCCACCAGTTCACCTGGCTGGGCCCACAGAGAAGCCTGGGCTGGAGGCCAGGTGGGTGGGTGCTGGCCCGCCCGGAAGGAAGTGCTTGCTGCAGAACCCCCTGGCCAGGGAGCCCCTCGGGTGCTGGGAAACTGACTGTGGGCAGGGCCGGTCTGGCCTCAGCTGGTCTGGCCAGTAGAGCCGGGGGGCATTGCTCCACGGGGGTCTGAGGGAGCCCAGAGGCTATAGACTCCTGCTCTGGGGCTAACAGGAGGCCAGGAGTAGCAGCATCTGTGGGTGGGGGAACAACAGGATTTTCATGGCACCTCCCCACCCCTCCCCCAGCTGGTGTCACCTGCTGTATGGCTCCTGTGTGGCTTTGGGCATTTGGGGAGGTGGGGGAGCATTTACTGATGACTGATGGTGCCTGTGGGAATGGGCTTGGCGGTACTGATGATGAGACACAGGACAGAATGGGGGACGTCCCGATATGCCCTGGAGCCCCAGAGGCTTTATGACGCCCCCCACGTTGTCCTTAGGGTGCACCTTGCACACTGAGGCCTGGTAATCATTAGGTGTTTGTTAGGATCTAGGTTTGTCTGAGTGTGGCAGAGCCCCCAGCCATGCTGTTCCTGACGGAGTGTTAGCCCTCAAACTGTGTTCTGAGGAGGGGGTGGAAAGGCAGGCAGGAATTCAACATCCTGCCCCAAATGGGCACACGTCACCTCTGTTACGGGGTGAATTTTATTTCCTAAAAACACATATATTAAGTCCTAACCCCAGTGCCCCAGGATGTGACCTAATTTGGAGGATTGTGGCAGATGTAATTAGTTCAGATGAGGTCAGTAAGGTGGGCCCTAATCCAATAGGACTGGTGTCCTTTTTAGAAGAGGAGATTATGGCCTTACACAGTGGCTTGCACCTGTAATCCCAGCACTTTGGGAGGCCGAGGCGGGCAGACCACTTGAGGCCAGGAGTTTGAGACCAGCCTGGAAAACACAGTGAAACCACAGCTCTACTAAAAGTTTAAAAAAAAAAATTAGCTGGATGTAGTGGCACATGCCTGTAATCCCAGCTACTCAGGAGACTGAGGCTGGAGAATCACTTGAACCCGGGAGGCGGAGGTTACAGTGAGCTGACATCATGCCATTGTCCTCCAGCCTGGGGGACAAGAGCAAAACTCCATCTCAAAAAAAAAAAAAAAAAAAAGAGGAGATGAGGACACAGAGGAGTACCTAGGGACAACCCTGTGCAGACCCAGGGAGAAGATGGCATCCATAAAGCCAAGGAGAGAGGCCTCAGGAAGAGCATGCCGGTGGACATCTTTTTTTTTTTTTTTTTTTTAGATGGAGTCTCGCTCTGTCGCCCAGGCTGGAGTACAGTGGTGCGATCTCGGCTCACTGCAAGCTCCGCCTCCTGGGTTCACGCCATTCTCCTGCCTCAGCCTCCCGAGTAGCTGGGACTACAGGCGCCCACCACCACGCCCGGCTAATTTTTTGTATTTTTAGTAGAGACGGGGTTTCACCATGTTAGCCAGGATGGTCTTGATCTCCTGACCTCGTGATCCGCCCTCCTCGGCCTCCCAAAGTCCTGGGATTACAGGTGTGAGCCACCGGGCCCGGCCCCGGTGGACATCTTGATCTTGGACTTCCAGCCTCCAGGACTATAGGAAGACAAATTTCTGTTGTTCCAACTGCCCAGGCTATGGTACATTGCAGGGCAGGCCCAGATACAATCTCCCTGCACGTTCTGCTATCACCAGGCAATGCCTAGCTGCATAGGAGGCTGGGAAATGTAGTCTTGATTCTGGGCGGCCACATGCCCACCAAGTCAGGAGATCAGCTACTGTAGAAGGAGGGGAGATTCAGCGGCAGGGCTGGACTCGCAGTCTCTGCCGTCGGCACACGTGCAGGTCTGCAGGGCACACAGTGTACATGCTGCTTCCTGCTCATTGGGTAGCCAGTGAACCATGTGACATCCGAGTCCCCGGGAATTAAACCAGCAGAGAACTCTGGCTCAGCTCTGCAGGGAGGTAATAAAGGTGTCCTACCATCCCTGCTAGGCCCGAAGCAATCAGCAGTGCTGACACTCTCTGTACATTTGGAGTGCCAGAGGCTGTGGGTTTTTTCCTTGTTTCTTTTTCTTTCTTTCTTTCTTTTTTTTTTTTTTTTTTGAGACAGACTCTCACTCATGTCACTCAGGCTGGAGTGCGGTGGTGTGATTTTGGCTCACTGCAACCTCCACCTCCAGGGTTCAAGCAATTCTCGTGCCTCAGCCTACCCAGTAGCTGGGATTACAAGTGCCCGCCACCATGCCTGGCTAATTTTCATATTTTTAGTAGACACGGGGTTTCACCATGCTGGCCAGGCTGGTCTCAAACTCCTGACCTCAAGTGATCCACCTGCCTTGGCCTCCCAAAGGGCTGGGATCACAGGGGTCAGCCACCATGCCTGGCCGGTTGTGGGTTTTTTCTTAGTTTACATTCTTTCACTCTTCCTTTTAATATTAGAATTCCCAGAGCTGGGCCGAGCACAGTGGTTCACACCTGTAATTCCAGCACTTTGGGAGGCCAAGGCGTGGGCCTGGGCTGATGGGATTTGCTGCCGTGGGAGAAATGGCCAGGACAGTGGCTTTCCTTGGCATTGTCAGTGAGTGAGGCCACAGAGGTTCATGACAGTCCCCCAGCCCCACTTTGCTGCCAGGCTGGCTGGGCAGGGGATCGGAATGGGCATGTGCTATAACACCGTGTGGTTGGCGTCTGACAGCATGGAAGTCCAGTGCGGGCTAGTCAGGCTGGTAAAATGGGTCACACCTCAGAACTGCCTCGTGTGCTCTTAAAAACCGCAGCACTCAGGCTATATACCCTGGCCTGTCCCATCAGACCCTCTGAGGGTGTCACTAGTCGTCAGCCGCGCCACTGGTCTACCCCTTGGGTTGGGAAGGGGGCTCCCAGGATTTCCACGTTGCCTTCCTATTACAGTAGGTAGCCAGTCAGACGTGAGCGGTGCGGGAGAGGGCTCCCCTGCTCCCCGTCCCCCAACCAGGAAAGTCAGTTGACCATCAGGTGATGGTCAGGGAGCTGTTTGTTTGTTGTTGTTGTTGTTTGAGTCTCGCTCTGTTGCCCAGGCTGGAGTGCAGTGGCGCAATCTTGGCTCACTGCAAGCTCCGCCTCCCGGGTTCACGCCATTCTCCTGCCTCAGCCTCCGGAGTAGCTGGGACTATAGGCTCCCGCCAGCACGCCCAGCTAATTTTTTGTATTTTTAGTAGAGACTGGGTTTCACCATGTTGGCCAGGGTGGTCTTGAACTCCTGACCTCGTGATCCACCTGCCTTGGCCTCCCAAAGTGCTGGGATTACAGGTGTGAGCCACTGTGCCTGGCTTTTTTTTTTTTTTTTTTTGGCAGAGTCTTGCTCTGTTGCCCAGGTTGGAGTGCAATGGTGGGATCTTGGCTCACTGCAACCTCCAGTTCCCAGGTTCAGGCGATTCTTCTACCTTAGCTTCCCTAGTAGCTGGGACTACAGGTGCCCACCACCATGCCCAGCTAATTTTTTATATTTTTAGTAAAGACAGGGTTTCACTATGTTGGCCAGGCTGGTCTTGAACTCCCTGCCTTAAGTGATCCACCCGCCTCTGCCTCCTATGGGAGAGGATCACAGGCATGAGCCACTGCGCCTGGCCTGGAATTTTCTTGACCATACTTTTTTTTTTTTTTGAGACAGAGTCTCGCTCTGTCACCAGGCTGGAGTTCAGTGACGTGATCTTTGCTCACTGCAACCTCTGCCTCCTGGGTTCAAGTGACTCTCCTGCCTCAGCCTCCCGAGTAGCTGGGACTACAGGCACGTGCCACCATGCCCAGTTAATTTTTGTATTTTTAGTAGAGACGGGGTTTCACCATGTTGGCCAGGATGGTCTTGATCTCTTGACCTCATGATCCCCCGATCCCCCCGCCTCGGCCTCCCAATGTGCTGGGATTACAGGTGTGAGCCACCGTGCCTGGCCTTGACCACACATCTTATGCAGGAGCTTAGAGGGCTGCCCCTCTGTTGGCCCAAGGGTGCCCTGAGCCGGTAACCCGTACTAGGGGCTGCTTGGGACAGACCTTGATGATGTCATCACCCTGCCACCTAGTGGGGTGTCTGGCCTCCTTGGCCTTAGTCACCCCGAGCTGCCCTTCTCCTTTGAGAGCAGGGGGCCTGCTGATGTGGCTGCACCCCCACAGCCTCAGAGGACGGCCCTGAGAGCCTGTGAAGGTGCTGGCCTTGTGCAAGTTACACATCTCCAAGCCTTTGGCAGGAAGGGTCTCCTTAGGAGAAGCTGGGCAGGTTCAGTCCCTGAGTCCTCTGAGCCCCTTTTTCTGCATTATGTCCAGGGATTTCTGTCATTGTAACCATGTTTTAGGGGCTGCCCTGCATGTAGCTTCCAGGAATTTGGCCCAGCAGCAGCCGGACGGACCCTGGGCTGCCAGGCTGGCTCAGTTGATCCAGACACCGTGGGTGCTGCAAAGGACCCAGCTGTTGTCCGGGGCCTGTGTCTCAAAAGCCATCCTACAAGTGTTCTGTGGGGTTTTGTTGACAGAAACTCAGCTTCCCGCTGTTCACAGGTGCCCAGTCATCCCCCTCTGTGCGATTGTGGGTGTGGATGTGTTGGGGCCTGACTCAGGATCAAGGGCTGAGCTGGGCGGGGACTCTTGGGAAGTGGGGCTTGGGGTCCCAGGTTATCGAATTTACCCCATGCCAGTTCTCTGGGCCCCGCACAGCACTGCAGCTCTCCCGCCAGACGTCTGGGGAGGCTGCACCTCCCACCCTGGTGGCTGTTTTGCTGCTGTCTGGGCCCAGCTGTGAATGGCTTTGTATTCCTCCGGCTTTGCAGTGGTGAGAAAGATGTGTGGTCATGGCAGCTCCCACCCGCCCCGTGATGAGCACTCAGGAGCCTGAGCTCATCTTCTCCTCCTTCAGGTGGGCTGGCTATACCTGACGCACCCACCCACCGCAGAGTTCCAGAATGCACCCCTCATGCCTCCCACCCTTCCATGGCAGGGGACAGTCAGTTCCCACAGCCTTCCCTGAGCATGTCACTCCTGGGGACTGCAGGTGCTCAGATGATCACGGGGGGGCCACAGGGTCTGAGCATGCCACCTCATTGTCCCTGAACTCTCATGAGTGCACAGGGACCAACTGTACATGGAACATGCTGCCAGACCCTCTTCTGGAAGGGTCATTGTCTGCAACTTACGCCAGAGATGATGAGAAGGAAACTGGGTCATTTGTAAAACAGACATGTTCAGGTCTGGGTAGGACCCAGGGCATGGCCAGCTAACGCTGCAGGGGCTATATGTTGGGGAACCCTGCTGCAGTGAGACAGCACCTCCACACCGCAGCTTGGGGCCCCAGCCTGTTTTCCCTTCATGATGCCCACGTCGGGCTTGTATCTGTGGACCCTGGCTTCCCCATGGCTGTGGATGAAGGAAAGCGACTCGTCCCCACCTCTGCCCTTGGGAATAGTACTGTGACCTTGCGTGGCTAAAGTATGACAAACGTTCAAATAATTTAAGAAATGGCTGGGCGCGGTGGCTCACGCCTGTAATCCCAGCACTTTGGGAGGCCGAGGAGGGCGGATCATGAGGTCAGGAGATTGAGACCATCCTGGCCAACATGGTGAAACTCCACCTCTGCTAAAAATACAAAAAATTAGCCGGGCGTGATGGTGCGTGCCTGTAATCCCAGCTACTGAGAAGGCTGAGGCAGGAGAATCGCTTGAATCCGGGAGGTGGAGGTTGCAGTGAGCCGAGATCATGCCATTGCACTCCAGCCTGGGCGACAGAGCAAGACTCCATCTCAAGGAAGAAAAAAAAAAAAAAAGAAAGATACTGAGGCTAGGCACAGTGGCTTGTAATCTCAGCACTTTGGGAAGCCAAGGCAGGAGGACTGCTTGAGCCCAGGAGTTCAAGACCAGCCTGGGCAACATAGTGAGACTCCATCTCCACAAAAATCAGAAACTTAGCCAGGTGTGGTGGCGTGCACCTGCAGTCTAAGCACTTTGGGAGCCAAGGCAGGAGGATGGTTTGAGCCCAGAAGGTCGAGGCTGTAGTGATTCATGATTGTACCACTGCACTCCAGCCTGGGAGTCAAAGGGAGAAACCCTGTCTCTAAAATTAAACATAAATAAATAAATAAATAGGCCAGGCATAGTGGCTTGCATCTGTAATCCCAGCACTTTGGGAGACACAGGCAGGCGGAATGCTGGGATTACAGGAGTTCAAGACCGGCCTGGGCACCGTGGTGAAATGCCATCACTACAAAAAATAAAATAAAGAAAAAGAAACTGTTTCCTAGGACTGCGCACTCCCGAAGCTGGCCTCTCCCGAGCCGAGGAGTGGCAGTGGTCAGAGAGGCCCACATGGACTCAGACCCAAGGCTGGGACTGGAGTGAATCATCTGGAGGGCTTGCGTGTCTGCAAGGGCAACGACGCTGGAAGGAGGTGGGAAGTCTTTTGCATGGCTGCATGTCGGGCCTTCTGGGACCCCTAAACACTCTTGTGTGGACGGGAGGATGTCTGTGGGAATCCCAGAGCTGGCACTGAGGAGGAGTCTTCCGAGTGGGCGGAGGGGGATGCCTGCCAGGCCCAAGCCCTCCTGTGGGCAGCCCCTGCAGCACCCCCATTGCCCTGCTCTGTGAGTGGCTGCTGGTGGGGGGGCACAGTGGTCTGCTTGTCTCGGTCTTCTGCACTGCCACTGCCAATGGGAGCTTGGATTAGGCATGCCAGCCTCCTGACGCCCAGAGCCCATGCTCTGCCCACGTGTGTTAGTGGACGGTCCTCGTGACTGCTGGGACTGTCCTGGAGAGCAGCCCAGGACCCCTCACATGGCACAAGATGCTCTTGTGTCCAGAATGGCCTTTATTTGTTGTCAGGGACAGGGGAGGGAAGCTTCTTGGTGGAAGGGAGAGGCTGAAGAATGAACAGCCCCGGGACCACTTTCTCTGCCAGGAGGTGGCACTGGGAGAGGATAGGGACTCCGGAGGGGTGTACCGTCCTCCAGGAAGCCCTCTGCTGGGTCGGCTCCGTGCCTCTGTCTTGGGAAGTGATGGACTTGGTTGCCTTATGCTGACTGGGGTCTGTCACAGATCTTGGTTTTCCCCAGGAGTTCTGGAGGCCCAGAGCCTGGGTGCGGCACCCGGTTCATTGGGGAGGGGCATGGGTCCTGTGCCCTCCTCCTGGCCGGGCTCCACCAGGGCTAAGCTCTCATCTGGGGCTGCGGAAGTGAGCCAGGGTGGGGACAAAGCCCTGGCTGGTGGGTCTGGGCCAGTTCCAGGTACAGGGTCCAGATCCCCCCACTGCAGCAGGAGGGAGCTTCCTGTTCAAAGCCATCTGGCTCTGGGAAGGACAGTGAGGCAGGGCCATCTGCTTCCCCACTCCCTGGGGTCTCTTCCTGGCCGGGACCTGGAGCTGTGCAGCCTGGCCCAGCAGGTCCTCCCTTGCGATGTGTCCACAGGGGTGGGCCTAGGCCTCCAGCTTGCAGTGGTGCAGAGGGCTGGGGAGCAGAGGGGGCCCTGGCAACAGTGGCCAAAAGTCCTGGCGCCGCCGAGGGACTAGATTCCGCAGGGGCTGCCGCCCCCGGCCGCTGTCACTGGGGTGGGGTGGGTGGTTGTTTCTCTGCAGGCCCAGGTGATGTGGAGGGGGCACCTGGGCTGCCACACAGACCCTGGGCTGGGTCGGGCACGGGGCCTGCCTCGCCCCCAGCTCAGGGACCGCAAGAGATGTGGCCCTGGCGGCTCAGGGCGGCAGGAGGGGCGGGCCAGCCCCACCGTCTCAGGATACCGTGCTAGGGGAGGGTTTCCTCGCCAAAGGCCGTCCAGCGGCTGTGACCCCTTCGCCTGGAGCCCCAGCTTCCTCCCGGCGCCGCCCTCCCGCCCCGGCCCCCGCGGAACAAACAAGGCCCTGGCCTCGGAGCTGCCCCGCCGCCCAGCGCTCACAGGTCGTTTATTCCAAGTAAGAAAACGGAGACTGCTCGGGGCAAGCTAGCGGGGCCGAGGCCCAGGACGAGGCCGTACGCGTGTGCCTGCGTGGCCGCCTCTTTTGCAGTGACCACCAACAACGACAGAGGCGGCCCGCTGCACACGCGGGTTCCCGCCCGGACCCACGCCCTTCCCGTGGGGGACGCGGGCGGCATCGCCAGCTTGGCGCGGCCCCGGGACGCGAACGCGTGGCTTCAGCGGCTCCGTCCATGGTGTCCGCCTGCAGGGGGCGCCCCCGCGCCTGCCTCGACCGGCTCGCCCCCGTGCCGCGGACGCGCGCGCGCTGCCTCACGCGACACCCGCCCCGGCCGCCGTCCGTCGTCGCTCGCGTGCGTGCGCGTGCGTGCTGGTGCGGGCGCCGTACGTGCGCGCGCGCGGCGGCCCAGAAAGCGGCGCTGGGACCCTGAGGCGGCCGTGGTTAGGCGGCTCCCCGGCGGCTCCTCCGCGGCGGTGACGGCGACCGCACTCCCCGCTTCCCGCTCCCCGCGCTCCTCCGCCCGGGTCCGCCAGCCGAGGCCGCTCCCGAGCGTCGGAAGATGCCGGCCGTGTCCAAGGGGGACGGGATGCGGGGCCTGGCGGTCTTCATCTCGGATATCCGCAACTGTGAGTGGCGGGGGCGGCGTGGGGCCGGGGCCGGGGCCGCCGGCGGAGACGGGGTCTGGGAGCGGAGGCCCGGGGCGGGGCCTCGAGGCGGGGGTGCAGGCTGGGATGCGGGCGGGGCCCGGGGCCTGAGGGTGCGGGCGGCGCTCGGGGTCTTGGGGTACCGGGTCTGGGGGTGGGGGCCAGGGTGCGGGGTGGGGGTCCAGGGTCTGGGGGTGCGGGCGGCGCTCAGAGTCTTGGGGTATCGGGTATGGGGGTGCGGGTCAGGATGCAGAGCGGGGCCCTGGGTCTGGGGGTGCGGGGTGGGGTGTCCAGGGTCTAGGGGTGCGGGGTCTAGGGGTTTAGGGCACGGCCCTTCATCCACATCTCCACTCCCGTTTGCTGGTCCGTGCGGGGGGCTGCGGCACCACCAAGGGGGTTCCGGGCCAAGACGCCCCTCCCCAGCATGATGTCACCTTGGTCTTTCTAGTACTGGAGCGTTTAACCCAGCGTTTTCCAAAACGGCGTGGATTTTAGCTTTGGGAGCAGAAATCTGGAAATCAGTGTCTTCCCAGGAAACAGCTTTGTGACCTGGGTTCTGGAGGCTTATTAACCCCTGATTAGATCTCACCTACGACGATTAAAATGACTCATTCCCGGAGGGAATCTGGACACGAGCAGCAGTCGGGGTGTGGGATGGCCTCGCTGCCTGCTGCTCCAATCACAGACCTCGTTCTCAGCCCCGTGCCTGTCCCCTCGGGGTGGGAAAAATCCACACCAAACCGTTAAACAAGCCAGGAAGGCTGGGCCTGTTAGAAGGATGTGCAGGGTGGCTGGGTGGGTGCACCGGTCCACCAATTAATTTGACTTTGGTGTGCAGAACCTCCTCTTGGCTTTCAGAGGCCATCTCCTTATTTAATTTGAGGGAGAAACAAAGCCAGTTTCCTGTCTGCTGCGTTGATTTTTTTCCTTGTTATCCAGCAAATAGTTGACTTCATGATTTTTGTTTTTCTTTTTTTTGAGACAGGGTCTTGCTCTGGCTCTCAGGCTGGAGCGCAGTAGTTCCATCACGGCGCACTCAACCTCCCACCTCAAGTGATCCTACCACCTCAGCCTCCGGAGTCACTGGGACTACAAGCGTGCACCACCACCATGCCTGGCTGATTTTCGTGTTTTTTGTAGAGATGGGGGGGTCTCGCCATGTTGCCTAGGCTGGTCTCGAAATCCTGAGCTCAAGTGATCCACCTGTCTTGGCCTCCCAAAGTCCTGGGGTTACTGGCGTGAGCCACGGCACCCTCATAATTTTTAATGTGTATTTTGAGGGACTGTTGTGATCTTCCCTTTGAATTCTCATCTCCTTAGACGGGATGGAGGATCAGGAGGATAGTGGTTCTCCCACACTCTGTGGAAGGGTAGAGGACCATCTAACCCTTCCTGTACTCTGTTAAAAAAAAAAAAAAAAAGCATAGAGCTGGGTGCGGTGGCTCAAACCTATAGTCCCAGCATTTTGGGAGGCTGAGGCAGGTGGATCTTTTGAGCCCAGAAGTTTGAGACCAGCCTGGGCAATGTGGTAACACCCTGTCTCTACAAAAAAATACGAAAATTAGCTGGGCGTATTGGTGTACACATCTATAGTCCCAGCTACTTGGGAGGCTGAGAGAGGAGGATCACTTGACCCCAGGAGGTTAAGGCTGCAGTGAGCTGAGATCGCGCCATACTCCAGCCTGGGTGACAGAGTGAGACCTTTCTCACAAAAAAAAAAAAAAAAAAAAAAAAGGCTTAGAAACACCCTCAGATCAGCACTTTTACGAGTAGCATTTTTTCTCTTTGTTTGTTACATAATGAGACCAACATGCATTTTGTAAAACTAAGTGTGTGTATTATTTCTTAAGGGGACCTCTGGGACAAAGACTGAGTACCCTTAAATGCGCTATGATGTCTGTCCTTCCATTTTTGAAGAAAATTGCGTTAGGCAGGACAATGAGATTGAAAGCCATTTCCTCAGACAGCAAGTCACCCACTTGTCAGATATATTGTCTGTGCCAGGGCCTGCGTTTGACAGGATGGCGCCTACCACAGTGAGTGCGGTATAGCCGTCCTCCCTTATTTGTGGTTTCACCTTCTGAGGTTTCAGTTACCTCTGGTGATCTGAAAATAGGTGAGCATAGTACAATAAGATATTTAAAGAGACCACATTCATATAACTTTTATTACAGTATATCATTACAGTTCTTTTTTATTATTGGCTTCTGTTAATCTCTTACTGTGCCTAATCTGTAAGTTAGACTTTTTCATAGGTATGTGTGGGAAAAAAGCAGCTTGTATAGGATTTAGTATCATCTGAAGTTTCAGGCACCCACTGAGTGCCTTGGAACGTATACCTGTGGATATGGGGAAACTGCTGTACTCTATAAAATACTTGACTATATAGACCAGACTTTCTCCAACTCAGCAGAGCTGACATTTGGGGCTGGATCACACTTTATTGTGGGGAACTGTTCTGTGCCTTTTAGGATGTTTATAGCAGCACCAGTTGCCTTAGTTGTGATAAGGAACAATGTCTCCAGGCATTGACAAATGTGCCCTTAGGGCAAAGTTGTCCGCCGTCGAGAACCACTAGTGTATCCCATTGAATAACACAGCCCCTCCCCTGAAGGAGCTCGTAGAAGAAGGGGTGCTTAGTCCTAGCTGGGGGAGCCAGGTCTCTTTAATACGGCCCCTTTCTCGGAATCCTCTTTCCCTCATTGCTGTTGGATGGCCTCTCATCAGCTGCAGCGCCCACCATTCTCCTCCTGGGCAGTGTCTTCAGCTTGTGGTGCTGCTTTTCACCTGAGTGGCCCCATCTCCCCCACTGCCCTCTAGGGTGGCCTCTACAAGGTGCGCACCCTATCTTGCTCATCACATTTTTCCTGCTGTTCTCCTCATGGCGAGCGTCTGGCATGCGAGGTGCATGCCAGAGAAGACCTCACAAGGAAGGTGATTCTTGGGCAATTCAGGCAGAAGACCAAGAAGGTATTAGAGGAACAGCAAATAATTAATGTATATACGTATTGAGTTAATGAATGTTGGCTGGTGCCTGGAGACGGGATTGGAGAGCCAGCCAGGGTTTGAGCTGATCTGAACTTGACCTCCATGTCACAGGCAGAGGGGTCCCCGCTTCCCCTTTCCCTGGCCAGCTCTGATTTTGTGTGCTGTTTTCCTGTCATGAGAGTGAATGATAGGAGTAGTCGGGCCCTGTGGAAAGAGGACTCTGAGCCAACAGCCAAGGCTCTTGACCCTGACTCTGCCTCTTAGCAGCTGCATGAGTGGAGGCCACTGGCCATGGAGCCTCAGTTTCCACAGCGGACAGTTGAAGGGCTGGATTTTCAGCTGAAATATCATTAAAGCTGCGTGAGTGGAGGCCACTAGCCACGGAGCCTCAGTTTCCTCAGCTGACGCTTGAAGGGGCGGATTTTGAGCTGAAATATCGTTAAAGCCTGTTTCAGCTCCAAATTTGCGTCTTTCTGACCAGTTTCTTAAGTTTTCCTCCTTTAGCCTGGGCAATATAGTGAGACCCCTGTCTTTTCAAAAGAGAAAAAAGAATTAGCCAGGCGTGGTGGCACGCACCTGTGGTCCCAGTTACTCAGTGGGCTGAGGTGAGAGCATTGTCTGAGCCCTGGAGGTTGAGGCTGCCATGAACTCGGATTGCGCCACTGCACTCCAGCCTGGGCAGCCTGAGGAGCAGATTGAGACCCTGCCTCAAAAAAAAAGTTTTTCCCCTCCAAGACCTGGTGCCAGCCGGGTGCGGTGGCTCACGCTTGTAATCCCAGCACTTTGGGAGGCTGAGGTGGGCGGATCACCTGAGGTCAGGAGTTCAAGACCAGCCTAGCCAACATAGGGAAACACTGTTTCCACAAAAATACAAACATTAGCTGGGCGTGGTGGCATGCACCTGTAGTCCCAGCTACTCCGGGGGCTGAGGCGGAAGAATCGCTTGAACCCAGGAGGCGGAGCTTGCAGTGAGCTGAGATTGTGCCATTGCACTCCAGCCTGGGTGACAGAGCGAGACTCTGTCTCAAAAAAAAAAAAAAAAAAAAAAAGCCCTGTGCCAAGTATCTGAGGTAGCGGACAGGGAGCATGTGGACACTAGGATGCTCTGTTTTCACTTCAAGTAACCCACTCCCAGCAGACTGGCTTGGGGCATTACTCCTCTTAGCATAGGCAGCAATGAATATGCTCCAGGATTTGAAAAGGTGCCTCGTGTCAAGCTCTGCCCCTCAAAGTTGTAGCTTTTGTGGCTCAGGTAGTGAACTAACTTAATGTCTCCTAAAATTAACTTCATCCTTTCTGATTGACGTCAACCCAGCGGCCACTGCATTTGGTCAGCATGCATTCAGTGTGTGAGAGTTAATAAACTGTTTCTTTTTTTTTAAATTGGCATTAAAAAAATTCTAGTCCTTTTATTTAGTCCCAGTTTTAGAATTTTTTTTTTTTTGAGACGGAGTTGCGCTCTGTCGCCCAGGCTGGAGTGCAGTGGCGCGATCTCGGCTCACTGCAAGCTCCGCCTCCCGGGTTCACACCATTCTGCTGCCTCAGCCTCCCGAGTAGCTGGGACTACAGGTGCACGCCACCACGCCCGGCTAATTTTTTGTATTTTTAGTAGAGACGGGGTTTCACCGTGTTAGCCAGGATGGTCTCGGTCTCCTGACCTCGTGATCCACCGGCCTCGGCCTCCCAAAGTGCTGGGATTACAGGCGTGAGCCACTGTGCCTGGTGCCCTACCTTTCTTAATGTGGACATCTTGCATAACTACAGGACATATTCAACACCAGGAAACAGACACTGGTACACACCACCAGGCATATTCAGATTTCGTTAGATCGACATGCACGTGTGTGTGTGTGGTTCTATGCAGTTTAGCACCTGTAGCTTTGTGTAACCGGTTCCCTACCTCAGTCAAGATACAGAACTATACCATCATCACAAAGCTACCCCTTATAGCCATACTCCTGAAACTAATCTGTTCTCCATCTCTGTAATTTTGTGGGCTCAAGGATGTCATATAAAGGGAATCACATCATATGTGATCTTTTGAGATTGCTTTTTTCCCCCTCAGTACAGTCCCATCGAGGTCCATTCAGGCTGGTGCATTGATTGACATTGTATTTGAGCAAAAGATACCGAGAAAACAAAATAACTGCTGAAATTGGGGAAACAAGACCATAATTATTTGCTATTTATTCAGTTATTTTGGAACTTTCGTTTGTTTTTACACAAATGACATATCTGCAGAGGAGAGTTGTATCTAACTTAGTGAATGCATGTCTTTATGCATTGCTGTTGACATGCCAACACTAGAATATTGTTGGAGAGACACAGCACTGCTGAAAATGTTGTCAGGCTCTGAGAATTGACTGCAAAACAATCAGGACTGCAAGGAAAGGGAAGAAGTGATAAGTCCTTTTGAGACCGGTCAGTTTGCCAGGAAAACAACTTCAGGCAGGAAATGACCATTTTTATTTCTCTACATGTGGTGCTGGTGTGGTGCAGATGCTTGGAGGCGTTTTCTTTAACCCCCCCAGGTCCTCACATGAAGGGGAAACAGATGGAGAGATGTTATTAGCAAGATGGCAAAAATGAATTTCCATGGTCTTGAAGAAAGTGATACAGTTTTGCTGCAGGTTTCACGATAAATTAGAAAAATTATCAGTGCTCTGCTCATTGTGGTTGGCATAAAACTTGGTCCCTTCCATTTCTTGTTTTTTTTTTTTTTTTTTTGAGGCAGAGTCTCCCTCTGTCACCCAGGCTGGAGTGCAGCGGTGTGATCTCGGCTCACTGCAACCTCTGCCTCCTGGGTCCAAGTGATTCTTGTGCCTCAGCCTCCTGAGTAGCTGGGGCTCCGCCACCACCACGCCCGGCTAATTTTTTGTATTTTTTAGTAGAGACAGGGTTTCACTGTATTAGCCAGGATGATCTCGATCTCCTGACCTCGTGAGCCACCACGCCCGGCCAGGTTCAAGTGATTCTTGTGCCTCAGTCTCCCGAGTAGCTGGGATTACAGGTGTCTGCCACCACGCCTAGCTAATTTTTGTGGAGACGTGGTTTCACCAAGTTGGTCAGGCTGGTCTCGAACTCTTGGCCTCAAGTGATCCACCTGCCTCGGCCTCCCAAAGTGCTGGGATTACAGGCGTGAGCCCCTGTGCCTGGCCATTTCTGTTAACTTTCTTGAAATTAGATACCCTTTGAATTGTGTTTCAGTGGGACTAAAGTTAAATTTTATTTGTTCATGCAATTCCAGTTATGGAGTCATAAATTAGATATGGAGAAACTGAACACTAAATTTTAAACTCTGCTTAAACTTCAGTATAAAAATTAAACATAAAGTTATACTGATTTTCGTGCAGACGAGTGAAGATCAGCATCAGAATTGGTCAGTCTGCTTTTGCATTTCTTAAATAACCTTCACAGTTAAAAGCTCATTTTGTCCTTTTGACTGTACATTCCTAAAAAGTGCTGACTCTTAGAAAAGAATGCTCTCCTTGCATGTCTTCTTTTGCATGCTTCTGCATAATGTGTGTTCCTTAGAAACCAGTTTAGGAAATGTGTCATGGTGGCTATGGAGAGAAGGAAGGAAGTCCTTGCTCGGGTTGAATTTTTCTTGCCAAGGTTGGTGGTCACTGCTTCTGGGACACCCTGGTTCTCTTCACAGTGTTTTCCGTCTGGCTCCTCTGAAGGTCAGGATCACTTTCTTTTATGACAAGTTGAAGTGTCCTGGTGGTGAACATATTTTGTGCCAGATACTTACTATTACTTCTCTTTCCTCTTAAAATGAACTGTTACTTTTGGTAACAATCTGTGTCAAGATTTTGTAGTAGAAGAGTTCCTGGAAAGGCTGTCAGTGAAGGATTAAATGGCATTTCCTTGGCTCTTAAAAAAATCAAATACGCCGGGCGCTGCGGTTCACGCCTGTAATCCCAGCACTTCGGGAGTCCGAGCCAGGTGGATCACCTGAGGTCGGGAGTTCGAGACCAGCCTGACCAACATGGAAAAACATGTCTCTACTAAAAATACAAAATTAGCCAGGTGTGGTGGCACGTGTCTGTAATCCCAGGTACTTGGGAGGCTGAGGCAGGAGAATCACTTGAATTTGGGAGGCGGAGGTTGCAGTAAGCCAAGATTGCGCCACTGCACTATAGCCAGGGCGACAAAGTAAGACTCCGTCTCAAAAACAAACAAACAAAAAACCCCAGAAATGAACAGTTTTTACCAGGCCACATGATGTCCCAGACTTAGATTATAAAACCACATTTGCTGATTCTGGCAGCATGTTCCTTCTTCAGAACCTTCCTGACTTTAGCTTGAAAGCTGAGCTGGTTGAAACGTCTTGAAAAGCAGTATGTGCAGTTTTGTCACGAGAGAATTTCCGGGTGGGTGGGATAGGTTGAGGTGGGTGTTCCCGTGTAGAAGTGGGGGCTGAAGCTGTGTGGTAAGATGAGCTCTGTGCTTGGGACAGGGTTGTAAGGGTCTGGCCAAGACGCATAGAAGAAATAGCATGTGAGTAGGAAGCAGCCCTATTTTAAATAGCGCCCTGGAGACTTGAATTGGGAAGAGGACCAAGAAGAGTGTGAGGCAGTGAGATGCCCAGCACCAGGGTGGGAGAGGCGAGTTCCAGTGACTCGTGGGCACTCAGGAGCGGGGATGACCCCAGAGACACAGGGAGCTTGGAACCATGCTTCTGTATTCAGACATGACTTTCTGCCAGCTTTGCACGCTTTTTCCTGAAACATTGTTGGCAGAGGGGAACTTGTATCTTCTGTTCAGTTGATTCTCGATTTTAAACGTTTGTTGCCTTTTGGAGCCTGCACTTCCCCTTACCTGGTGATTGGAGTGTGGGAATGGTTGGGGGTATCAAGGCTTCAGCAGGCTGGGAAGGTGGCAGGAGCACAGGGTGCCAGGGGTGGGCTGAGGGGCTGGTGGGTGCTCCGGGATTTTAGGAGGAGTGCTGTGCCCACAGCTGCTGTGTGTCCCTGAGGCCAGGGAAGTCCTGACTCCCATGCTAGGTTCTTTCTGCCCCATGTAGCTCCCTCAGCGCCCCCACCCCGATACCTCAGGAAACTCCAGGTCGAAACTCCAGGTCGAGTGGCAGACCTCCTGCTGGGTGCGTTCTTAGGAATAACACTTCTAGCCGGGGGTTTGGGTCAGATCCTGATTCTACTCTCCTTTGTTTCCCACTTTTAAATTTTTTATATTTATATTTAAAATTTAGAGACAGGGTCTCACTATGTTGCCCAGGATGGTCTTGAACTCCTTGGCTCAAGTGATCCTCCCCCATCAGCCTCCCAGAGTGCTGGGATTTATAGGTGTGAGCCACTGCGCCCAGCCCTTTCCCACCTTTTCAAATTGTAGCCCTGTCGAGAGCCTGGAGTCTTCATCTTTGCCTGAAATTCAGACTCCGAGTTGTGATGGTTTTGTGTTCATCTCTGTGCTTGGCTTCAGGATACTCCCCATTTACCTTTCTTCTCACCCACCCTAAGCTTTGGTGTCTGTCTACGGGTTTGCTTAGAAGTGTAGAGACCAACAGCCAACATGGGGTGCCTGGCTTTTGTTTTTGCGTTGTGGGGTGTTTTTCTTACCTTTAAAATCCCTCTGATGGCAGCACAAGGGTGTAATGAGGATTAGTTATTTAGCATATCTAAAGAACTTTGAGCTCCTTAGGGCAGGCGGCACTGTATTAGGATTTATGTTTTGCTTTTTCTGTGGACCGCCTTTGTGTTTCATGTAATGTAGCTGAAATAGCAAGTACGTGTTTCTTTTCTTTTCTTTTTTTTTTTTGGAGATGGAGTCTCATTCTCTCACCCAGGCTGGAGTGCAGTGGCGCAATCTTGGTTAACCGCAGCCTCTGTCTCCTGGGTTCAAGCGATTCTCCTGCCTCAGCCTCCGGAGTAGCTGGGATTACAGGAGCGCACCACCATGCCCGGCTAATTTTTGTATTTTTGGTAGAGATGGGGTTTCACCATTTTTTTTTTTTTGAGACTGAGTCTTCCTCTGTTGCCAGGCTAGAGTGCAGTGGTGCGATCTCTGCTCACTGCAACCTCTGCCTCCCAGGTTCAAGTGATTCTCCTGCCTCAGCCTCCCGAGCAGCTTGGACTACAGATGCGCGCACCACCATGCCCGGCTAATTTTTGTATTTTTTTTAGTAGAGACGGACTTTCACCATGTTGACCAGAATGGTCTTGATCTCTTGACCTTGTGATCCGCTAGCCTCGGCCTCCCAAAATGCTGGGATTACAGGTGTGAGCCACCGCGCCCAGCTGGGGTTTCACCATTTTGGCCAGGCTATTCTCAAACTCCTGACCTCAAGCAATCCACCCACCTCGGCCTCTCAAAGTGCTGGGATTACAGGCATGAGCCACTGTGCCTGGGCGGTTTTGAATTTTTAGTAGAGACAGAGTTTCGCCGTGTTGGCCAGGCTGGTCTTGAACTCCTGACCTCAAGTGATGCGCCTGCCTTGGGCCCCCAAAGTGTTGAGATTACAAGTGTGAGCCACTGTGCCCGGCCAGTTTTTTTTTTTTTTTTTTTTTTGAGATAGAGTCTCGCTGTGTTGCCCAGGCTAGAGTGCAGTGGTGTGATCTCGGCTTACTGCAACCTTCGCCTCCCGGGTTCAAACAATTCTCTGTCTCAGCGTCCTGAGTAGCTGGGATTGCAGGCACCTGGCTAATTTTTTGTATTTTTAGTAGAGACGGAGTTTCACCATCTTGGCCAGGCTGGTCTTGAACTCCCGACCTCGTGATCCACCCGCCTTGGCCTCCCAAAGTGCTGGGAATTACAGGCGTGAGCCACTGCGCCCGGCCTATTCCTTTTTTTTTTTTTTTCCCCCAGGCGGAGTCTTGCTCTGTCTCCCAGGTTGGAGTGCAATGGCACTATCTCGGCTCACTGCAAGCTCTGCCTCCTGGGTTCATGCCATTCTTCTGCCTCAGCCTCCCGAGTAGCTGGGACTACAGGCGCCCACCACCACGCCTGCCTAATTTTTTTTTTTTTTATTTTTAGTAGAGATGGGGTTTCACCGTGTTAGCCAGGATGGTCTCTATCTCCTGACCTCGTGATCTGCCTGCCTCGGCCTCCCAAAGTGCTAGGATTACAGGCGTGAACCACTGCGCCTGGCCTTTTTTTTTTTTTTTTTTTTTTTAAAGATATAGGGTCTTGCTGTCGCCCAGGCTGGAGTGCAGTGGTGTGATCACAGCTCACTGCAGCTTCGACCTCCTGGACTCAAGCAGTCCTCCCATCTCAGCCTCTTGAGTAGCTGGGCCTACAGGACATGCCACCACACCTGGCTAATTTTTTAAATAAATAAATAAATTAGTTATTTATTGACAGGGTCTCATTCGCATTGCCCAGGCTGGAGTGCAATGTTGCAATCATAGCTTACTTCAGCCTTGACTTCCTGGGCTCAGGTGATCCTCTTGCCTCAGCTTCTTGAGTGGCTGGGACCACAGCCACACCTGGCTAATTTTTAAAAAACTTTTTTGTAGAAATGGGGTCTTGCTTTGTAGCCCAGGCTGATAACGAACTCCTAGGCTTGAGTGATCCACCTGCTTCAGCCTCCCAAAGTGCTAGAATTACAGGTGTGAGCCACCACGCCTGGCCTGGTTTATTATTAGATGCTTGACGTTGTGAATTTCACCTTCTTAGAGCAGAATATTTTTGTGTTTCTTTTAATATTCTTGAGCTTGGTTCTGGGAGGAGGCTAAGTACCTTGGGAACAGTGTGATTCCTACAAGGCAGCACCACCGCAGCCTGTAGTCTGGGGCTAGTTTTACCTCACTCGAGGCAGTGTCTTCTCTGAATGCTTCTTGAGGCCGTTGTTTGATGTGGTTTTTCCTCCGGCTGCTGGGCCTGTGCTGCGGCAGGGGCTCTTCTCTCCTCTTTCCTGAGACTCTTCCCTCTGCTCCAGGGAGTTTCCTTTATTTCTATTTAATGTATTTATATTTGTTTATTTATTGAGATGGAGTCTCTGTCGCCCAGGCTGGAGTGCAGTGGCGCGATCTCAGCTCACTGCAACCTCTGCCTCTGGGTTCAAGTGATTCTCCTGCCTCAGCCTCTGAAGTAGCTGGGATTACAGGCGCCCGCCACTATGCCTGCCTAATTTTTGGATCTTGAGTAGAGACGGGGTTTCACTATATTGGCCAGGCTGGTCTCGAACTCCCGACCTTAGGTGATCCGCCCGCTTCGGCCTCCCAAAGTGCTGGGATTACAGGTGTGCGCCACCGTGCCCAGCCTATTGTTATTTACCACTGACCACAGCGCAACACCATTGTCCGTCTCCAGAAAGAGGCCTTCAGTGCCGTGAGCGCATGTCAGATCTCTGCCATCTTCTCAAAGCACACTTTGAACAGTATCTTTTAAAAGTTCACTTTTGGGGCCAGGCAAGGTGGTTCATGCCTGTAATTCCAGCACTTTGGGAGGCTGAGGTGGGAGGATCTCTTGAGCCTAGGAGGTTGAGGCTGCAGCGAGCCACGTTTGCGCCATTGCGCAGCCTGGGCGACAGGATGAGACCCTGTCTCAAAACACCACCACCAAATTCACATTAGCCTACAGTTGGGCAAAACCATCTAACACAAACCCTATGTATAAAAAAGGATTGAATATCTCATGTAATTTATTGAATACTGTATGAAAGTGGAAAACAAGGTGATTGGGCACTTGATGTACGATTTCTACTGAGTGCGTGTTGCTTTCATGCCATTGTAAAGTCAAAAAATCGTTCAGCTTCACCATCACAAATTGGAGACTGTCTATACTTATTTACAGATAAGGAAACTGTGGCGTGGAGAGGTTGTCAGTTAGCCTAAGTCCCGGAGCTCCCGAGAGGTGGAGCTGGAGCTTGAACTGTGTCGGTTTGCCCCTGAGATGCCTGCCTGCCACCTTTCTGCCTCTGATTGCCTGGAGCACCAGGCAGCCAGGTTATGCTTCTGCCTGGAGGGAGCAGTCTCATTTAAAAACAAGAAACAAAACGCATGCTTATTGGTTTGTCTTTCCTGTGACTTCTCTGTGCCCCTTTGCATTTGATGAGTCACTGGGGTGTTGCTTTATGATGGTGACAGACCCTCTGTTGGGGCCTCTCACCTGGGTCGCCTGTGTGCCGGCTGGTGCCGCACGAAGGCCAGCCTTTCCTTACAGATGCTGCCTTGGCTACACCGACCCTCCCTGTGGCTTCTCCCATCGCCTGAAGTCCCCACCAAACCCCTATACGATACTGAGGTTTTAAAGCTTTTGAAATTATGTTTATCCCGTTAACCCCTTGTAGTTTATTTTCTTGTGAGATGGGTCTCCATCATTCCTCGCATCGATTACCAAATATGTTCTAGAACATTTATGAGGTAATGCTTTTTTCTCCTTGCAATGCATCGTCAACTGTATTCTCAAATGTTTGTATGTTTTTTTTTTTTTTTGAGACAGAGTCTCACTCTGTCCCCCAGGCTGGAGTGCAGTGGCGCGATCTTGGCTCACTGCAAGCTCTGCCTCCCGGGTTCACGCCATTCTCCTGCCTCAGCCTCTCGAGTAGCTGGGACTACAGGTGCCCGCCACCACGCCTGGCTAATTTTTGGTATTTTTAGTAGAGACGGGGTTTCACCGTGTTAACCAGGATGGTCTCCATCTCCTGACCTCGTCATCTGCCCGCCTTGGCCTCCTGAAATGCTGGGATTACAGGCATGAGCCGCTGTGCCCGGCCCAAATGTTTGTATGTTTTTACAGACTCCTTCTGTGCTTTCTAGTCTGTTCTATGAAAATGTTGATATGTTTATTTTTAGTTATTAGGAAGTAACTGGGCAGGTCTTCCTAATAGCGTTTATTCTTGTGACTTTCTTGTCTAGGCTTGTCCTTACTTAAATGTTTTAAAAGATTAAAAAAGTTAAAGAATGTAGTTTAAGGCCAGGTGCGGTGGCTCACGCCTGTAATCCTAGCACTTTGGGAGGCCGAGGCGGGTGGATCACGAGGTCAGGAGTTTGAGACCAGCCTGGCCAATATGAAACCCTGTCTCTACTAAAAATATAAAAAAATTCCCTGAGTGTGGTGCTGGGCACCTGTAATCCCAGCTACTTGGGAGGCTGAGGCAGCAGAATCACTCGAACCCGGGAGGTGGAGGTTGCAGTGAGCCGAGATCGCACCATTGCACTCCAGCCTGGTGACAGCAAGACTCTGTCTCAAAAAAAAAAAAAAAAAAAGGTTTAAGAAGTTAATTATAAAACATTGCCCCTGCCTTGCCCACATTTCTAAACCTGAGTGAATTATTTTCATTTTATAGCTGTTTCTTCTTAAAAATTTACTTTAAGAATGATTGCTTTTTAAGTCTAAATTGTGTGTTCCTACTATTTATGGGTGTTCTTTCCCCCATTTAGTCATTACTTATTGACTTTTTTTGAGACGGGGTTTCGCTCTGTTGCCCAGGCTGGAGTACAGTGGTGGGATCTCGGCTCACTGCAACCTCTGCCTCTCAGGTTCAAGTGATTCTCCTGCCTCAGCCTCCCGAGTAGCTGGGCTTACAGGAGCCTGCCACACTCCCGGCTAATTTTTTGTATTTTTATTAGAGACGGAGTTTCACCATGTTGACCAGGCTGGTTTTGAACCCCTGACCTCAACTGATCTGCCCTCCTCGGCCTCCCAAAGTGCTGGGATTACAGGCGTGAGCCACCGTGCCTGGCCTGTTTATTGATGCCTTACTCTAGAAGATGAGTCTTTTAACTCTTGCTCAAGTTTCTCTTCTCCTGTACTTGTATATGTGTAATATTTTACCTGATTAATGTCTATTTCATGTCTGAAAGTACTGTTCTCAGCCGAGAATAACAGTTCAACTTTTGGGTCAGTTTTTAATTTTTTTGAAAGTTAATGATTGCCTTTTGTTTTGCTTACTTTTTTTTTTTTTTTTTTTTTTGAGACAGAGTTTCACTCTGTCACCCAGGCTGTAGTGCAGTGGCGCGATCTCGGCTCACTGTAACCTCTTCTGCCGGGTTCAAGCGATTCTCCTGCCTCAGCCTCCAGAGTAGCTGGAACTACAGGTGTGTGCCACCTGTCTGGTTAATTTTTGTGTTTTTTGTAGAGACGGGGTTTCGCCATGTTGGCCAGGCTGGTCTTGAACTCCTGACCTTAAGTGATCCACCCGCCTTGGCCTCCCAAAGTGCTGGGATTACAGCCGTGAGCCACTGCGCCGGCCCGTGTCTGAAATTTTAAGACGATGTGCCCAAGTGTGGCATTTGGTGGCCTTATTCAATCTGGAAACTTATGTCTTTTGGGCTCTAGTGGAAAATATTCTTGTTGTATTTTGTTGCTAACCTCTTCTGTTTCATTTCACTTTCTCTTTTCTCTGTATTTCTCTATGGTAGTTGAAATTATACCTCCTGGTGTAGATTTTCCTGCCTTTCTGCCTTTCGCGTTCTGTTTCCACGACTCTCAAGTTTGTCCTCTAGCCCTTGTTTTGCATTTTTAATTTCTGCTGTCAGTTTTATAGCTTGAGAGCTTTCTCATGACCCAAGTGCCCCTTTTTTGGTGGCATCTGTTTCTTTAAGCTGTATTTTATCTCGTCTGTGTAAAGGTGTTTCCTTTGGCGTTTCCTTCTGTGCATTGTCTCATTGCTTTGAATGCCTTTTGTGTAGGTTTGTTTGGTCTCTGGCCCATGCTGTGAGGTTCTGAGCTCTCACTTTGTGCTTGGTGGCTGGTGGCTGTCCACCCATGTGTACCAGTGCCTGCCAACCTGAAGGGCTTTGGCAGGGGCCTTCGCTGCAGGGTGAGGTCTGAGGAGGAGCCTGAATGCTGGTTCAGTTCTTCCAGAGGACTCTCGACTCTCTTCTCTTGCTTGGTGAGCAGGTGGGTGTTGTGAGCCCGGCTGCCATCATTCTGGGATGGGGCATCTCACCCCTCGGGGAGTCTGTCACTGCGCTGTGCTGCTCTCACGAGGCCCCTTGCTCCACACTCCGTGGAGCTCGGAGCTTTTGTGTTCTCACTTTTCCAGCTTGTCTTTTTCTGAGATGGGGGCCGAGGGGCCTGCCTGGCTGCAGGGTCTCATGGCAGGGATCTGCTGCTCTCTGTATAGACTTGAAGCCCATCCTCCTGACATCGGTCTCCTGAGGTTCCTTTCATTCCCAAGCCTTTTCGGGTTCTCTGTTCGAGACGGTTTGCTTCTTAATTTGTCTTCCCTCCTGCAGGTAGCTGGGGTGCAGCTTGCTCTCCTTGGCTGAGTCAGTTACTGCTTGACCATTGCTTGGCAATGTCCAGGATTGTGATAACTCTATTGTCCTTGATGACTGATTGTTTCTACACACATGCCCCGGCCCCCATTTATGACTTCTGATATATTCTTGATTTATCACTGCCTGAGAGAAGGCTTTGGGGAGGAATAATTTGACTTTATGTAATTTTTATTTTTTTTAGAGATGGGGTCTTACTATGTTGCCCAGGCTGGTCCTGAACTCCTGGCCTCAAGTGATTCTCTTGTCTCAGCCTCCCAAAGTGCTGGGGTTACAGGCATGAGCCACTGTGGCTGGCTGCTTTCTTATTCTTTTTTTTTTTTGAGATGGAGTCTCACTCTGTTGCCCAGGCTGGAGTGCAGTGGCGTGATCTCGGCTCACTGCAATCTCTGACTCCCAGGTTCAAGCGATTCTCCCACCTCAGCCTCCCAAGTAGCTGGGACTACAGGCATGCACCACCACGCCCGGCTAATTTTTGTATTTTTAGTAGACATGGGGTTTTGCCATGTGGCTAGGCTGGTGTTGAACTCCTGATCTCAAGTGATCTGGTGGCCTTGGCCTCCCAAAGTGGTGGGATTACAAGCATGAACCACCATGCCCGGCCTCTCATGCTTAAATGAAGTAGTAATACCTGACCTTTTATTTTTTATCTATTTATATTTGAGATGGAGTCTCGCTCTGTCACCCAGGCTGGAGTGCAGTAGCGTGATCTTGGCTCACTGCAACCTCCGCCTCCCAGGTTCACTCCATTCTCCTGCCTCAGCCTCCTGAGTAGCTGGGACTACAGGCGCCCACCACCATGCCCGGCTAATTTTTTGTATTTTTAGTAGAGAGGGGGGTTTCACCCTGTTAGCCAGGATGGTCTCGATCTCCTGACCTCGTGATCTGCCCGCCTCGGCTTCCCAAAGTGCTGGGATTACAGGCGTGAGCCACCGCGCTTAGCAATACCTGACCTTTTAGTAAATCAAATTTGGGCAGGTGGTTCTGAGAGCTTGTGTGGCATGTATTTCTCAGTGGAATTTTAAATAGAATGGTGACTCGGCATTTATTCCTTGTCTGAAGTAAGCAAGTAGGAAGGACCTTGTTCCCCATTCAAGGGAATGAACGGTGTGGTATGTACTTTGCAAACCTACGTATGGGATTAGTCTGTAGTGCTCTGAAACCTAGAAATCAAAGGAAAGGCATGGGGCCTTTGACCGACTGACCTTTGTTTCTTGCTGGTAATAGAATATAGTAAATGGAAATTTATCTCAGTAGTTTAGTCAGTAGATTCTGTTATTGGTAATGATGGGTGAGTCCAGGGGAGTTTGGATACTTGAATTTTCCAGAGAGATTTGTTTAAACCCTGAACTGAAATGTTTTTTCTCATGTATTTTTTGATGACTTTAAAAAATAATTTCAGCCTTTATTTTAGATTCTGGGGGTAAATGTGCAGGTTTGTTATGTGGGCATATTGTGTGACACCAAGGCAGTTTATCATGGTGGATGATAAAAGGGGACTCCCTTAGGTCGAGTGTTGCTGAAAGACCTCTCTGCGGAAGTGACATTTCATCTGGGTCCTGAAGCTGCCTGGGACCAGCCTTGTCCCAGCCTGGAGGGGAGAAGGGCTTGAGGTGGTAGAGAGCCAGTTGTGTTTCAGGACCTGAGAGGCTGTACTGTTGGAACTCAGTGAGCGAGGAGAGGAGCTGGCATAAGCCGGATTGCTGGGGGAGGCCAGAACGTGCTGGGCCTTGAAGGCTCCGGCATGAGTCTGATTTTATCCTGGGTGCCTTGTAGGAAGCTGCCAAAGGAAAGCGAGTGAGTAACAGGTCTGATGTAATTATATGACAATATTACACTGTAGCAGGACAAGCCACAGACAAAACCCCTCAGACACCGAGTTAAAGAAGGGCTTTATTCGGCCGGGAGCTTTGGCAAGAGTCAAATCTTCAACAGCCGAGCTCCCCGAATGAGCAATTCCTGTCCCTCTTCAGGGCTCACAACTCTAAGAGGGTCCACGTGAGAGGGTCGTGATCGATTGAGCAAGCAGGGGGTATGTGACTGGGGGCTGCATGCACCTGTAATTAGAACGGAACAGGATGGGACAGGGATTTTCACAGTGCTTTTCTATACAATGTCTGGAATCTATAGATAACATAACTGATTAGGTCAGGGGTCGATCTTTAACTACGAGGCCCAGGGTGTGGCACCGGGCTGTCTGCTTGTGGATTTCATTTCTGCCTTTTAGTTTTTGCTTCTTCTTTCTTTGGAGGCAGAAATTGGGAATAAGACAATGTGAGGGGTGGTCTCCTCCCTTAATGCCAGCTTCTCTGTGGAAAGTAGGTTGGAGGTGAGTGGAAGGTGAAAGCTGCGAAGAGTCCCAACTGGAGATGCAGGTGGCAGCGGAGATGGCGAGAATAGGAGAGTCCGACCGGAGATGCAGGTGGCAGCGGAGATGGCGAGAATAGGAGAGTCCCGACCGGAGATGCAGGTGGCAGCGGAGATGGCAAGAGTAAGAGAGTCCCGACCGGAGACGCAGGTGGCAGCGGAGATGGCGAGAATAGGAGAGTCCGACCGGAGATGCAGGTGGCAGCGGAGATGGCAAGAGTAAGAGAGTCCCAACTGGAGATGCAGGTGGCAGCGGAGATGGCGAGAGTAAGAGAGTCCCGACCGGAGACGCAGGTGGCAGCGGAGATGGCGAGAATAGGAGAGTCCGACCGGAGATGCAGGTGGCAGTGGAGATGGCGAGAGTAAGAGAGTCCCGACCGGAGATGCAGGTGGCAGTGGAGATGGCGCGAGTAAGGGAGTCTGACTGGAGATGCAGGTGGCAGCGGAGATGGCCGGAATAGAGCACTCGTTTGGAGGAAAAGCGGACAGGTCGACAGGATGGATGTGATGGGGGCCCCGAAGGAGAGGATGCTGTAGAGACTGACATGGCACCTCTGGTGATCCCGTCGCTCAGGAAATGCTCGTTGTTTTCCAGCTGTGTTGCTCAGAAGCTCTTGGGACAGTTTTTGGTGCATTATGAGCACTCAGAGATGTGGTGCTATTGCTGGGTACCTGCTGTCTGCAGAGCATTTATTCTTACCAAGTATTTATTGAGAGCCTGCTACAATGCCAGGCACTTCCCAGGATTCTGGGACTATGGCAGGGAAAAAACAACTCCGTGTTCACATGGAGCTTGCATTCTAGTGGACAGAGATCAAAAAGAAAAACATAGTTTAGTGGGATGTTAGAAGATGATAAACACAACAGAGAAATATCATTCTAGTGGATAGAGATCGAAAATAAACACGAAATTTGGTGAGATGTTAGAAGATGATAAACACAACAGAGAGATATTAAGGGGGGAAGGTGATTGGGTAAATGAGGGTATAGGTGTTCAATTTTAAGTAGAATGATCAGGGCCGGCCCTTCTGTGAAGGCAGCAGTTGAGCAAGGACCTGGAGCTAGTGAGGCAGTGGCCACGTAGAAGTTAGTGGGGAGGGCGTCTTGGCAGAGGGAGTGGTAAGTGCAGAGGCCTTTGTCGGGGAGGATGACTGCTGCACGGAAGAAACAGCAGGAGGCGCATGTGGCTTTAGGACAGCAATCCTGGGTGGAAAGGCAGTAGGGGGTTAGGTTGGGGGGAATGAAGGTGGGGGACAGGTGGAGTAGGGCCTTTCCTAGAGCTTTATAAAGACTGTGGCTCTTACTAGAATGCTAAACACTGAGTATCCTTGAGTAGCTCAGGCCTTTGTAATGCAGAGTGGTGAATGGTGTGAGGGGTGAACAGCTTCGGAGAGGTCAGGCATGGAATGCAGGGGTGATGCTTGGCTCAGGTCTTGCTAGGCTGATGGGATGTGGGGGATGGTCTGGAAAGGGTGGGCAGTCCCGTGTGCCACGCTGCAGAGAGGCATGAGCAGCAGCAGGACACATGTGATACATTGAGGGTGACTCCTAGCGTGGGTAGGGCCTAGTGGGGCACGGGAATGTGGCTGGAGACCAAGGTGGGAGAGGCAGCCAAAACCAGATGGTAGGACCTCCTGTCTAGGATGTGGGCTGTTTAAGTATTTTAAGCAGGGGAATGACACTCAATTTTTAAAAATTTTTTTGAGATGGAATCTCTCTCGTCACCCAGGCTGGAGTGCAGTGGTATGATCTCAGCTCACTGCAACCTCCACCTCCTGGGTTCAAGCGATTCTCCTGCCTCAGCCTCTCGAGTAGCTGGGATTATGAGTGCTGCCACCACGCCTGGCTAATTTTTGTATTTTTAGTAGAGATGGGGTTTCACCACATTGGGCAGGCTGGTCTTGAATGCCTGACCTCAGGTGATCCGCCCGCCTCGGCCTCTCAAAGTGCTGGGATTACAGGCATGAGCTAATGCATCCAGCCTCACTTTCTGTTTTGCTGGTAGAATAGTCATTTTGAGGCCAGGCATGGTGGCTGAGGTCTGTAATCCCAGCACTTTGGGAGGCCAAAACTGGAGGATCTCTTGAGTTCAGGAGTTCAAGACCAGTGTGGGCAACTTAGTGAGACCTTATCTCTACAAAAAATAAGAACAGAAAAGGAAAAGAATGGTCATTTTGGATATAGAGGATGGGTTTTAGGTGAGGCTTAGAGGCAGGAAAGCCAGTTAGGAAAAGATGGATTGCTTTGGTCCAGAGGAGACGGCGAGGATCTGGAGTGGAAAGGTAGGAGTGACATGTGGAGGTTTAGAAAACAGAATCAACAGAGGCATGCATGCTAAACATTCTTCATTCGTGACAGCTTTGAGTCTGCATCAGAAATGCCACTTAGCCGGAATGGTGGAGTGAGGCCTCTGTAATCCAATCCTCCATAAAAGCAGTGAAAACACTGGCAAAAATGGTCAAAATCAACTGTCAGAACGCGAAATTAACCAACGGTTGCGACACTCTGAGGAGCTTTTATCTGTGAACAACTGTGGCACCTCTAACTCAACCTCCTCCCATTCTCTTCTCCCCAGCTCCGTGGTAACCATGGAAACCAGCTGCCTTATAACCATGGTAGCTGGGAAAGCCAGCAGCCTAGCAGCTACTGGAGGGGACACATGAAGGCTGGAGCTCCTCAGCAAGTCCCGGCTGCAGAGCATGTCACTCTCGGACCTGTCCCACTTACTGAGCTTGCCATCGTATGAGCTAGCTCAGTGTGAAAACCCTGTTTCTGAAAGAGAGACTGTCAGTTGAGAATTCTGTGTCCAGTAAAACTGTCCTTTGAAAATAGAGGAATTGGCTGGGTGTGGTGGCTCATGCCTGTAATCCCAGCACTTTGGGAGGCCAAGGTGGGTGGATCATCTGAGGTCGGGAGTTCGAGACCAGTCTGGCCAACATGGTGAAACCCCGTCTCTACTAAAAATACAAAAATTAGCCAGGCGTGTTGGCGAACGCCTGTAATTTAGCTACTCAGGAGGCTGAGTCACGAGAATTGCTTGAACCTGGGAGGCGGAGGTTGCAGTGAGCCAAGATTGTGCCACTGCACTCCAGCCTGGGTGAACAGAGCAAGATCCTGTCTCAAAAAAAAAGAAATTAAGATATTTCCAGGTAAACAATAAACAGAGGACATTTGTTGTTTTAGCCAACCTCCCTTATAATACATACTGAAAGGAATGTCTCAGGCTGGAATGAAAGGACACTAGGTGGTAGGATACGTGAAGAAATAAAAGAACAACGGTGAAGACAGCTACATATGTCAAGTTAAAAGACAATGTAAGTGCACTTTTGTAACTTTTAGTCTCCTGTCTTTTTTTCTTTTCTTTTTTTTTTTTTTTTTGAGACGGAGTCTCCCTCTGTCGCCAAGGCTAGAGTGCGGTGGCGCCGATCTCGGCTCACTGCAGCCCCCACCTCCCGGACTCAGGTGATTCTCCTGCCTTAGCCTTTTGAGTAGCTGGGATTACAGACTCCCGCCACCAGGCCCAGCTAATTTTTGTATTTTTAGTAGAGACAGGGTTTTGCCATGTTGGTCAGGCTGGTCTCGAACTCCTGACCTCAGGTAATCCACCTGCCTTGGCTTCCCAAAGAGCTGAGATTGCAGGCGTGAGCCATTACGCTTGGCCCCTATCTGCCTTAAAAGACAACTGTACAAAGTAATAATTATAAAGCTGTTTTGATAGGCTTATAACATATAAAGGTGTGATTTGACAGTTACAGCACAAAAGAGAAGTGAGGGAAGAGCTTTATAGGAGCAACATTTCTCCGTACCATTAGAATTAGGTTTGTGTTAATCAAAACTGGATTGTTTTAAGTTAAGGTGCTAGTTGGCTGGGCGCGGTGGCTCACACCTCTAATCCCAGCGCTTTGGGAGGCCGAGGTGGGCGGATCACTTGAGGTTGGGAGTTCGAGACCAGCCTGGTCAACATGGCAAAACCCCATCTCTACTAAAAATACAAAAATTAGTTGGGCATGGTGGCGTACTTGGAGACAGGCCAGATGTAGTGGCTCACGCCGCCTGTAATCCCAGCGCTTTTGGGAGACCAAGGTGGGAGGGTTTCTTAAAGCCAGGAGTTCGAGAGCCTGGGCAACAAAAGTGAGACCCCCGTCTCTACAAAAAAAAATTAGCCAGGCCCAGAGATGTGCCCTTATAGTCCCAGTTACTTGGGAGACTGAGACAGGAGGATTGTTTAGCCTGGGAGTTTGAGGTGCAATGAACTATGATCACGCCCCTGCACTTCAGCCTGGGTGACAAAGCAAGACATTGTCTCTTAAAAAAACTTGGAGATAAATGCAAATAAAAACACAGCATTCCAAAAATTATACACTGCAGTGAGAGCAGGGCTGAGGGGGAAGTTTATAACTGTAAATACCTACATTAAAAAAGATCTCAAATCATTAACCTGTGTTTCACCTTAAGACACCAGAAAAAGCACGAACAAAACCTAAAACAAGAAGGAAGAAAATAGCAAAGATGAGAGCAAAGATTGGTTATTTGAAAAGATCATCAAAATTGGCAAACTTAGTGAGACTGACTGAGATAAAAAGAAGACTCAGATTGCTAAAAGCAGGAATGAGAGGGGAGATTATTATTCACCTTACAGAAATAAAAAGGATTATAAGAGAATTCCATGAATAATTGTGTAACAAAATATTAGATAACTTAGTTGAAATGGACAAATTCCTAGAAAGTCGTGACCGAAGCTAACTCAAGAAGAAATAGAAAATCTGAATAGTTGCTCACTTTGGCAACACATATACTAAAATTGGAACAATACAGAGATTAGCATGGCCCTTGTGTGAGAATGACACACAAATTTGTGAAGCATTCCATAAAAGAAAACCTAAATAGACTTATAATAAGTAAATAGATTGAATTAATAATTTAAAAACTTGTCACGGCCGGGTGCAGTGGCTCATGCCTGTAATCCCAGCACTTTGGGAGTCTGAGGCACTCGGATCACTTGAGGTCAGGAGTTCTAGACCAGTCTGGCCAATTTGGTGAAACCCCGTCTCTACAAAAAATATAAAAATTACCCAAGTGTGGTGGTGCACACTGGTAATCCCAGCTACTTGGGAGGCTGAGGCAGGAGAATCTCTTGAACCCAGGAGGTAGAGGTTGCAGTGAGCCAAGATCGCACCATTGCATTCAAACCTGGGCAACGAGCGAAACTCCATCTCAAAGGAAAACCCAAAAACTGAAAAACAAGATCTTGTCACAAGAATAAGCTCTGGGCCAGGTGGCTTCTCTAGAAAAGTCACACTTACTGAGCTTGTCATTATTTGAGTTCTACCAAACACTTAAAGAATTAATACCAGTCCTGGCCGGGTGCAGTGGCTCATGCCTGTAATCCCAGCACTTTGGGAGGCTGAGGTGGGTGATCATTTGAGGTCAGGAGTTCAAGACCAGCCTGGCCAACATCTCTACTAAAAATGCAAAAATTGGATGAGTGTGGTGGCACGCACCTTTAGTCCCAGCCACTTGGGAGGCTGAGGCAGGAGAATCGCTTGAAACCGAGAGGCGGAGGTTGCAGTGAGCCGAGATCATGTCACTGCACTCCAGCCTGGGCGACAGAGAGAGACTCTGTCTCAAGAAAAGAATTAATACCAGTCCTTTACAAACTCTTTGGAAAAGTAGGAGGGCATACTTAACTCATTCTATAAGGCCAGTATTATGCTGATACCAAAACTAGACAAAGACATGACAAGAAAGGAAAATTACAGGCCATTATCATGAATATAGAAACAAGAATCTTCAACCAAATGCTAGCCAGTTGAATCCAGCAACAACGTATAAAAAGGATTATACAGGCCGGGAGTGGTGGCTCACACCTGTAATCCCAGCACTTTCGGAGGCCGAGGCGGGTGGATCACGAAGTCAGGAGATGGAGACCAGCCTGGCCAACATGGTGAAACCCCATCTCTACTAAAAATACAAAAATTAGCTGGGTGTGGTGGCATGTGCCTATAGTCCCAGCTACTCAGGAGGCTGAGGCAGGAGAAGTGCTAGAACCCGGGAGGCGGTGTTGGCAGTGAGCCGAGATCACGCCACTGCACTCCAGCCTGGGTGACAGAGAGAGACTCTGTCTCAAAAAAGAAAAAAAAAAAAACAGGTTTATACACCAGATTCGAGTGAGAATTGTCCCAGGAATGCAAGGTTGGCTTAACATCTGAAAATCAATCCATGTAATACTTCATATTAATACCATAAAGGATGAAAAAATGCCTGGTCATCTCCATAGATGCAAAAAAGAACAGGATTGGAGGATTCACATGCTGATTCCAAAACTTAATACACAAATGATTAAGATAGTATAATACTGGTATAAGGACAGATACGTAGATACTGAGATAATAATATTGAGAGTACAGAAGTAAACCTTTACATTTGTGGTGAATTGATTTTCAGCAGGAGTGCCAAGATAATTCAATGGTGGGGGAAAAGAATAGTCTTAAACAAATGGTGCTGGGATGACTGAATCTCCATGTAAAAGTATGTAAATGGACTCCTACCTTACACTATGCACAAGAAATAACTCCATGGATCATAAACCCAACTGTAAGAGCTAAAACTATGAGACTCCTACCAAAAAAACAGGAGTAAGTTTCTGTGACTTTGGAATATGGTTTTTTTTTTTTTTTTTTGACAGAGTTTCGCTCTGTCACCAGGCTGGAGTGCAGTGGCGTGATCTTGTTTCACTGCAATCTCCACCTCCCAGGTTCAAGAGATTCTTCTGCCTCAGCCTCCTGAGTAGCTGGGGCCACAGGCCTGCACCACCATGCCCAGCTAATTTTTGTGTTTTTTTGTAGAGATAGGGTTTTGCCGTGTTGGCCAAACGCCATTCGCTTGCCTCGGCTTCCCAAAGTGCTGGGATTACAGGTGTGAGCCACTGTGCCCGGTCTGGAATATGATTTCCTAGGTGACAACAAATGTGCAAATGACAAAAAAAAAGTTAATCTGGACTTCATAACGTGTGCTACAAAATACTATTTAGAAGGTGAAATGGCAACCTGAGAATGAGAGAAAATATTTGAAAACCGTGTACCTGATAAAGGGCTCGTTATTTAGAATATATAAAAAACTTCATGAAGACAACTAAATTAAAAAATTGATGAAGTGTTAGGGGCTGCGGGTGTGGTGGCCATACCTGTAATCCCAGCATTTTGGGAGGCTGAGGTAGGTGGATCACCCGAGGTCAGGAGTTCAAGACCAGCCTAGCCAACATGGTGAAACCCCGTCTGTACTAAAATACAAAAATTAACTGGGTGTGGTGGTGTGCACCTGTAATCCCAGCTTCTTGGGAGGCTGAGGCACAAGAATCACTTGAACCTGGGAAGCGGATGTTGCAGTGAGCCGAGGTCATGTCACTGTACTCCAGCCTGGGTGACAGAGTGAGACTGCATCTCAAAAAAAAAAAAAATTGATGAAGTATTAAAATATATATTTCTTCCAAATAGATTTACGAATGTTCAATAAGCATATAAAAGCTATCAGAAAAATGCATATCAAAATCACAATGAGATACTGCATCACACTTACCCAGATGGCTGTAATAAAAAAGATGAGGCCAGGCACTCCCAGCTGTAATTCCAGCACTTTGGGAGGCCGAGGTGGGTGGATCACCTGAGGTCAGGAGTTTGAGACCAGCCTGACCAATATGGTGAAACCCCACCTCTACTAAAAATACAAAAATTAGCTGGGCGTAGTGGCAGGCGCCTGTAATTCCAGCTACTTGGGAGGCTGAGGCAGGAGAATTGCTTGAACCTGGGAGGTGGAGGTTGCAGTGAGCCGAGATCGTGCCACCACACTCCAGCCTGGGTGACAGGGCGAGACTCCGTCTCAAAAAAAAAAAAAGAACGTGTGAGTTTATCCCTGGTGATGGGCACAGTAGCTTCTCGTGGCTGGACCAGTGCTTTGCTCCTTATTTCACACTTCTCATCACAGCTCTTTCATTGATGGCACACCCATTTGAAGAAGAGAAACCGAGGCAGGTTGCGGTTAAGTTGATAGCCCAGGGTCACGTAGCTAGTAAAACATGGAGTGACATTCCAGTCCAGGCCTGATTTCAGAGTTTGCTTGGCTGACTGCTGTGCTAACCACCTTAATAGTAATTTTAGCAATTATAGCTTCCTTCAAAAATTCTTGGGCTTGGTCAATTTTGGGCTTTTGGGTTACTCGGCGGAATCACTTTATTTCTTTGAGACAGAGTCTCACCTTGTTGCCTAGGCTGGAGTACAGCGATGTCTGTCCTGGCTCACTGGAGTGTTGACTTCCTGGGCTCAGGTGATTCCCCCCACCTCAGCCTCCCTAGTAGCTGGGACCACAGGCATGCACCACCACACCTAATTTTTTAAAAAATTATTTATGGAGACCAGGTCTCCCTATGTTGCCTAGGCTGGTCTCGAGCTCCTGGACTCAAAACAGCCCTCCCACTTCAGCCTCCCAAGGTGCTGGGATTATAGGCGTGAGCCACTGCCCAGTCTGAAATCACTTTATATACAGACTAAAACTCTGTAGACCAAGTTTTGCTGCACATTGCAAGGACAGAAGATTTTGGTACTTTGGTATTTTATAATCATCTGTCATAGGCTCCTTTACTATTTTTTGTGGAACTTGGGCTGTTCCCAGAATACTAATCCTCTCTGTTGATTAGTTCAGCCTGTAAACAAGAAATCATTAACCAGCATGCTGTTCCTGAAGAATGACCAGGGACAATAATTGTAAAAATTCAAGAGCTTTTATCCAAGCCTGCCCCTATAGAGTGTGTTCTTTGCTACTTCATGGAATGCAAATTGTAACTTGCTTTTGCCAGTAGCTATGGCATGTCCAGGTTACTCATTAGCCACCAGAGCTCCTAAGTTCACTGCGAGAATTCCCTGATGCAAGTACAGTACCCTTAGTGCTGATGGGCTGGCTGCATTTCAGACAGGAATAGTGCAGGATGACTGTGGCCAGCGTCTCTTTAACAAAGATCAGACTGTGTGTGGGGCTGGGCTTGTTGCTGTGGGTCAGTTACTCTTTAACAAAGATCAGACTCTGTGTGGCTGGGCTTGTTGCTGTGGGTCAGTTACTCTTGCTCATGCTTTACCCTTTCAGAATTCAGCTCCTCCCCGCTTCTCCTCAAGCTAATTTATCTAAAAAGATAAGATTTTTTTGCTAGATCTGTTCCCGGCACGGTGGGGTGGTTGAAGTCCTCCTGTGAGGCCCTCTGCCTTATGGAGATCAGTGCAGTGTCAGTGGCACGAATTGGTGCCTGGCCAGGAGCACGCTCTGCTCCTTTACAGGAGAGCCCCTGACAGGCACTGGAGGGCTCAGATTGTTACCTGCGTCCGTCATGACTGCAGGGGTGCTGCGTTGATCATGCAGCTTCTACTAGAGCGTTTTTGGTAAATTTGGGACATGGTAGTTGACTTGAATGTGTCAGTCTTGCCTGCAGGTCATCATCCGTCATCTCAGCCATGGTCGTGCTGGATTGTCTTTCTTGTTTTTGAGACAGCCTCTCTCTCTGTCACCCAGTCGCCCAGTCTGGAGTGCAGTGGTGTGATCTCGGCTCACTGCAACCTCTGCCTCTCGGGTTCAGGCAATTCTTCCACTTCAGCTTCCCCAGTAGCTGGGATTACAGGCGCACGCCACCATGCCCAGCTAATTTTTGTGTTTTTACTAGAGACAGGATTTCACCATGTTGCCCAGGCTGGTCTCAAACTCCTGACTTCAAGTGATCCACCTGCCTCAGTCTCCCAAAGTGCTGGGATTATAGGCGTGAGCCACTGCGCCTAGCCTGAATGCGTATTTTTATGTGAAATTAGTTTTCCTGAACTGTCAGAGGAGGCATGGTCTGGGTGGCTTTTCTACCGTAAGAGCCCCCCCCCCCCATTGTCTTCACACAGTGGCCTGCCTGGCAGCTGCAGTTGGAAGTCCCTGGCTCCGTCCTGGCTCCGTCTGCCTCCGTCTGCCTCCGTCTGCCTGCTGTCCCTGCACCTCCCCTTTTTCCTGCTTTTGCGTCGTCTCTGCTCAGTAGGGGCGCTGGGCCAGGTCACTCCATCCCTGGTTCTTGCATCATGCTCAGCCCTCTGTGGATACTGGGGCTGCTTAGGCTCTCCTGTCCTCAGGTCTGGCCGAGACGTGACACTACTCTTCTCTCTACCTTCTCTCTTTTTTTTTTTTTTTGAGATGGAGTCTTGCTCTGTTGCCCAGGCTGTAGTGCAATGGCGCGATCTCGGCTCACTGCAACCTCCGCCTCCTGGGTTCAAGCGATTCTTCTGCCTCAACTTCCTGAGTAGCTGGGATTGCAGGCGCCTGCCACCATGCCTGGCTAATTTTTGTATTTTTAGTAGAGACGAGGTTTCACCATGCTGGCCAGGCTGGTCTTGAACTCCTGACCTCAGGTGATCCGCCCGCCTCAGCCTCCCAAAGTGCAGACGTGAGTCACTGTGCCTGGCCTCTCTACCTTCTCTTGCACAGACATGATGCCGTGAGGTTGTACGGCCGTTGGTGGCTTTCCTTTTGAGGGAGCTGGAGCTCAGAGGCACAGCAGAATGAGTCAAAGGCTGCACTTGGATTCCCACCTCACTTGGATTCCCACCTCACGTGCTGGCCCCAAAGTTCACTCTTGTCATCACCTTCCATGCTTCTCCCCCTCCTCAGGGGCTGGCCTGCCCTCGTTTTAAAGTGTGTGTGTATGCGTATATTTGTATTTATGCATGTGTGTGTACATGTGTGTATTTGTGTGTGTGTATGTATTTGTGTTTATGTGTATGTATGTATATGTGTATATATGTTGTATTTGTGTTTATATTTGTGTATATATGTTGTATTTGTGTTTGTGTACGTGTGTATTTCTGTGTATCTGTGTATTTGTATTTATGTGTGTTTGTAAATGTGTGTATATGTATATTTGTGTGTGGCGTGTACATTTGTGTATTTGTGTGTATTTGGTTTATGTGTGCTTGTACGTGTATTTGTGTGTATATATGTGTATTTGTGTTTGTATAAATGTGTATTCATGTGTGTTTGTAAATGTGTGCATGTGTGTATTTGGTGTGTGTGTGTGTGTATTTGTGTGTGTGTGTGTTGAAAATTGGGCAATTAAAAGCAAGCTGTGGATGGGAAGCTGGAACTTGTCTCTGTTTCTGTCCCACAGAGGAGGGGGGTTAACTGCCTGTTTCTCCTGGTGGTTACCTCTATAACTCTACATTATGTGCTGTTTGTTTTAGTTTGTGGTTTCACAACCTTATATAAAATCTGTAGATTCCGTTTAGGAAAGTTGATTTAGCTCATGTAGTAGTATTTCCTCTTTCTCCTGCCCCCAGGTTTTTAGTATTTCTGCTTTAGATCTGAGCTCTGTTGATTCTGGACAACATAAGTTCCCCCTCAGAGTGGTTTCTTTCCCTGGTGTTTGGGTGGGTAAAGTAGAGGGCACAAACCAGGGAGAGAGCGCAAGGTCCCCTGTTGCAGACTTAATAGCACAGATCTGTGTACACCTTTGTGAGAAGCACACATGTACACACACAGTGGCATGCACACATAGGCACACGCACACTGGCACACCGCACCCAGTGCAGAGTGCCTCACCCATGCGCAGTCCCAGCTGTGTGAAGCTGCCTGCAGGCTTTGTGTGGCAGAAGCTCCCAAGACACTGTTTTCGTGACTCTTTCAGCCAAGTCCAAAAAACCTGCCATCCTGGGGGGCATCAGGCTGCCAGCATCCTCCTGTACCTGCTGTCCTGCTTTCTTGTGGAGCCGTCCGCTGGTCAGCCATCATACAGAGAGGAGTGGGGATGCTGAGACGCTGGGCAGCCTGCCCAGGGGTCACTGCTGTGAGCAGCTTTCAGGGCTGGGAAGAGAGACTGACTGGGACAGGAGGTTTGGGTGTGTCTGTGTTTTGTTAAAGGTCCCCTGAGGGCAGAAGCTGTTGTGTTCCCAGCACCTGGGACAGTGCTTGGGTCGGGGAGCCGCCACATAGGCACTTGATTTTCCTGTTCTGACCACCTGTCCATCTGAAGTTTTCTAGGGTAGGACTGGCTCAAAGGAGTGTTTGTTCGGTTCAGGAAACATTCAACCTTATTTATTAGCAAATGTGTAGTAAAAGACAAAAGATATTCTGGAGGAGGGAGCTTGTCCTGTGGGGGAGGCAAGATCAGTTTTGGAAGCAGCAGTGGTGGAGTTCGGCCCTGTGACTGCGTAGGGCAGGGGTGAGCTCTTTGTCCTCTGATCTGTGCACACCAGGCCTGGCGGGGCCGCTTGTGTCGTGTTCTGATGTGGATGGGTTGCTGCAGAGGCCTTTTACTTCAGCTGGAGATCCTTAAACCAAAGACTCACTTGAGAAGGTTTTTTAAATAGTCAGCTTTATTATTGCTTTAAAAAAGTGACTTAGGGCCAGGTGCAGTGGCTCACACCTGTAATCCCAGCACTTTAGGAGGCCAAGGTGAGAGGATTGCTTGAGCTCAGGAGATCGAGACCAGCCCAAATACCGTAGTGAGAACTTGTCTCTATTTTTTCTTTTTTCTTTTTTTTTCTTTCTGGGGATGGAATCTTGCTCTGTCATCTCGCCTCACTGCAGCCTCTGCCTCCTGGGTTCAAGTGATTCGTCTGTCTCAGCCTCCCAAGTAGCTGGGATTACAGGCATGCGCCACCACGCCTGGCTAATTTTTGTATTTTTAGTAGAGACGGGGTTTCGCCACGTTGGCTAGGCTGGTCTCCAACTCCTGACCTCAGGCGACCCACCTGCCTCTGATGAGGCACCACCATGCCTGGCCATATTTTTAATTTTTTAAAAAATAGAATAAAAAGTGACTTAAATGTACACAAAGTTGTTTTTGCACACAACTCACCTTACCCTGTGTGATGAATAATTGTATTTTGACAGTGCTTGTTAAACATGTGTATCCCTATTAAAATCACTTGTACTCTTTAAGCCTCAGTTTTCACAGCTGGTCCAGGTAGAGTTAAACTACACGTGGTCTCATCTCTCTCCCTTGCCTGGCTTGTGACATACATGCAAGTGTTTGTTGAGCGAGGTCCCTTTAGCAATAGATTTAGCGTGTACTGAAAGTTTGATTGTCACACATCTAATGTGCGTTTTCCCTCTTTTGTACAATGGAGAATTCCCACATTTCATGGGTGTGAGCTGAAAAAAAGACTTGAAGCTAACATTCCTCTGCTGTCCCACTACAACACAGAAGACTTCTGTGACCCCAGAATATGTGGGGGTTTCTCCCCATCGGCAAACAAGCTATCAGTTCTGCAGCAGGCACCAGCGGGGTGTCCTCCAGCTTGATTCTGACACCGTCTACCTGGAGGTAGTGTCAGATCCTGCAGGGGAGTCCCAGGGCTACCCCCTACTTCTCATGTTAGCCTCAAGCCTCAGGTTGTGACCTGTGCTTGTGCATGACAGACTGTGAATGGACATCTCACGACCCCCTCTTTGGATTCAATTAGTTTGCTAGAGAGGCTCACAGAACTCAGGGAAACACATTTATTTGATCATAAAAGCTAGTATGAAGGGTGCAGGTGACGTGATGCGTAGGGCATGGTACCGGGCCATGGCCGCTCCATGTCCCTCCAGGGATCCCCATGTGTTCAGTTATCTGGACGTTCCCCAAACCCTGTCCTCCTGGGCCTTTTGTGCAGACTTCATTGGATAGGCATGATTGACAGCTGTGTACAAATGGGACTGGACCAAAAGGGTGTGATCTAAACCCAGCAGGGCCTGTCTGTGCAGATTCTTCCCGGCCTATCTGTGCGGCGTTCCTTCCCCCGGGGTGTGGGGCAGGGCCCCTTCAGAAATGTGGGTCTTGTGACCCACAGTCAGACAAGGTAGGTCAGAGAATTTATGGCCAGCTCCACGACAGAAAGGCTGGGGGTGGTTAGAGTCCCTTGTTAGTCTTATGGCCTGCCTTGGGGAAAAAATAACAAGAGCTGTGAGAGTTTTGAGCCAGGAACTGTAGATGAAAACCAGTATGTATGTATAATATCACAATTGGATATTATGCAAGTGGACTTGTCAGATTTTGTAGGAAAGCCCTCATGTTCCTACCAACAACTGTTTGCCCTGCAGCACAGACCTGCTCCCTGTATCGTAATCCCTCCTAGCTTCATCTGCTTTCCTTACACAGCACATGGTGATTAAATAGGTGTGCGACTGCTTGGTCAGTAACAGTCTTCTGCCAGACTGTGTCTTCCGTGAGGGTAACAGAGACCATGTCTGTTTTTGCTCATCCTTGTGCCTTGGTGCCCAGCACCATGTGTGGACAGTTGTAGGTGCTCAGTGGATATTTACGGAACAAATGCATCAGTCCGTCTTTAAGGTTCCCTCTAGCTGTGGACCGAGTTGCCTCCGTGGCTCCACCCCAGTTCATATGCTGAAGCCCCAACCCCAGTGTGACTGGATTTGGAGACAGGGCTTTCAGGAGGCATTTAAGGTTAAATGAAGTCATAGAGGTGGGGTCCTAATCCTGTAGGATTGGTGGCCTTGTAAGAGGAAGAGAGAGCGTGCTCGCTTCATAAGCATGCGTCAAAGAAAGGCCACGTGAGCACACAGAAGGTGGCTGTCTGCAAGCCAGGAAGAGAGCCCTCACCAGAAACCACCCTGCTGGTGTGTTGCTCACAGGCTTCCAGCCTGCAGGCCTGTGAGAAGATGAAGTGTTTCAGCCGCCCCGTCTGGGGTGTTTTGTCATGGCAGCCGGAGCAGACTAAGGGACCTGTAGCCCTGACATTCCATCATTTTATGACCATGAGGAATTACAGATCCTGGGCATTGCTTTCAAATGAGACACATGAAATTGAAATGTGTCAGTTCAGGTATTTTGATTGCCATTGGGGATGGATAAGCCAAAAAGAAAGACTATTTTAAATGACTAGATTTGACAACAGATAGGTTGTAATGTCTATCAACAGATAGACTGAATAGATCAGTCTTTCCTGCTTTGGACAGAAGCTAGCCTTTGGGGCTGTTGGTGGGAGCACTCCTAATATTATTAATGATATTAGTACCTAACCATATTTGCTGAGGACTTCTCTTGTAGGAGTGCTAATCCCATCATGAGGGCCCACCTCATGACCCCATCTAAACCCAGCCACCTTCCAAAGGTTCCATCTTCAGATACTATGACATTGGGGTTAGGGCTTCAGCATGCGAATTTTGAGGGGACAGAAACATTCAGTCCATACGGCAGGGGAGGCAGGCTGATTTCAACGGGCACATCTGAGCTGAGTCTTGAAGGATGCGTGTTGCAGAGGCTGCATCTGTTTTGCGACTGCAGTTGATCGAGGAAGAAACTGTGGAGGTGAATTTATAAAAGAAAATTGAAAGCCTATAGTAGTAAAACTGTGTGCTTTTGGCAGTGGAAGTTGATTTTAGGAGTAAACCTCCGTGTTATTAGCGGATGACGATTTATCATGGCAAACATCCAGCAAGATATTTGAGTTCTGAGCTTGGTAAAGAGGTAGAGTTAGAAATGGTGCTGTGGAGCACCCCCTGGGTGCGCAGCGGCTGGCCCGGGCGGTTCAGGACTCGCTCCTTTGCTGTCCTGACCCAGGCACTCCCTTTCCCCTAGGCTCAGTCCCGGCCCCGGCCCTGCTGCAGCCCCTTCCTGCCGGCTCTGGGTTGGAGGCAGGTGTCTGCTTCGGCTTTTCTCCTGCCTTGAAACGGGGCCTCATCCCATTCGTGAGTTCTGAGTGTCAGTCTTATCAGGGAAATGGTGTTTCTTTAGAAATCAATTAAAATAAAAATGGCTTTTTGTTCTTTTTTTTAGGTAAAAGTAAAGAAGCAGAAATAAAAAGGATAAACAAGGAACTGGCAAATATCAGATCAAAATTTAAAGGTAAGTATGTTTAACCTTTTCCATGAAATGTCCTGTTGTAAATTTTCTGTAGTAAGAACCCAGTCTTTTAATACTGTCTTCTTTTCTCCCACACTAAAGTGAAGTTCTCAGTTTGTACAGTTTCTATCAGGGCCCTGTCAGAATTAGGAAATGGCATGTGTGGAGCTGGTTAGGTGGGGCAGCCCCTCCTGGTGTCTGGTCTTTTCCTGGAGCTGGAACAGCACTGGTCTAGTGCCCAGCTGCATGTCGCAGTATTAGCCACCAGGCCAGCGTGCTGGGGGTTCAGAGGACAGACACCAAGTACGGGAAGTGCTCTGTGTAAGGCGCCACCGAACGCCTCCTGCTGACGGTCAACAGGGACCTGACCTGCGCTCGGTGGACTGCCTCTCTGTGAGCCAGTGTGTGGGCTGAGTGCCTTCCCTGAACATCCTTACTTTGAAGAATTGTGAAGTACGGATTTAGTTTTCAGCCCTTGGGACATTTTTGAAACCCCAGTTAATCCTTAAAGCCTTAATTTTTCAGTTAATGTTTACAGATTTGCAACCTGGCTCACCTCCCTGAGCATACCTTAGCCACGGTGTAGCTGAAATTGCCCAGGCACAATGAGTCGGGGAGAGGGCTGAGCCTGACCCCTGTGGAACTGGAGGGACAGGCAGAACACAGCTTGGGGACAACTGGAGTTTCATGGGATGGGTGCTTTTGAGGGCTTGAGAATGGATATCCAGTAGTTTCTTTTCTTTTCTTTTTTTTTTTTTGAGATGGAGTCTTGCTCTGTCGCTCAGTGTGGAGTGCAGTGGCACGATCTTGGCTCACCGCAACCTCCGCCTTCCAGGTTCAAGCGGTTCTCCTGCCTCAGCCTCCCGAGTAGCTGGGATTACAGGCGTGTGCCACCACATGCCTGTAATTTTATTTAGTAGAGACGAGATTTCTCCATGTTGGCCAGGCTGGTCTCAAACTCCTGGCCTCAAGTGATCTGCCCGCCTCGGCCTCCCAAAGTGCTGGGATTACAGGCATGAGCCACTGTGCCCGGCCCAGCTGATTTTTGTACTTTTAGTAGAGACGGGGTTTCTCCATGTTGGTCAGGCCGGTCTCGAACTCCCGACCTCAAGTGATCCACCTGCCTCAGCCTCCCAACATGCTGGGATTACAGGCGTGAGCCACTGTGCCTGGCCTGGCTGATTTTTGTACTTCTAGTAGAGATGGGGTTTCTCCATGTTGGTCAGGCTGGTCTTGAGCTCCCGACCTCAAGTGATCCACCTGCCTCAGCCTCCCAACATGCTGGGATTACAGGCGTGAGCCACTGCACCCCACACGGCTGGTTTTTGTATTTTTAGTAGAGACGGGGGTTTCTCCATGTTGGTCAGGCTGGTCTCGAACTCCCAACCTCAGGTGATCCACCTGCTTTGGCCTCCCAGAGTGCTGGAATTACAGGCGTGAGCCTCTGCGCCCGGTGTGCACCTTTGTTCTTAACTGTAGAATGGGGAAACCAGTGATCTCAAGTTGGGTTCTCCAGGATGTGGACTCTGAAATGGGCTGTGTACAGAAGATTTATTCAGAGTGACACCAGTGAAAAGTAAAGGGCAGAAGCAGATGGAGATGTGGGTCTGACAGTCACCACCACCAGTGAAAAGTAAAGGGCAGAAGCAGATGGAGATGTGGGTCTGACAGCCGCCGCCACCAGTGAAAAGTAAAGGGCAGAAGCAGATGGAGATGTGGGTCTGACAGTCACCACCACCAGTGAAAAGTAAAGGGCAGAAGCAGATGATGTGGGTCTGACAGTCGCCGCCACCAGTGAAAAGTAAAGGGCAGAAGCAGATGGAGATGTGGGTCTGACAGAGTCGCCACCACCAGTGAAAAGTAAAGGGCAGAAGCAGATGGAGATGTGGGTCTGACAGTCGCCACCACTAGTGAAAAGTAAAGGGCAGAAGCAGATGGAGATGTGGGTCTGACAGAGTCGCCACCACCAGTGAAAAGTAAATGGCAGAAGCAGATGGAGATGTGGGTCTGACAGTCGCCACCACCAGTGAAAAGTAAAGGGCAGAAGCAGATGGAGATGTGGGTCTGACAGAGTTGCCACCAGTGAAAAGTAAAGGGCAGAAGCAGATGGAGATGTGGGTCTGACAGAGTTGCCACCAGTGAAAAGTAAAGGGCGGAAGCAGATGGAGATGTGGGTCTGACAGTCGCCGCCACCAGTGAAAAGTAAAGGGCGGAAGCAGATGGAGATGTGGGTCTGATAGTCGCCGCCACCAGTGAAAAGTAAAGGGCGGAAGCAGATGGAGATGTGGGTCTGACAGAGTCGCCGCCACGAGTGAAAAGTAAAGGGCGGAAGCAGATGGAGATGTGGGTCTGACAGAGTCGCCGCCACCAGTGAAAAGTAAAGGGCGGAAGCAGATGGAGATGTGGGTCTGACAGAGTCGCCGCCACCAGTGAAAAGTAAAGGGCAGAAGCAGATGGAGATGTGGGTCTGACAGTCGCCACCACTAGTGAAAAGTAAAGGGCGGAAGCAGATGGAGATGTGGGTCTGACAGTCGCCGCCACCTGCCCATCAGGGAGCTCGGGAGCCCAGATTGCCGGCTGGAGGTGGTGGCACTGGGTTGAAAGGGCTGCGCCCTGGCACCCTCTTGCTCAGCCGTGGCTCTCAACCTGGGGGAGCCGGACCATGACAAAGCCAGCCTTACTCTTGGTGTCACTGGGCCTTCACTGAATGGGATCTGCGTCTGCTGTGCTCATTGTGAGGAAATGAGGAAATGCATAGAAATTGCTTGAAAGGAAACCAGCACCCAGCCAGTGTGAATCCATTTTGTTATTGTGAAAAGAGTTCATGGCCTTCAGAATGGTGAAGATGAAATTCGAATGGGAGGTTTTTATAGGTTTCAGAAGAATCATCTAATGTGTTGAGGTGTAACTTCAAAGACTTTGCTAGGCTGTTAAATTTACAAACTCTCTGGCCAGGCGTGGTGGCTCACGCCTGTAACCCAGCACTGTGGGAGGCTGAGGCGGGCGGATCGATTGAGGTCGGGAGTTCGAGACCAGCCTGGCCAACATGGTGAAACCCCATCTTTACTAAAAATAGAAAAATTAGCTGGGTGTGGAGGCGCGTGCCTATAGTCCCAGCTACTTGGGAGGCTGAGTCAGGAGAATCGCTTGAACTGGGAAGGCGGAGGTTGCAGTGAGCCGAGATCTCGCCATTGCACTCCAGCCTGGGAGACACAGCAAGACTCTGTCTCAAAAAAAAAAAAATTTTGTTTTATAAATTCTGTATAAATGTTTTGGGACTAAAGGAGACTTCATGCCTGTCTGGCTGTCCTAGATAGGGAAGGTGGCCCCTCCTACACAGTGATCTGTTGGCTTTTGTTGAGCACGCGCGTACCCTGGGTGGTGGCAGCAGACATAGAAGAAAATCTACTCCTTGTCCGTAAGAAATGTGCTGCCTGAGGCCTGCCCTGCCAGCTGTGGGTAGATGAGATGACTTAGAGCTGTGCTGTCCAATTTAGAAATAGAGTATCAGTCACATTCATAGGTCTAAAGGCTCTGGCAGCCTCATTGAAAAAAAGTAAAAAGGAGCAAATGAAATTAATAATATATTTTATTTAGTTCAGTATATCTAAAATTTCGTTGTAATCAATTGAAAAAAAAACTGGCTGGCACGATGGCTCATGCCTGTAATTCCAGCCCTTTGGGAGGCCGAGGTGGCTGGATCAGTTGAGGTCAGGAGTTTGAGACCAGCCTGACCAACATGGTGAAACCCCGTGTCTATTAAAGATACAAGAATTAGCTGGGCATGGTGGCGGGCACCTGTAATCCCAGCTACTCGGGAGGCTGAGGCAGGAGAATCGCTTGAACCTAGGAGGCAGAGGTTGCTGTGAGCCGAGATCGTGCCAGTGCACTACAGCCTGGGCGACAGAGTGAGACTCTGTCTCAGAAAAAAAAACTAAAAAAAAAACAAGGTACCGAGTTATTTTATACCAGGTCTTTGAAGTCTGGTGTGTGTGTCACACTTAAGAGTGAGTCTCACTTTGTACTGGCTGTTTCACTTGCTCACTGACCGCATGTGGCATGAGGCTGCTGTGTGAGCACTGCTGATTTAGAGCAACCCTTCTGTTGAAAACAGTTGATCAATTGATTGATCTATTGATTTACTGAGACAAGATCTTGCTCTGTTGACCAGGCTGCCCAGTGCAATCACAGCTCACCGCAGCCTCAACCCCCCGGGCTCAAGCCATCCTTCCACCTTGGCCTCCCAAGTAACTGGGACCACAGGCGCGCACCACCACGCCTGGCTAACATTTAAAAAAAGTTTTGTAGAGATGGGGTCTTGCCATGTTACCTAGGCTGGTTTCAAACTTATGGGCTCAAGAGATCGGTCTGCCTTGACCTCCCAAAGTGCTGGGATTATAGGCATGAGCCACTGCACCTGGCCCCTAGGAGTGTGGGTCCACTCGTGGGTGGAGGTGGGAGGCTGTTAAACAACCGAAGTGCATAGAGTGGCCCCCACAACAGAGGCGTCAGCCAGGATGTCAGTGGTGCCAGGGCTGAGGAGCCTTGTCTAGAGGGATGATAGTCAAAGACTGGAGACCCCCTTCCACTGTGAACTGAAGGCCTCACCAGAGGGAATACCCGTAGGGCAGAGTGAACTGTCAGTGAGCCAGTCCTCTTCCAGACTTGCCGCTGGGTGTCTTGACATGGGGGTGCTCTACACAACCTCAAAATGTTGGGAAGGTTACAACCAGGGAAAGAATCGATATCCAACAAAAATACCTTTCAACAATGAAGCTACCCTGTTTGAGTGGGGCATCACGAACCATCCTGCTTCAAGGGAGCCTGTGGGTCTGACTGCAGCTTCAGCTCTGACCTGGAGTTCTGGGGCTTCTCTGCGGGGCACCAGTCTGTAGGCTCCATTTTAGATAATAAAAATTGGCATATTCTGGGGTGGGCAGGATCTGGGGTTCACCTGCAGATGAACAGGGCAGAAAAAGCTTGATGGGGTGTTAGGGGAATCTGGTTGGCCTCAAAGGGAATTAATTTGGGGCCCTGTTCCTGAATTGGTAGGCAGCCTGCATGTAAGGCTGAAGTCGGTTTGGCCAGAGCATGGGCTGGAGTGCTACCACCCTGCTACATGGTCAATGCCACAGTCTCACTTTTCCTATTTTTTTTTAATAAAATGTTGTGAACAACAACAACAACAACAACAAAAATGAAGCTAAAAAATACCTGCCGAAGACAGAAATGGAAAGAATTTCCTACCAGAAGGCCTGTGTTAAAGGAAATGCCAAAGGAAATAATCCCAGATGGAAGCGTGGAAATGGAAAGCATGGAACGGGCAGGAAATTAAAGGAAATAATCCCAGATGGAAGCGTGGAGATGGAAAGCATGGAACGGGCGGGAAATTAAAGGAAATAATCCCAGATGGAAGCGTGGAGGTGGAAAGCATGGAACGGGCGGGAAATTAAAGGAAATAATCCCAGATGGAAGCGTGGAGGTGGAAAGCATGGAACGGGCGGGAAATTAAAGGAAATAATCCCAGATGGAAGCGTGGAGGTGGAAAGCATGGAACGGGCGGGAAATTAAAGGAAATAATCCCAGATGGAAGCGTGGAGGTGGAAAGCATGGAACGGGCGGGAAATTAAAGGAAATAATCCCAGATGGAAGCGTGGAGGTGGAAAGCATGGAACGGGCGGGAAATTAAAGGAAATAATCCCAGATGGAAGCGTGGAGGTGGAAAGCATGGAACGGGCGGGAAATTAAAGGAAATAATCCCAGATGGAAGCGTGGAGGTGGAAAGAATGGAATGGGCAGGACAGCGGGAGATGTGTAGGTAACGCCAGTGTGTTGTGTCTCGTGGTTATGTCTGTCTGTGGAGTTTCTTCAGTAGTGCAGTGAACTTCAGAGAGTTGAAACCGTATTTGTTTGCCATCAAGAAGACTGTAGGCCCAAATGGCTTCCCTGTGATCTTTATCCTTTAATGAGGGTTGTTAGGTGTGACCATCTGATGTGTGGCCTAAGGTGTGTGGAGAAAAGTGTTCATGTCAGTCCCAACTTTGGCTTTAAGGGAGTCTCCCCTCTGGGCTCTTCCTACCTCTGCTATGGTAAGGATGTGCTTTGGGTGGTGTGGGCCTGGAGCAGAGCCATGCACAGCAGGCCCGTCCAGATCTGACGGTGTCTTGACGGTGGCCCCGGCTGACCTGCAGACGCATGGGCAAGAAATCAGTGCTTATGTGCACCTGCCATGCTAGTGGGAGCCCAGGGGAGTTACTGGGATGTTCACAGGTGTGCCTTCCATCTTTAAGCCTTTAGAAAACAACTGTTGTGTTCTCATACTCTACAGAGACATGGTAGTTTCTTTCTTTTTTAAAGAGACAGGGTCTTGTTCTGTTGCCCAGGCTGGAGTGCTGTGGCATGATCCTAACTCACTGCAGCCTTGACTTCCTGGGCTCAGGTCATCCTCCTGCTTCCACCTCCCGAGTGGCTAGGGCTACAGGTGTGCACCACCACGCCCAGCAAATTGTAAAACTTGTAGAGATGGGGTCTCGCTGTGTTTCCTAGGCTGATCACAAATTCATGGCCTCAGGTGAACTCACCCACCTCAAGTGAATCCTCCCAAAAGTGCTGGGATTACAGGCGTAAGCCACTGCACCTGACTGGGAATTTCTTATGACTGATCATCTCCAGGAGTTTTCCAGGTTGTGCACATTAATTTGCTAAATAGGCCAGGCGCGGTGGCTCGTGCCTATAATCCTAGCACTTTGGGAGGCCGAGGCAGGCAGATCACTTAAGCTCAGGAGTTCAAGACCATCCTGGGCAACGTGGTGAAACCCTAAAAATCTCTACTAAAAGTACAAAAAATTAGCCGTGTGTGGTTGCACATGCCTGTGGTCCCAGCCACTTGGGAGGCTGAGGTGGGAGGATCACTTGAGCCTAGGAGGTTGAGGCTGCAGTGAGCTGTGGTCATGCCACTGCACTCCAGTCTGGGTGGCAGAGGGAGACCTTGTCTCCAGACAAAACACTTTACTTTTTCTTTCACTTGGGCAGCCTGTTTTTCATTTTACCGTGAGTTTGCTTGATTATTAATTCATTGATGTAAAAGGCAAAGACTGAGCAACTGCCTTGTGCCACACACTGTTGTTGGGGCTGGTGTGCATTGGTGAGGAAGTGGAAGGAGTTCCCACCCTGCCCCCGAGGGTGTGAGCCTCATGCAGGCTGTGTGGGTTGGAGAGTGTAGAGCCAGCAGTGCCTCTGGCTGGTGACCAGATGGCTGGTGGCCAGTCAGGGCACTGTCCCTTTTCCCAACTTTCAGGTCAAGAGAAGGCGTGGAGGCTCTGGTTCCTGACTCACTCTCCAGTTTATCTTATTCTACTTGATATTTTGTTATAAAAAAATACCAGGCCAGGCGTGGTGGCTCACGCCTGTAATCCCAGCACTTTAGGAGGCCGAGGAGGGCAGATCACGAGGTCAGGAGTTTGAGACCAGCCTGGCCAACATGGTGAAACCCCATCTCTACTAAAAATAAAAAAATTGGCTGGGTGTGGTGGCGTGTGCCTGTAATCCCAGCTACTCGGGAGGCAGAGGCACGAGAATCGCTTGAACCTGGGAGGTGGAGGTTGCAGTGAGCCAAGATTGCACCACTGCACTCCAGCCTGGGCAGCAGAGCAAGACTGTCTGGGAAAAACAAAACAAAAATAACCAAGCAGGTTTCAGTCATTATGAGGTAGACATTTTGTCACATTTTATCGTCTGTGAAGTCTGTGTGCATCTGATGAGTCAGTGAAAGATGGTGCTCATGAACCTGTGTTGTGACCTTACGTTGCCTCAGACACCTGATGCTCCGTCCGTGCTGTGCTGTTTCGTTTTATTTTTTTATTTTATTTTATTTTTTTGAGATGGAGTCTCGCTCTGTCACCCAGGCTGGAGTGCAGTGGCGCGATCTCGGCTCACTGCAACCTCTGCCTCCCGGGTTCATGCCATTCTCCTTCCTCAGCCTCCCGAGTAGCTGGGACTACAGGCGCCCGCCACCACGCCCGGCTTATTTTTGTATTTTTAGTAGAGACAGGATTTCACCGTGTTAGTCAGGATGGTCTCTATCTCCTGACCTCATGATCCTCCTGCCTCAGCCTCCCAAAGTGCTGGGATTACAGGCGTGAGCCACCATGCGCGGCCCTGTTTCATTTTTATAGTAACCTGCTGAGAAAGTTGGGCTCAGAGAGGTTAAGGAATACGTCTGAGACCACAAGACAAGCAAGTGGCTGCATCTTTCAGACTGGAGCCCAAACTTAATCGTGATCCTTTTATGGTTTAGGATGAGGTTTTCCAGCCATCTCTCCTCTGATCTGCACAAACCAAGGAGACAGATATTACTGTTATCCTCTGCCTTTTATAGCTCAGAATATTAAAGTTCAACTCAACATTTTGAAATTACTAGAATAAAAAAGTAATTCTAGCCTAGTACTGAAACCAGCATTTTGAAGACTGTATCAGTCTGGGTCCTTTCAGGAGGGATAAACTTCACAGTGGCACCTGCCAGGGGAGCTGGCGGGCTCACCTGCCACCTGCCCCACCGAGATGGGTGAGGGTGTGGAGCGAGCATTGCTGCTTGTTTCCTGTGGCCCTGGGTTAGGCCAGGAATCCACGTGCTGCCACATGAGCAGCGGGCCGAGCACTGTGGCTTTCTCCTCGCGCTGGCGACTTCCGCTGCCCCTCACGGTGCTTATGCAACAGGGGTGGTGTGCCCAGGGGAGTGCTCTGTGACATCTCTGGGAGGCCCAGAGGTGATCCTGCATCACCCTCACTGACCAGTGGGCTCAGCTTCTAAAGGTGGGCCTAAGTTTCCCAGCACCCGGGAGCTCTAGAGCAGCTCTTCGTCTGGGGTCCCGCGGGAGCAGAGGCTGGTCGGCTCCTCTCGGAGAGAGCCTGTCTCCGTCTCCGCCCCTGTTCCCATCCCCGTCTCCATCCCCGTCCCCATCCCTGTCCCACAAAACTCAGCCCAGTCGGGCCGCTGGTCCTCTCCCCTGTCAGTTATTTTTTCCTTTGAGAGGTGCTTTGAGTAACAGGGAAGTCTCCGGAGGGAGGAGGAGGTCAAGCAGTATTTTTGGCTGTGGTTGTCCAAGGCGGCTTCCAGCGGGTGATGGAATCTGGGCTGGGTAGGAGACACGGTGCTGGGGCTTCCCAGTGGAGGATCTCTGCTGCGCAGCCCGTGCTCAGCTGTGTGTGCCCTCCTGCACAAACAGGGCACGGAGAACGTGTCTGCTGGGACCCCTTGGGCACAGCAAGCAGATAAGTGGGTCGGGGCCGGGGGAGGGAGGAACCAGGTCGGGTCTGCTTTTATTTATATCATCTGGTCTTTTAAATTATGTTAATTTGCCGCTGACAAGGAGGGGGGTTTCTCATGAGCTCCTCAGAGTGCAGCATGCAGCTGACTGGCCGACTGGTGATGCACCGTTCCCCAGGAAATGTGGCCGGTCTGTATTCTACACAGTTGAGGTCGTCCGTGGAGGTGTGAGCGCCCCAGCCCTTCACAAGAAGGGGGCCAGAGCGGCTGTCGCAGCTGGGCTGTCTTCCCAGCCTGCGTTCCTTCACGCTGTGGCAGCAGAG